>NC_000012.12:124381145-124682768 GCF_000001405.40 Homo sapiens
CCCTGCCTGCCTCTCCAAGCTGCTCTCCCCTCTCCCCTCCTCAGAGACTGTGCTACAAACACACTGCCCTCCCTGCTCGCTGCCCCAGCCACAGGGCCTCTACACTGGCTGTTCCCCTGCCTGGACACCCTTCCCCTAGATATCTGCATAACTCACTTCCTCACCTCCTTCGGGCCTTAGCTCAGACATCAGAGAGGTCTTCCCTGATCACTCCATCATTAGCTCATCCCTCCCACCCCCACCATCAATCACTTTCTACTACATTCTTCTCATAGCATCTTCAGACTCCATTCTGAAATTGAGTGTGTGAACCTGTCTCTCGCACCAGCTCCTCAAGGGCTGGGATCTTTGTTCTCTGCTGTATTCCCACCATACCTGGAACAGTGTCTAGCACAGAACAGACGCTCTGTAACTATGTCTTTAGATGAATGAACCTGATAGACAGTGACAATGGCTCAGAGAGGCAAAGACACTTGCCCAAGACCACACAGCTCATGAGTTGAGGAGCTCAGATTTGAATGCAGGCCAGCTTCAAACATTTCGTGGCTGGACCATCTCTCTGCAGGCCTGTGCAGCCTCAGGTAGAAGAGATTAACAGCAGAAAACAAGGCGGGGCTGGGCCAAGGCTGAGGCGGACAGAGACTGAGGAACGTGGAAGCCGAGCCCCAGGGGCCTGAATTCACAGATGGGAGAAAAGGGTAACCTTCGGCCATAAGGAGGGGGAGGGAAACCTCGTAGAAGACACTGATGCCAAGTGTTACATAACTCCGGGACATGCCCCGCCCGCCCGGCCGCCGGATCCTGCTTCCTGCTGACGTCGCCTGCGGCCACACTCGGGCCAGACCTAGTGCAAGGCGGGAGGGGACACCCACTGACCCTCTGCTTCCCCACTCCTTCCTTCTCTGGCCAAGGGTGACATGTCTTCCTGTACTCCAGACAGGGCTGGGCCAGCAGCCAGAGGTGGCTGATACTGCGTTAGGATTCACTGGGATATGCCCTCCTCCCTGGGACTGAAAGGCACAGGGGAGGGGCAGGAGGTGGAGGTCACCAGGTTCAGCGGCACCTCTCCTGGTGAGACCTGCTTGCTTACTGCAGCGATGGGGAGCTCACCACTACACCAAGAACGGCTACTGTCAAGACGGATGGCCTGGCCTGAGCCCCACTTCCTGTAGTGGGTCCCTGCATCTGCTCCGCTTTCTCTGCAGCCCGCGATATGAGGGTGCTCCTTCAAGGTCGGCCAGGAGCGAGAACCAACCCCACACTCCCAAATCACTCATTCTCATCCAGGTCCCAACCTGGATCTCGGGGTCCCCTCCTGTCCACGCCTCCAGAGTCTTCAGCGTCAGGGGACAGAAGGGCCACCTTCTTTATCAGCTTTGACTGTGTCATTCGGATCAGAATCACTTTCATCGACACTAGGACGACCCACTTTGAGTCCAGCCCTGGATGGGGGCTGTGTCTCAGCTCAGAATCCTTCAATGCAGCCCCCACTCCCTCCACGGTCCACTAACGAAGTGTTAGCTCCACAGCCCAGCAGGAAAACCCCATCCATGTCTCTGCCCTCAGGGCAGCTGCCATTGCTTCCCTGGGATACAGCAGGCGCTGAATATGGGGCTGCTGAATGGACAGTGAGGATAATACTGAATGCTTATTGAGGGCTGACCAAGGACCAGGCACCACCCTTTACAAAAAGAAACACACTTGTTCTTCAACAGCCCTACGACTGGGTCCCATTCTTATCCCCATTTTACAGAGGTGGAAACTGAAGCACGGAGAGGTGAAGCCCAGTATCCTTGGACCCAGTCACTAAGCGGCAGAGCTGGGGTACAAAGCCACCAGCTCCAAAGCCCTGCTCTGCACCATCCTTCTGGGATGCCTCTTTGAATGAATGGATGAATGAATGAATGAATCAATCAATCGTGAGTGTGCCACCACCAGCACCATCACAGCTCTCACTAGCAGAGTGTCTGGGGCATACTAGGCCGCATTCCCAGCACTCTGCAGGCAGCCACCCAGTGTATTCCCATAACAGCCCTTTGAAGTGGGTTCCATTATTGTCCCCATTTCACAGATGGGGAAACTGAGGCACAGAGAGCACAGGTCACTTCCCCAAGGCCACACAGCTAGTAGGTGGCAGAGCCTACGTTCAAACTCAGCTCTCCTGGGCCCAGTCCCTGCTCCCAACCCATAGCACACTGTGGCTGTGCCTGCACGCACCGTTCAAGAGGCGCCCTCGTCAGTGGGATCTCTGGCTGCATGTTCGTCCACGCCAGCGGCTTCACTGGTGGTCACCACACTCAACAGGGTGCCTTAAGCATGGCCCGTGCCACCTTGGCCCAGTGCTCATACCTCCCACAAATCTCCTAGTCTAATAAAACCTTCCAACTCAAAAAAAAAAAAAGAGGGGGCCTCAGGTGGCCCTGAGAAGGGGGTAGATGGCATCCAGATAAAATAACAATAACCACAGCAGTAAGAGTAACTAGGGCACGTCGCCCTCCCGGAGCGCTGCCCCTCTGGCAGGCACTAAGGACCTCACAGGTAATCACTCGTTCACTCCTCATAGGACCTCTTGGATAACAACTGTTATTCTCCTACCTTACAGATGGGGAAACTGAGGCTTAGAAGGCTGAATTCACTGCCCAAGGTCACAGGGGTGCCCAAATCCACAAGCTGGGCCTTGACCCCAGTCTCGCCCTGGGCCTAATGGGATGGTTCACCGTGCTGGGGTCTCTGGTCCTCCAAGCCACTCTCAGGTTTTGGAGTCTCTAGGGGTACAGTGGGGCCACACCCTGCGGAAGCCTGGAAAGCCAGGCTGTGTGGCAGCAGGCTGCAGCGGGGGGAGACGTCCATGGTCGTGGGGTGAGGGGGACAGGCGGAGGGAGCCCCAGAGAGGGGAGGCGGGGGGAGGAGAGAGAAAGTGAAAGGACAGCTGGGGAGAAAGCAGGAGGCCCTTTTTGTTCCTGGGGAGATGCTCAGGGCCAAAGCCCTGCCCCCAAGTCATCCTGGATGAACCACCTCAGACTCCTGACCTGGCTGACAGAATCAATGGCCCACAACATCCCCCGGCCCAGGCCCCCTTCTGCGCCCCCAGGCTGCTCTGGCTCAGGCCCTCTTTGCCACAAGGGACTTCAGCAAGTGTTAGGGACGGGGTTCTGCACATTCAGCCAGATGCGGTGCCTTCCTCCACACCCAACCAGAAGGCCCGAAGCATCCAGAAGGAAAAGGCGCTGCCTGAAGCCCTGAGCTCTGGGGACAAATCCCAGGGGCCAATGTGGAGGGCACGCGGGGCACTGCTTAACTGGAAGTGATGGGGAGGGGCCTCCCTGAGGCCAGAGGGTGGATCTCAGCCCTGACCACAGGGCCGTGGGACCGTGGCCCCTCGGTCCCGGAGCCACCAGCGGCCGCGCGCACACATGACTCACTAAGAACCCACTCGGGAGGGTGGAAGGATGTCCTTAAATTCTGCACAGTGCTTGGGCGGAGTTCAAACAGGGGGAGGCTATACCTGGTCCTCCCACTGCAGGCTGTGTGACCTCACAGCCTGCTCACCCTCTCTGGGCCTCAGCAGGTTGCACTGAGGGAGCAATTCAGCATGGCCTGCCCGGAACCCACTGCACACACTTTACACCCAGGCACAAGGCAGCCCGATGTCATGGTTTGGGAGTGGCGGGGGGAGGAGTAGTCCTGGGGGAGGGGAGCTATGCAACCCCTCCCTCAGTGCTTCTGTATCGATGAGGAAACACGCAGCCTAGCGATGAAGAGCGTGGGTGCTGATCTCATAACTGTGGGTGCATATCGCAATTCAGTCGCACATGAGCCTGGCTAAGCCTCAGTTTCCCCAGCTCCAAAAAGGGGACAATGCTTGGCAAGTGTGTCAAAGAGGGAGAAAGGAGGGAGGAAGGGAAGGAGGAGGAAGGGAAGGAGAGAGGGAAGGCAGCAGAGGTCTCCCCAAAATGCTCCTCAATTCCCAGAAACAGCTGTGGAAGAAGCGGCTGCTCCTCAGAGGCCATTTACACGCTGGCGAGGCGAGCCTGCACCTTCTGTGCTTGTGGAGGAGGGAAGGGTCTCAGCCTCCCGTGGCCTGCCTCAAGCCCTCCAGGATGCTGGGGCTGAGACGTCCGCCCCCGCCCCCCCAGACCTGTCCCTCCCCAACCACGGCAGCCCTAAAGCTGTGAGGTCAAATGGGGCAGGGGAGCCACTCGCTCAGGACCCATTTGCCTCCGGGTCCTCATTCCAACGCGCTGACAGCCCGAATTCCTGGCTGAGTCAGTCTGGTCCACCGCGCTCCTTCCCCCACACCGTGAGACAGGGCTGAGGGCCCCCAGAGGTGTCTGTCTGAGAGGAGTGGGGTGCAGGGTGGGGGTGGAGGGCAGCCTGGCCCGGCCCGTCTCCAAGGCAGGGACACTCATAGCAGCATTGCCGCCTGCAGCCATCTCGGGGTACTCCCGGGCTTGAACCCCCAGAAGCTGAGTTCTAACAAGGCGGCATAATAGCCCCTCCCTGGCCCATGCCTCCTGGGGTGCAGAGACATCTCCTGAGGCAGTCTGGGCTCCTCTCCCAGCTTCCCAGAGGCGCGGTGCAGCGTGACTGGGGGCTCACCATCTTCAGCTTGTGCTGCTGCAAGATCTCATCGAGGTTCTGCCTCTTCTTGTAGTTGAAGTAGAAGTTCTTACACTGCGACACAGTCTTGGAGCCCACCATCCGGGCGATGGCCGACCAGTTGCGGCCGTGTTCCAGGAGACCTGTCTCAGGAGAGGAGGGCAGTGAGAAGAGGCCAGGCCCGGCACGCAGAGGGGGCCTGCATCCATGGCCTGGGCGGCAAACGGGCCTGGAGCAGAAACCCAGCCTGGGGCTCCCTGCTCAGGCCCAGGACCTCTGGAAGAAGAGACAGTGATGGGCCACGTGTCCCCTAGCGGGGAAGGTACTAGAGGGTGGCAGTCCTGGCCTCTGGGGTCTGGTTTCTCAGTCACTTGACTCCAGGCCAGGATGCATGGGAAAGGCCTGGGCTGGAGGAGCCAAAAGCGACAGGTGAAGTCCCACCGAGGCCACTGCGCGGGAGTCTGGGGGCGGAGGGCTGTGAATATCCAGAACGCACAGCCTCTGCCCAGGCCCCACCTCTCCTGCTGGGCGGAGGGCCTGGCCTACGTGACCCAGCCCTGACACTCGCTCACAGCTGCAGGCGAGGCCTCGGGAGACGGGTTGTTTTCCGGCCACACCGGCCCAGCGAAAGGAAGGGACGTGGTGAGCAGGGGATGGGAGGGTGGAAGTCAGGGTGGGGATGAGCTGGGGCCAGGAGCCTCCAGGCCCAGGTTAACTGGGGCACCTCCAGGGCCCAAACTCCCTAAGGGCACCTAAAGGCCCACTCAGGACTCGGGGCCCACCAGGCTTGGTTGCGCAGCTGGAATTTGCTCCCAAACCCCAACCCGCACAACCAGGAGGTTCTCTCAGCCTCACAGACCTCCTGCTGTGGGAAGAGACCCTCCAGGAATCGGCAGAAAAAGCTCCCTCCATCACTAGGTCTCAGGCCAGAACCAGAGCATGCCGCCCCCCAGGTTCTAGTTTCAAGGCCACAAACACCAGGCTCGGCAGAAACACAGCCCCTGCTGCACCGGAGGCAGTGCCTGGGAAGCCAAGCCCCCGGTCTCGGCCTGTCTGCCCGGCGAGCTGCGGCACACACAGGCACAGGCCAGGCAGCTCTATATTTATGCCTGTGTCTCCAGCGGCGTGACCTTGTGTGGCCCAGCCAGTCCATGCAGGTAGGGCCTGCCCACTTTCCCAGGGCTGTGGGAGAGACAGGGAGTGCTCCTGACCTAGGGGTCTGTGCGGCAAGAGGGTGCCCCTCCAGGGCAGCAGGCCCCAAGGCTGAATCACGTAGCTCGGGACATGGCAGCCTCTCTGAGCTGGAGCTCCACTTGTAAGGACTTTAATGAAGGATTTCCCATAATGAAGGTTTTAACCATTTTCCTTGAATAAAATCAAGCTGCAAGCCAAGCTCCAGCTAAAATTGTTCAGAGGTTGGGGAGCTGAGGGGCAGCCGTCTGTGTTGGTATTTTCATTCATTCATTCATTCATTCATTCATTCATTCATCCACCCACCCACCCACCCACGTGCTGGCTGCCTGCCTGCTACACACAAGGCTCTAATGCAAATAAAACAACAGCAGCAGAAACATCAACACATCAGCCCGTGGCACGGCTAACTGACACACAGAGTTTGCAAAGCCCTTCAAAGACTTGGTTCCGTCTCATCCTTGCTGTCATGGCTGTGACCATTTTCCCATCCCCAGGAGGGGGAAATCTCGGTTCAGAGGGTCCCGCCAACTCACCCAAGCTTAGAGGACCAGCCAAGGGGGGCAACGCGGGCGTGGGGCCCCAGACTTCCTGCCCTCCGGGTCCTCTGGCCCCCGTGGCGTGGGGGTGGCACTGACTGACAGGCCACCTGTTCGCCTGCCGTGGCCCTGGGAGCCACGTGGCCTCACAGCCCGCTCCTCAGGGTTCCTCAAGGACAGGCGCAGAAGGGGAGGGCCGGGGCGTGGGATCAAGTGGCACCCGGCCCCTGACCTTTCCCTCCGCCCGCGCCAGCAGCAGCTGCCACTTCCAGAACCTGGCGGACAGGGCCGCGCGTTTATTTATATTTCCCCAGCCGGGGCCAAGAGAGCCCAGGCAAACACACCGGGCCAGAGGGATCACAGACCCGGCACCCGGGTGGGAGAGGGCGAGAGGGGGCGGGTCTCCCATCTGGGCCTGCTGGGTGGGGTGGGCATGGAGAGCTCAGGGGGTGGGGTGAGGGTGGCCCAACAACACTGGGGAGGTTGACATTTCCAAACTCAGTCAATAAATAAGGAGGTAGCTAGGAGCCTGGCTGGGGGCTGGGGACCCTAATTAACTCCGATCATGGGGGCAGTGGGAGTGGGTTGAGGGCAGAGGAGAGGGGATGGAGGTGGGGGTGGGGGTCACCCAGCCCTTCCTGAAAACATACGGCTCCCAAAGGAGCTGGGCAGAGTCATCCAGGCGCCTGGCCAGAGCTCGCTAGCAGTCTTGGCCAGCCCTTCTGCTCTCCGGCCTCAGTTTCCTTAACTGCCGTGTGAGGAGCCAGAGTGGGTGTCCCATTAGTGCCGGCCAGGGCTGCGGGGTAGGGGCAGGCTGGCACTGGCTTCCTCTGGTTCCTGTTCTGGGAAGCCCAGGCAGAGGCTGCCAGGCACGGAGAGAAAGACTTTCTACCCTACCGTGCCTTGGAGACCACCCCGCCAGACCCAGCTTGAAGCCCCCGTCCACTTGGAGAGACCCCCTGTGCACACAGCATCACAGACCTTCCCAGGCACAGATCCAGGTCCCACCCCTGCTTCCAGGAGAGCTTCAGCCCAGCAGGGAGAGAGAGGAGAGGGCATGGGGGAAAGGATGGGCTGGGACCCCCATCCACTCCAGGGGCCCAGAACTCCGACTCCCCAGCTGCCCAGCCTCAAATCCCAGATGGCCACGTTGCGGTCCCTGTCCCTGCACCCGCAGTCCCCCATCCCCTCCCCAGGACCACTCACTCACATCCTCTCATTCGCGTCTCCCCCTCGGCCAAGTTTTCCGGAAACATAGGGCTGGGAAGATGCCCCAGGGAGCGGGCCGAAGTGGGCCGGCAGGCTGGGCGGCCGCGGTCGGCTCTGCGAGGCTGCTGGTTGGCGTCTGCTGGCGGCTCAGCTCAGCCTCACATCCTTCTCCGTCCCACGGTGAGGGAGGGAGGGAGGGAGGGAGGGAGGGAGCGAGGGAGGGAGGGACGCGGCGGGCGGAGGCTGGCTCGAGAGGGGCGGGCGGGAGGCAGCTCCTCACAAGTCCGCCTGCCTGTGGTGGCCCGGGGCTCCTCCAGCGGCCGCTGCCACCTCTGACGCCGTCCCCAAGCCGCTGTGGGCGCGCGAGGTGCCCTTCCCCGAGGGTGGTGGGTGGCGGGAAGTTGTCAGTGGTGCGTGTGGGATGCCCCTGGGCCAGGTATCACCGGGGCGCAGCGTGCCGAGCTCCTCCAGCACCAATGTGCCCAGTGCGGACGCTCAGCGAGCAATGCCGGCCAGAGCCCACAGACCCCCGGGCCGGGCAAAATCCAAGGACCCAGGCCCAGCAGGGCAGCCGTGTCCCCCGCAGCCGGGCTCAGCTCTGATCTTCTTGCTGCCTGACCCAGCGAGACGCGGCAGGACTGAATGTGACCTCCAGACGGAGGCTCGCGGCGGGCGGGCAGGCGGGCGGGGGAGCGTGGCAGAGGCCCAGGTTCACAAGGGGCGGGCCAACTTGGCACTGGCTCCCCCTCCCTCTCTCCCCATCCGCGGCGGTGGCGGCGTCAGCAGTGGTAAGAACAGATGAGGGTTCCAGAAAAACAGAGCTTCTCCACCCCCGGCAGACAGGGAGCAAACAGCTTCTTCCGCCATCATCCCCCGCCGCCCGTCCCCCCACCCTCCGTGTCAGTTCCACCTGAGCTCTGCCCCCTGCCTGGCCTGATGCTGCCGAGGCTGACCGAGCCCTCTGTCGGGGACTGTGGGTGGGCAGGGCTAGCCTCGCATTCCGGAGGGATCCCGGGATTTGAGGAGCCTTTGCAGGGTGCACATGAGACCGCCAACCATTTAGGGGAGGGGGAAGGGTTTGGGGATTTGGGGTCCCCAAAGAGCCCTCTGCTGCTGGGGGGGTCTCGGGACCACAGCTGCCCCTTTCGTCCTCCTCCGAGAGCCCCTGCAGCCGTGAAGGAACACTGTGGGAAATGCCGGGGAGCCACCCAGAAGGTTGAAAGTTAACTGAGCTGAACTTTGGATCCTAGATTCAGGTCACGACCGACTTCCCTGACTCTGGGATCATTAACCTGCTTTTCCCTTTAACTCCCAGCCCTTCCATCCTGCCCCCTAAAAATCTGGGGAGCAGAAGGCGTCTCTGGAATGTCCCTGCACCCCCAGCCCTCGTCCTGGGGCACGATGCCAGGGGAGGGCAACAAACCTCAACCACATCAGGGATCTGGGCCTCTCCACCTGAGTCCTGCCCTCTGCCCTCTGCAGGGGAGGTCTCAGTGCACTTTTAAGGATGCCAACCCCGTGAAATCACTCCTCTGCTTAAAATCTTCCAGTGACCACATGAAGCTCTTGGAATAAAATCCAAAGGCCCTAGCACGGCCCAGGTGACCCTTAGGAGCCAGCTCCATGAACCCGCCCAGCCTCTCTCTGGGTCACTCGTGTGTGCCCCAGGGCCTTTGCACCAGCTGCTCCTGCTGCCTCCACGGGTTTTCTCACAGATGTGCCTTGTCTTCCCTCTGGTCTTGGCTCAAGTGATGGCTCCTCAGAGAAGCCTTCCTTGCCCGCCCCTCCAAAGTGACCCCCCCCCGTCGCCCTGCCATCCCAGGGTTTGATCATCTTCATAGCTTTCACCGCCTCTGAAATTAGCTCCCTCGTCCCACTGCTCATCGGCAGGTGTCCGGGGCCTGCTGAGCACCCTGGGCATCTCTGCCACCCGTCTGGGTCCCTGGTAAGGAGCTTGCAAAGGAAGAGGGGGCTGTGCGTTTAGCTCTGCAGGGGGCCCCGAACCCTCCCAAAAGAGGCTGGGGTATCCCCCTTGACATCCAGGCACACGCCCCCAACACTCTGTGCCAGGGCGGAGATGGCAGATTCTGCCACCATGCCCTGTGGTCTGGATTCCCCGACCCCACTTCTAATTTCTAAGGAAGGAGTTTCGTTCTGAAGAGTCAGGAGGCAGGAACTAGGAAGTGAAATTGACCAAGACAGGAAGTCCAGCCAGGAGGTCTGAGTCACAGACGCCGAGTGGAGAGCCAGGCGCAGGGGCCCGGCGGCCACGGGAGTGGGTGCTTGGGGCCCCGCTGGGCTAATCCTCCTCTGGGCACCCATGGGGCAGCGTCCCACATGCCATCCGCGGGCCCATGACGAGCTGTTCTTGTGGGGGCCAGGACTCAGCCTCCTCGGCTCAGGTGCTCTGGCCCTCAGGGAGGCCTGTGCTGCCGCTCAGATGCCTCCAAGCTGCTTTTCTCCAAGGGTCTGCAAACCTGCATCCACAGCTAGGACTCCGAGGGGACCACACCACCGCCCACCTGCATCTGGGGATGTTGCAGCTGTTTTCTCTGGAAGTCAGCCCCCAACCCTGGAAACACACTCGCTCTCCCCACCCCAGCCAGTCACCTCCAGCCTTGACGTTTCCCACCCCTTCCATGAAGACTCACAGGCTGCCTGCCAGAGGGGTGCATCGACCACCGCCCCCCACCTGCCATTTTCCCCGAGAAACTCAGCATGCTCTGCCTAAAACCCTATCAAAGTTGGGAGGAAAAGAACCCAGCCGTCTTGGGCCTGAGTCATGCCACTTCCTCATTTCAGAAACCCCAAGCCCTGGCGGGGGGGGGGTTCCACAGGGACGGTGCCTCCGCATTGACACCCTTGACAGGCCGGGCACTCCTGCGTGTCTTGTCAGGACTTCCCGAACTCCTGCCATCCTGAAATCCTATCAGGATGTTGGCTGGATAACATCACACCTGGACTTGCACCTCCCCACTCTTTTCTCTCCATCTACTCTTTCAAAAATCAGCCTCGCTATCTGCCTTAGCCTCCGCATCAGCAATTATACCCGTAAATCATAGGTACGATGTGAAAAAGCTACGTCTTCTCCCAGCTCTCAAAAAAACCCAGACTCATTAAGATGAAATAAAGTCACCTGCATACGACCTGGCGCTGTCTCGCCTACCATTTCCGGAAGTGCCACGTTACACCTTTCAATGTCACGTTTTCCTACAGAGCAGAGCAAAGTTGGAAGCCAGCCTGGGGGGTCAGACAGACCACCCCATGCCCTGTGTCCACCGCAGTGGGCTGGGTGAGCACTGGCTCTCCCTCTGGCCTTGGTCTTCTCCTGTGCAAAGCAGAAGTCGTGTGTATGCGTGCGTGTGTACACACGCGTGTGGAGGGCCTGCCTTGTTCGTGAGCACCAGCCACGCCACGTGACGACAGGCATCATTACTACCGCATCGACCGCCAGGTGCTCCTTCCCTGAGTCAGGAGCCATGTGGATGCGGATTCATGGGTCTCCCCTAGGAGGGAAGGGGGGCTTGTTGATGCCTGATTTCATCTTCAAGGGTGCTGACAGGAGCAAGAGTGTGGTCCAGACCCTGCCCCTGTGTCTGGCTGTACCCCAAGTTCCTGCAGAAACCCCAATTTTTTCCTCCCTCCAAACCATCACAACAGACTGTTTCTCACATATCCGGCCGGGAGGCCAACCAGCCCCAGACATGCACCCTCCCTAGTGGTCTCTCTCCAGACCACACGTGGTGACAGTCTCCTTGGACGCGAGCCCCGAGGCACCGCACCGTCCCTGCCTGGTATACCACCCCTCCTGAGTCACACAGCTCGAGTGTCGCCTCCTGCTGGGCCCTGACGGACAGCTGCACCAGGAAGTAGCCGGGCAGACCCAAACCCAGGAGCAGCAGCACTGCCTACCGGCCCGCCCACCCCACTGTAAGCTCTGGCAGCTTTGTGCGGCAGAGCACACAGGCGCTCCTCTTTTGGGGGGCCCATGGTGGGCACAGCCCAAGGCTTTCCCAGTGGACATGTAGTGGAGGAGGTCCTGCTCTCCAGGCTCCAGGCTGGGGGCTCACCCCTCCCCTTCCCATGCCTTAGACGCTTCATCTATAAAAGCCCGTCAGGCCAGCCCATGTGCACAGCAATGGGTGGTTCCTGCCTCGCTCCTGTGAGAAGTGGCAAGGCCACTAGACAAGGCAGCTGGAGTCCTGGGGGAGGCCTCTGGGGTCTGCCCGGGCTTACTGGGAGCCACCAGGGCCTGGTCTTGCACATCCTCCCACTGTTGGCCGCTCCCTGGAGATTGGGAAGGACTGGCAGCCCGGAGGCGGGCCAGAGCCAACTCCCGGTCTAGAATGGTGTGACAATGGTGTGACCGGGAGCCTCCCAACCCCCTCCACAGCAGGTTCTCTGCCCGCCAGAGAAGAGGGCTGGGGCCTGGAGGAGCTGCCAGCAGAGCCTCGGGCCTCTCGCACAGCTGGGTCAGGCTTCCAAGCCAGGCCAGGCTGACCTTTCCCAGGGGAACCGAGTCCCTCATCCCAGCCCTGCTCCTGCCCTGCCCCTCCTTCCCCACTTGGCGCTGGGCCCGAGGGCAGGCGGCCAGCTCCCCGGAGCTGCCCGGTTCCTGGGGAAGCTGCCTCCTGAACATTCTCGGTCCTCAGGCAGCACAAGCCCCAGGGCAGGCAGCCACAGCCGCATGCACACAAGAAGGGAGGTTGCTCACTTGCCCACCAGAAACCCTATGGCCATCATGTCCCCAGCCCCTCCCCAGTGGCCTCCCACGCTCTAGAGTAATAGCTACACTCCATCCCATGCTGGCAAGGCCAGGCTCCCGGTGGCCCCTCTACCTTCTGGGATTCAACCACTTCTCATGGGGCCACACTGCCCCTGCCATGGGGCCTTTGCACATGCCTGTCCTGCCTTTGTTACCTGGTCAACAGGTTGGCCCATGGACTAACCTGTTCAGCTCTCATGCCAACCCCATTCCTACTCTGCAAGTAGAGTGCCTGGGTTCAAATCCCAGCTCTACCACTTCACAGCTGTGTGACCCTAGGCTGCTCACTAAGCCTCTCTAGGCCTCGGTTTCCTCATTTGAATAACAGAAGTATTAACAGCACCTGCCTCCTAGTCAGGTTGGTAGAGATAAAGTGACTTCATACACACAAAGCTTCCAGCAGTGCCCAGCACGCAGGATGGGCTCCACGGTGTTACTGGGTGATATTCACTATTATTTCGTGCTCTGGGTGTCGGCCCCTTCCTCGGGGTAGCCCTCTGACTGGTGGCCCCCAGCACCATGGAAGTTCCTCCAGTTGTCACTGTACATTTGCTTGGCAGGTGACTTACCTCCGACCCCCATCGCCGGGGCGAAGACAGAGGTGGCGGGGGCCGAGGCCCCAAAGTGTAGGTACCTGCTCAGGGTCAGACTCTGCAGGAGGCACAGCTGGGACCCAAACCTAGGGAGCAGGGTCTGGAGACTGCGCCCTAAGCTAGCGGCCTGCCATTTCTGAGTGCCTACTGTATACCAAGGACTGTTCCTATGTGGCTCGCTCCGTCTTTAAAGTGCCCCTGGGAGGTAGCATCCCTGCCTCATCTGAGAGAACGATGGTAACTGAGGGTGAAACAGATGGGCCAGGCCAAGGTCAGGGGGCTAAGGAGCTGCTTGTAGCTACAAAGTGATGGGGAGGTCGGTATGCCCCGGGCAGCACTGCCCTCAGCTCTTCTGTGTACTTTCACCAAAACCCCAGGAAGGTGGGTGTGCTGGGTTGGAGAGCATCCCCCCAACATTTTGTGTCCACCAGAACCTATGAATGTGACCTTATTTGGAAAAAGGATGTTTGCAGATGTGATCAAGTCAACGTGGGGTCATACTGGATTGGGGTGGGTCCTTGTAAGAAGAGGAAAATGTGGACAGAGACACGCAGGGAGAAAGGCACACAAAGACAAAGGCAGAGCCTGGAGGGATGTGGTCATGAGCCAGGGACTGCCAAGGCTGCAGGCAGGCGCCAGGGGCTGGGGGAGGCAAGGCAGGCTCCTCCCCAGAGCCTCTGGAGGGAATGCAGCCTCTTGGATGCCTTCAACTTGGACTTCTGGCCTCCAGAACAGTGAGAGAATACATTTATTTTAAGCCACCCAGTTCATGACCCTTTATTATGGCAGCCACAGGAAACATACAGTGGGCGCTCCTTGAATCCCACTGTACAGATGAAGAAACTGAGGCACAGAGAGGTTGGCTGACTTGCCTGAGGTCACACAGCTGAAACATCCAGGGGGTTGAGACCTGGTTTCTCCCTAGGAATGGGGCCCCTCTGCTGCTCATCCTCCAGGGCCATGCTACTAAAGTCTTCCAGAGGCTTCAGGCAGGCTGGGGTCCGAAGGCCCTGGGGAAACCTGGCTGCTTACCTGCCCAGGCTCCCCGAGGGAGGGGTGGGGCTGGCTCATTCCTGAGTGCCCCTGCCACACAGAGAGTGAGGCACTATGTTGCTGAAATGATGGGTAAAGGATGGGCAGAGACCATCTGCCTCAGCAATAGCCGCTTCTCCAGTCCCTTTTCCTAACTCTTGGTTTTCTGGGCGGGGGCTCCAGAACGTTCCTAGCTTCTCCACCCCGACCCCCTATGGAGGAGTTGCTGGGGCCTGCCAGCACCTGTCTCCCCGCCCCACCCCCGCTCCCTCCTGCCATCGCCTGGAACACACAGCCATTAGCAGCCACCCTGAGCAGTAATTGTCCAGATTGCTGTAATTCACGGCAGACGAACATGCTGCTGCTCACGACATTATTACAAATGTCACTGAGCAGGGCCTCCGCGTGCACGGCCCCCAGGGGACGCTCACTGCCGTCTCCATGGGCAGGACCCAGGATGAGCTCACTGTCATCACTGAGGACCCAACCTTGAGATGGTGGGACACGGGCTCCTCTCCGCCGGTGAGTCATCCCCAGCCGTCCTCCCAGCCTCCGGATCTGCCCTTCCAGAAGGCAAACAGAGGGCAGGCACTGTCTTCCCAGTTCTCAGGCAATGGGCGGTGGGGGCGGGGGTGGTCACCGGTGAGGAGGTGGTAGTGACAACACGAGACACGAGAAGGGATGGAGAGGCGGTGGGACCCTGGGCTGACCGTTTGGGGATGTCCACGCGGAGTCCTCCGATGGGTGGGTGCTCTGGGAAATCTCCCAGCCAACAGGCTGAGATCCCAGGGACTCACCTGTGATTAAAAATCTCACACAATTTTACACAAATGCTCACAGCAGCACTCTTCACAACAGCCACATGGAAACAACCCACACATCCCCCAAGAGATGAACGACCGACAAAATGTGGTCCGTGCAGGTGAGGGAATATTATTCAGCCGTACAAAGCTACTCAGATGAACCTCAGAACCATCATGCTCCCAGAAAGGAGCCAGACACAAAAGGCCACAAACTGTAGGATTCCATTCATTGGAAACGCCCAGAACAGGCCAATCCACAGAGACAGAGAGTGCATTAGTGGCTGCCAGGGGCTGGTAGGGCTGGGGCGGGGCCCTGGGAGGGACTGCTAATGGGTATGGGATTTCCATCTGGGGTGAGAAAAAGTTCTGGAACTAGGCAGTGGTGAGGGTTGCACACCAATGCAGATGTACTTCATGCCACTGAGATGTTCACTTTCCAGTGGTTAGAATGCTGAGCTTCGTGCCATGTGTATCATCTCAAAATTAAATAAAAGGCGGCGGGAATCACACAATTTCAATAAAGCTTCTTTTGCAGCCTATAATGAAATACATGCCAGAAACCACCAAGTGGACATTAAAGACAGAGAAACAACAATGTGGCCTCTCTGGGGGCTGACAGCAGCCCCAGGCCCTACCAGCTGGATACAGTGCCCAGGCCCTACCAGCTGGATACAGTGCCCAGGCCCCGCTGGCATGCCTCTCACTCACCACACACAGAGCCTGACCTGCAGCGGCAGGCAGGCCCTCCTTCCTGAATGGTGCGAGGGTCTCTCTGGGTCCAGGTTCACCTCAGCCTGGGGGGCGGAGGGCAGACTGCCCCCGGAGGAGCTCTGAGGGCGAGGGGCAGGGTCCCGGGGTGAGGGCGGGGGCTGTGGGGGTCTTCTCAGGGCTGTGGGGACCCTCAGCACCCCCCACAACTACAGTGGAGGACGGGGCCGGGCCCAGGAGCCCCGTGATCCAGGCTGTTCTCAGATACACCTGCCCTTATGTGCCAAGAGCGTTTGCTATAAAGGGCCTTTGTTCCCTCCATAAGTCACGACCTGGAGCTTTCTGCACAAAGAAACCGCACGTCACAGACAGCCTCGACTCCAGCAGGGCCACGGGACCAAGCACGGGACAGGGACGGGGAGTGGGGGCCTGGGCCTGCTCCCAGCCCCACACACCAGCTCCGGAACCCGTGGCACTCCTTGGCCTCTGCTTCCTGGCTCCTTGCCCACAAACAGGGACATGGGCGGGGACAGGAGCAGGCCCCACCTCTTAGATAACCGAGAGTGAGCGTGCCGTGGGAGCCAGGTGCTGCCCCGGCCTCAGCAGTGCTGCCAGTGATGCGCCAGCTCCGACAGCCCCTGCCCCAGGCCAGGCACGGCCGAGGGAGGGAGGAGATTCGCTCCCACTCAGCCCACCATGGGCCCTCACACAGGGTTATCTGATTCCGCACAGCCAACCTAGACGACCCTCCCACTCAACAGACGGGCAAACCGAGGCCCAGAGGCAGGTCACTGTGCTGGGAAGTAAAGATCTTGGCCAGGAGACAGCACAGCTGAGAGGGGATCCGGCTTAGGAGGCACTGGACCCCAGCCCCCACGGTGCTGCACATCACAAGGCCATCTGCTCGGGATGGCTTCTGCTGCCAGCACCAATGCCTGCTGGCTCCCTGCCGTGTGAGCCACTCCCACGACTGTCCCCAACGGCCTGGGTGTCCCCATCCACTCCAGAACCCGTCACCCAGATTGGGGTGCTCAAACCTGAGACAGGTTTCCAAAGCCCCAGCACACTTGAGCCCAGGATAGGACCTTTGGGGCTCTAAGGGCTGGATGAACGCCCTGCAGGTCTCCCTGACCCCAGGACTCTACCGAGATGGCCGCCGGCAAGCTCTGACTGTCCCGAGATACCCAGGTGTGCTGCCACTGCTCTGTCCCCAAGGCCCAGAGGTGCTGGCCACAGAGGTCACCCAGAAGCCACTCGCTGACTACATGCACAGCACAAGCTGTGTCTCTCTGAGCTGCGCCCTCAAGTCACAAAGACAAGCCTGACAGCGCAGCTGCACAGACCCATTTTCTGGAAGGTAAAACTGAGGCTCCAGGGTGACAAACCTGAGAACAGCCCAGAACCAGAACCTCACCAGAGGCCTCACCACAGCCCCTGGCTCAAGGCCAAATGTGTCAACACCCTCCCCAGCACGTGAGCTTCAGGCGCCCTGGATGCAAACCAACAAGGCTTAAAGCCGCCACACACCCCTCACCTTTCTTGGCTGTTTCCATTTCTTCTTCTGTCCAGCGAGAACTCTCATTCAGCTCCATGGAGGCTGAAAAGAAGATGCCAGGTTATTGGCAGGAGCCGGGAGAGGAGGCACTTTGCCTTCTGCCCTTTTCTCTCCTTTGAGCCAGGGAGGGAGTAGACCAGGCCTTGACGGTGTCACCGCACGGCTCTGAACCCCGTGGGAAGGCCACATTTCAGACGCCCCTCCCCAGCCAGTACCCACCGTGGCACCTGACTCCCTGAGCCTTTATGCTGGGCTGGAGCTGTGCTGGGCAGTCCCACGTGCCGTTGGTCGGGGCCAACCTCCACACAAGCCGCTGAAGTCGGGGCACCTGCGATCACCCCATTTTATAGAAGGGGACACTGAAGCAGTCAAGGGCCTTGACCATGACTGCCTCTGCCTGCACTCTGTTGGGAAAGGGGTCACCTGGTGACGTGGCGACAGTGGGACACAAGCTTCAGGTGGGCCGGGACCTCATCTGACCGAGGACCCTCTCGGAGCCCAGCTCTTCTATTACTGTGGGGCTGTCCCATCACGGCAGGATGCTTAGCAACCCTGGACTCTGCACGCTGGACTCCAGCAACCCTACTCCAATTGTGACCATCAAAACTGTTCACAGACACTGCCTGGCGTCCCCTAGTGGGGGAGTAAAATCGCCCATGGCGGAGAAGCCCTGCTCCAGAGGGAATGTTCATACCCCCACTCATCCAGGACAAGGAGGGGCTTCTGGTGTTACTGGGAAGGGACACAACCTGGCCTTGGGGTTGGCTGGAGGTGGCTGCATCTCTGCAGTGGCACTATTTTTGGGTCTGTCTGCCGAGCTCCTCTGGATGTGAGCCCTGGCCCTTCCTTTCCAGTTGCTTAAGACCCATGAGTGGGGTGGGTGCGAGGGACGTCAGCTCCATGGACTCAGCACCTGGAACTGCGCCAGGGGGAGTATGTGTCCAACAGAGGCTGGCTGAGGAGTGGCGGAAGGTTCCAGCAGAAGAGGGGAGACGGCCCCCACCCCCATGGGCAGCCCCATCAGCCCCGACAGGCCAGAGCCACCCCAGCCTCCCCCATCTCTGCAGCCACAGCCTGGGCCTCTCTGGGACCTCATCGATGCTCCCATTCCTCCCCACAGGACTCCCAGAGGAAGCCTACAGAAGCCAGGGGTGCCAGGGGTGCTGAGGGTGCCCAGTGCCAGAAGAGACATGGAAGGCCTAGGAGTGTGTTTTCCACCCTGCGGCTGAGCCCCCAGCATCAGCCTTGGGTCCGAGAGGACTATCCCCAGAGATCAGGCAGGAAGAAAGCCCTTTCACCCTGGGCCTCCAAGTACACCGCCACCAAGAGGCAGCTGGAAAATATCTGCAGGAGCTGCATAGGCTCTGTGGCCAATGGGGCTGAGTTCTAACCCCAGCTACAATGAAATTTTTAGAGAGGGAACGTTTCCTCTCTGAGCTTCGAGTGGGCCATTTATGAAATAGGTCCAAACTACATCCCACGAGAAGAAGAGACAGGTGCATGACCCGGACCCCAGGGGACGGTGGGGGTCTGTGGGAGATGAAGCAGCATCTCCACCCTGAGAATGAGCCCTGGCAGGCGGGGCTTCGGCCTGAGCGCTTGGGCCCCTGGGTGGGTTCCCGCAGTGGCTGGAGGGCTGGACCCTAACAGCTAAACAAAGTAGAGACAACAGACGCACACCGCTGCCCCCTGCGGCGAATCTTGGGAACTGCCACTCACATCATCTCATTTTTTTCTACTTTCTGGGAGGGTAGTGAGGGATGAACACCCTTCTCAACAGAAGGGGAAACTGAGGCCCACGGAAGTGAAGGTACAAAACCAGATGCCTACCAGGGTAGAGGCTGGGTGGGGACAAGTAGAGCCCATGACATTCTAAGAAGGAG
The DNA here is from genome assembly GCF_000001405.40 of Homo sapiens. NCBI lineage: Eukaryota > Metazoa > Chordata > Mammalia > Primates > Hominidae > Homo > Homo sapiens. The sequence continues at coordinate 124,400,023 of NC_000012.12, forward strand.
TGGTGGTTACTCGGCTCCCAACAACAGCCACCTCATGGGAACCTGGGCCAAGCGTGGCCAGATCTTCTGTTTTAAAAACGACAACCAAAAAATCCGGAACTGGTCACTGGGAATTTTTTGTGACATCTCCCTGCTCTGAAATCACTGTGGTTGAAGCCACTGAACTCTTCCTACACCCCAGGCACTGTTCTAGGTGCTTCTCACATAGCAAGTGACTACAACTGTCCCCCCACGTTAGAGGTAACCACCGATTCCTCCCACTGAGAACATGAGGACCCTGAGGCACAGAGAGGTTCAGGAATTCATGCTGGGCCACACAGCACATCCAGTAGGTAGCGCTGGGATTTGACTCCAACCATGACTTACACCAACCCCTTGGCTGTTGCCAATTAACTCAAATTGCACGAAACTTTCATATGAGCGCAACCCGCCGTGTCTCCAGCCCCTTCCCCACCCGCATCCCTGGCCCCCAGCTCACCCAGCTCGGCGCTCTGCTGGGGGGTGATGGCCTCCTCGCTGTTGGCCTCATTAGCCATTGAGCGGGTGATGCGGCCTTTGCGTCTTCCCTGGCTGTTGGCAGTTTTGCGGCCTTTGGAGGCCACAGCCTCCTTCTCGTCGTTGTCCTCCCCTGAGGTGTCGTCTGTCTTCTCCCTACAGGCCAGAGAGGGGAGATAGGATGGCTTCACCCGAGCCGGGAAATCAAACAGCCACTGGAGGAGACTGTTTCTTTAGCTGGATTTGCACTGGCTGCCAGCCATGGCACTAATCGGACGCTAGGAAAGAGGGGGAGAGGCCTGAGGTGAGGGTGGCCAGGGGCAAGTCTGCAGGGGCTCCATGTTCACCAGAAGTGGGAGTACAGCTGGCAGGACAACACCATGCTATTTCTCAAAAGGGAGTTGCGGCCAGGTGTGCTGGGTCACACCTGTAATCTCAGCACTTTGGGAGGCCGAAGTTGGAGGACTGCTTGAGCCCAGGAGTTTAAGACCAGCCTGGGCAACACAGCAAGACTCCATCTCTACAAAAGAAAAAGATCAGAAAATTAGCCAGGCGTGGTGGCATATGCTGATGGTCCCAGCTACTTGGGAAGCTAAGGTAGGGGGATCTCTTGAGCCTGGGAGGTCGAGGCTGCAGTGAGCCATGATTATACCACTGCACTCCAGCCTGGGTGACAGAACAAGACCCTGTCTCAAAAAAAAAAAAAAGAAAAAGAAAGGATGGGGGTGTAACCTGGGCTATCAACTTAATTCACCAATAAGGCCATGTGGACAGGTAGTTAATTGGCTGGCTATTTTATTCCCCAAATGGGAGGTACTGGGAGCTTTCCTGCAAGGCTACTTTCTTCTGGGCTGGTGGTTATCTGCAAGACCATTTTATGCACCAAATAGAGAGATACTGTCTGCAAGACTATTTGGTGAACTAAATGGGGGCGTGGGCTGGCAGCAATTTATAGGGCCATTTTATTCGCCACAGAGGAGCTATTTCCAGAGGGGCTCTATAAGAGGCAATACATTGGCCTTCAGTATTATCAAGGGCCGGGCATCATCTTAGACATTGGCAGGAGGAAACTCTCTTGCTGGTTTTATGCAGGCCTAGCCTGCAGGCCTAGCTGTGGTGTGTGGGGGTGCTCACAACCTCGATACCCGAGCTGGGGCTCTCGCAGAAGTGACTGGGGAGAGTTTTACTGCGGGAGGCTCAGATTGATCACCTCTGCCTTCCCATTCATCTTCCTGAAAGGCCCTTGCTGGAAGCGTCTGGGAGACGGGGTGAGGAAGCCAGATGTTCTCTGAAGCCAAATTCCTGAGCCCATTACAGGTACCTGGCGCTAAGTCGTGCCGCCCCCCTTTCTCCAGCTGGCTGCACTCCTGCAGCCCCTGGCAGGCACAGGAGGCTGTCACGGCCCCCGCGGTGAGGCTGTGCCTTGATCTGCAAGAACTCACACTGCCATCGATGATTCTAAAGGTGACAGCAGCCGCCTGCACACCTAGTCCTTCCAGGAGGGCCTCTGATCCCCCTTTCCCCCTTCCTGGCGCCTCAGGAGGAAAGAGCGGGAGGAAGCAGGGAGGCAGAGAGTTCCAAAGTCATTGCCTGGATTTATTAGCTCAGGAGTGGAGCTCAAATGAGCTATCAGTCTCTAAAGTCTCCAGAGGGTTGGAGAAAGAAAGCGAGGGCGGAGGAGAGGGGGGAGCCAGGGAGGAGGAGTAGGGCGATGGGTGGGCTTCCGGAAGGGGGGCTGTCAGGGGCAAACGAGCAGAAAGCCCTCCCCCCTGCTCACAGGCAATTGGTGGGCACCCCACCCGTCTCTACAAAGGGTCCCCCAGAACCGTGTGCCACCCGGGTTGGGTCAGCGGCCGGGCCCTGCAGGGGACAGCAGGCTGCCTTACTTGAGGAGGTCTTCCTTGTCGTTCTCCACCTCCGGCTTCTCCTCCTCCTTCTCCGCCTCCTTTTCCTTCTCCTTCTCATCTTTCTCCTCCTGGCTGCTGCGGGGCATGGGCTGCTGCTGCTGCTGCTGCTGCTGCTGCTGCTGCTGTTGTTGCTGCTGCTGTCAGACCCCGGGGGAGGGCAGAGGGGAGTGGGGAGGGAAGAAAACCGTGAACAGGTGAATCTCTGCACCTGGGCTCAGCCTGAGCTGGGGGAGGAGGAGGAAAACCCGTGGAGTCCACCCAGAAGAGGTCATAAACAACCGGGAAGCCAGGCCCCACTGGCATGAGATGGGGAGAGGCACGGCCTGGGGTCTTGCCGCCCTAGGGGCCTGGGGAGGCGGAGTCGGGGTGAGGGGCAGGAAGCATTGGTGTCAGAAGTGCTGGCTTCAATTCCTGCCCTTTCCACACAGTGGCTGTGTGAGCTTGGATGAGGGTCTTAACCTCTCTGTGCCGACTCCTTCGCCTTGACAATGGGGGTATTCAGCATGCCTGTGCCTCAGCTGAGGGCTGGGAGGTTGAAATGAGAGAATCCTCACCATGCTTACATCCGCATCTGGCCCGGATATTTAAGAGGGGCAGATGTGATCTGGGTTGAGAGAGGTGCCCTGGTGAGCCTCGGCAGGGGTGCCTGAGCATCTGGGAAGCTGGGGACACACCCCTGATGCCCCAGCCCTGCCCTGCCCCCGACAGAGCTCAGGCCACCTCTCTAAGCCTCGGTCTCCGAGTCTGTAAAACGGGGAGGTGGGGGGATGCCCCTGATTCCCCAGAGCCCAGGAAGGCCCCAGGCCTGCGTGGAGGTGGCTGCTCTGCTGCCTGGGCCTGGTCTCCCTCGCATGCCAGCACCCCAGGGGGACAGAACAAGCCCATTTTACAGAGCAGATCAGAGAGGCTGGGAGCCAAGCCAGCCTCCTTACTTGGGCCTCTTCCTGTCATCTGCCTCCCCGACCTGTCCCAGCCACTCTGGGCCTACCGCCCCTCCCCTCACCGAGATAGAGGAGGGAGTGTGAGCTCCTCCTGGCACCGCCTCCCGATTTCCTGTCATCCCGCCTGATTTCTTTTAAAGCACACACTGATTTTCTTGGACACCCCAAGGTCCTCCCTGCAGGCAGCTGCCAAACCAGACCATCTTTCCATCCCTCTGAGCCAAGCGAAATAAAAATAAACCCCAAAGCCTTTTAATGTGTACCAGGGGCACAGTCACGGCAATGTTTCAAACCAGGGAGCAAGAACTCCAAGCAGATGGAAGAGGAGGGATCGGGGAGGTGAGAGAGACTCCCTTCTCTTGCCTTTCCTTCCTGCCAGGAACAGGTGCCTGACCCGCACACAACGCTCTCTCCAGCCTCTTTTCATTTAGGATGGGGCAGAAAAACAGAGCAAGTGTCTGACTGCTGCAGGCAACCGTGGGCTCCCTGAGGCTGCTGCCAGGTCCAGGGCAGAGCCTCGGGCCTGCATCTGCCTCTTTTCCCCAGGAATCCCTTGCCACCATGTTCTGTAAGAGGAGCCAGGAAGGGGCAGAGTTGCCCGACCTGGAACAGACCCCCCGGCCCCCAGGTTGCTGCTGATTCCCCAACAGGTGCCCGGCATCCTGGGATCAACCTGTTCTCCCTCTCCTGACCTCGAACCCTCAAACGTAACGTTTAAACAGCCGGCAGGTGAAGCCTCTTTTGGAGGTGGAAGCTGGGGCAGGGAGGGTTTTTTTGGCTTGTTCCTACACAGTATCCTTTCTGTCCACATTTGCCCGATGTGGGCAGAGGTAGGGACCCGGGGAGGGAGGAGTGATGTGGCTGGCTGGGGAGAGAGCCTTGGCCCCTGGGCTGCCCGGCATGGATGCCGTCTCCCCGGGTCAGATGTCCCTGGCAACAGCCCAGGGCCAGAGTCTGGGCAGGGCCGGGGCTTTTGAATCACACGGGCTTGGTGTCTCCTGAGACCACATTCAGCTACGTCTGTGCCAAGAAGTCCCCACCTGGGCTGTGGCGTCCCTCCCGATGGGAGCAGCAGCCACGGAGCCTCCTTCCCAGAGCATCTGCCCATCAGCCCCTGCACCTAGGCTGGTGGGGGCTCCATGACCCCCTGGGGCCTCACCCATGGACCAACGAATCAGGCTAATGTCTGCTCCGGCATGGCCAGTAAATGCAGCTCCACACCCATCAGGCCGCAGGCAGGGGCCAGTTGGGAGAGGGATGCATCTGGGCCAGGCCCTGAGCTACGAGCCTTCCCCACCGCAGCTCTCCTCCAAGTCCTCAGAAAAGCCCCAAGGAAGAAGAGGCTGGTACAGAGGAGAAAATCCCCACAGATCCCCGAGAGCTGACTATGTGCCCAGCACTGTGCTGTCCATTTTCTATGGGCCGGCTCCTGGCCCCTCTGAAGTCCTGATGGAGATGAAAACGCCACGAGTAACACCCCTGCACCATGCCAAGTGCTTTGCAAACACTATCCCAGCCTCAGAAACAGGAGAGCAGTGATCACTGGTCACATTCTGCAGAGGAGGAAACAGGCTCAGAGAGGCAAAGCTTCGAGGTCTCGGAGCAAAGGCTGACGGCCCAGAGTGTGGGGGATGGGGCCCTGCTGCCCCCAGAGCCCCCGCTGAGAGTCTCAGCCAACCCCCAGCCAGGATCTACAGTTTGTGTTCTGCAGACTTGCCAGCACGCCCCATCTACCTATCCCTACCTGCCTCCCACTCCAGACTCTACAAGCCCCGCCAGGGCCTGCCCACAACCCCCTCGCTCCTGGAACGTCACCCCCTATGTCTCCATATTCGATCGCTCATGGCACCACGTGCCTGGCTCCGTCCCACATGGTCTCCCCTACCCACCCACCTGTCCATCTTACAGAACAGGAAACTGAGGCACCGAGTGCAATCCTGGCACCAAGCCTTGCCGCCTCCTCTTCCCTGACATGTTAACAAGCCCCCAGGGCAGGGGTGCCTTCCACCCTCACCCTCTGGTTGGAGTGGGTGCAGCAACACCCACTAGCACAGCACCTTCTGGGCCACCCTGCAGCCAAGGCCTAGGGCCCTGTGCACAGGCTCCTCACTTCCTGTGGCCTCAACATCTCCTGTGGGAGAGGCATCCCTGCAGCCCACGCTGAGTGAGTCCGGTGGGGGAAGATGAAAAGGAGGAATAGCAGAGCAGCCCTGGCCTTAAAATATGCTTTCCAGTGGGACAGACCCCGGCAGCCTTAATGATGAACATCTGCAGGGTCTCGCAGTGGCCACCCGGGAGGCCGAGGGACTGATTGAGGGCCGCTCATACTCGCTGCTGGGAGATTATGCAGGGAGAGGGAGGTCCCAGCTCACAACTCCCCCTGAGGAGCTGGGGGGACCCGGCAGCCGGCTCAGCCCCCAAAGCCTTCTATGTTTTAGGGCAGCAAGTGCAGCAGCCGACACTGGCGAGGCTGGGCTGCTGGGTCTTGGGCCTGTCCATAGAGCGGCAGAACTGCACCTGCTGGGCTTCCCGGGCCACTGGGGGCCATGGTTCTCAAGGTCCCATGACATTGGCTGCACACTCAGATCTCGTGGGGAGCCCTGCGAAGTCCTGATGCCCAGGCCGCACCCCACACCAATGACATCCAAATCTCTGGGCGGAGACCCAGGCGTTCGTATGTTAAATTCCAGGTTATCCCGATGGGCAGCCAGATTTGAGAACCAGTGCTTTACCAGGGACTGGCAAACGTTTTCTGTAAGGGCCAGAGGATAAGTATGCCGTCTCTGTCAACCCCCTTCTCAATTCTGCCACTGTCTTGTGAAAGCGGCCCTTATATCAACAAAAGGGCACGGCTGTGTGCCAATAAAACTTTATTTACAAAAGCAGGTGGTGGGCCGGATTTGGCCTGTGGGCTTTCGTTAGAGCACTCTGCTCCAGGCCAGTGTTACCCACACCTGCAGGTGCACACACATCCCCTGCCAATTCCCACTCAGTCGGTCTGGGGTGGGGCCTGGGACTCTGCATTTCTAACCTGCGCCAGGAGAAGCTGCCACGGCTGGCCTCAGATCCCACTGAGGAGTGAGGCCTTCAAGAATCCTTGTCTCACAAGGCACATAAAGGACTCTGTGCAGCAGAAAACGCCTGTGGGCACCATTCCCTCAACGTGAGGGGACTGAAAGGAGAATCAGAAAGAACTAGAAGCCAGCTCCACTATCTCAAAGGACCCCGCCCTCGTGGTGGAGGGCTACCTCTGCCTTTCAGATGTGCCACTGGTCAGGCTGACAGTGGGTTTGTGCCCTGTGCGTGGTCAGAAACATCCCCCCAAACCACAGTACAACTCTGTGACAAACCCTACTGGATCTATGGTTAGCCAGAGCCACTGGCCCAAAGCCCCAAGAGACACCTGCCCCCAGATCTGGACACTGAACCCATAACCCTCAGCCTGCCAGACAAGCAGCACATGACTGGGCCTGTGCAGAAGCCCCAGACTGGGGGCTATGCAGAAAAATATCTTAATTAAAAACAGCAAAAGCTCGCTGAGCACATTTGATGAGGCCTTCTTCTCCTAATCACTTCCTACCTGTTATTTGAATCCTCCCAACAACTGGTATCATCCCAGTTTTATGGATGAGAATGCAAAGACAGAGGGAGTTTAAGTAACTCATCCAAGGTCACACAGCATTTCCTAGAAGGTCCTACAGCCAGGTGCCCTACCTCCGCCCTGGGCTGGGGGTTCACAGCCTCCTCCCTATGCCCATTTAAACCAAATGATGCCATTGCCTGATTCTTTCCTTCCGCCAGCATAACCTGAACCCCCAAGGGGCACACCAGCCACAGAAAGATGTGGCCCCCAACTGTATGGAGCTTGTATTTAGGTTGACAAAGACAGGCCAGATGGAGGCGCCGGTGACGAGGACACATTCAAAAGGCACATTCATGATGCAGATGAGGCAGCAAGGCGTGCTGACATGCAGGGCGAGGGAAGGGGCTTTGGCAGAGCAGGAGGCCTCTGCGGCATGGCAATGGGAAAATGGCCCCTGTGCCTACCAAGTGGCACTTTGGGGCATGGCTGGAGGGCCTGGCCAGGGCTAACACCCATGCTCAGAAATACAGGAGGCATTCTGAGGGCGGTGGGAGCCCCCGGGGACCTTTCTCAAAAGGTGCAGGGGTCGCAGGGAGTCACATGACCCACCCCATGTTAAAGAGCAATCCAATAGCAGGTCGCAGGAAGGAAGACGGTGGATTCCGGGAATGAGAGGAGACAGTCCAGTGAGAAGGTGCTGCGACCACCCACGTAGGGGTTGATGAGATTTAATTCTCAGATGCTAAGTCCTTACAAATGTGTCAGGAGAACTTCCCAAAACCCAGCAACACCGTCTGTGGCTCAATCTCATGCACTCATTCAACAAACACTTCACTGAGCATCTACCATGTGCCAGGTGCCCCTGAGAGGGCGCATCCTCATGACACCTTCCACCTCCTGGCAGTGTAGGGATGGGGATTCCAGGAGCCTGGGGTTGGTGTGGAAAGTGGGGCCAGGGGTCAGAGCCGAGGCAGAACAGGGTTCCCTGTTGCTGGCAGCTCTTCCCTAACACCTGCTCTCTGTCCCTCGGATTCAGTCTCCTGTCCTTGCTGGGGAAAATGCAGTCAGGGGAGGCCATCTCAGTGCGTTTAAGGGTTGTCTTTTTATAAGATATACCAAGGCGTGGCGGGGCGCGGTGGCTCACGCCTGTAATCCCAGCACTTTGGGAGGCCGAGGCCGGCGGATCATGAGGTCAGGAAATCGAGACCATCCTGGCTAACACGGTGAAACCCCATCTCTACTAAAAATACAAACAATTAGCTGGGCTTGGTGGCGGGCGCCTGTAGTCCCAGCTACTCAGGAGGCTGAGGCAGGAGAATGGTGTGAACCCGGGAGGCGGAGCTTGCAGTGAGCCAAGATCGCGCCACTGCACTGCAGCCTGGGTGACAGAGTGAGACTCTGTCTCAAACAAAAATAAATAAAAAAAGATATACCAAGGCGTGCTGGAGCCAGTGGCTACCAGCTCATGGCCATTATTAAAAATGGAAACACTTAACCTTACAATTAAAGAAATTATGGCCTGGCAAGGTAACTCACACTTGTAATCTCAGTGCTTTGGGAGGGCCAGGCAGGAGGATTGTCTAGGGCTCGGAGTTCAGACCAGCCTGGGCAACACAGTGAGACCCTGTCACTACAAATTAGCTGGTGGTGCTAATTTTAATTAGGTGGTGCATCCCTGTAGTCCCAGCTACTCAGGAGGCTAAGGTGGGAGGAAAGCTTAAACCTGGGAGATCAAGGCTGCAGCGAGCTTCAACTGCACCACTGCACTCTAGCCTGGGTGACAGAGCGAGACTCCATCTCTAAAAAAATAATAAATTTTTTTTAAAGAAAGAAAGCGAAGGTTACAAGCACTCCAAGGGCATTGCTTCCTGATCATCTGGCTACATGGAGCTACGAAGTCATCCGTGCCGTGGAGGTGACTTCCGCCAACTCCATGCACAGGGTGAGAACAGGATAAGACAGCCTGGTGCTAGGGGCATCTTTCCCCAGTTCCAAGTCAGCGGCAGCACGTTGTCACGTGGCACTGGGCACGGTGAGAGGATTTATTTACACCATGGCAACCGGCACATGCTACAAACGCAGCTTCCCCCTACAGAAAGCTGGTTGTTAAACATTTACCAGCACTCTACGGCAGAAAGATGCGTGTCGACAGAACGTGAGCAACATTTAACACGCACATGGAAGCCTGTTCCGCCTGTACAGATGTGTGCTGTGCCAGCCGAGGCTCTGTTGTAAATCCTAATTCAGATCCCGACCCGCAACTCGGCATCAAATCCACAGTCCCTGCTCCTGCTCTGAGGCCAGGATTCCTGGCCCTGGCCCACCTCCCTCAGGGCAGCTCTCCCCATGCCCACCACCTGTCTCCTGGAAGATGGCCCGCATGTTCCTGCTTCAGGGCCTTTGCACGTGCTGTGCCCACGGCCTGGGGTGCTCCCCCGACTTCTGCCTGGCCAGTCCCTTCTTATCACTCAGGTCTGAGCCCAAGGGACACCTCCTCAGAGAAGCCTTGCGGCCAGCTCCCTATAAAAGCTGCCCTCCTGCCCAGCAGTGGCCTCCTGACCCTGGCTTACATGTTTGCCCTTCAACACTCTCTCAAATTGCCATGCTGATTGACTTACGCATGGTCCAAGTCCCCCATGGGTGTCAGCTCCAGGGACCTTGTTTGCCCTTTTTTTTGGAGGCTTGCACATGGTCCAAGTTCCCCATGGGTGTCAGCTCCAGGGACCTTGTTTGCCCTTTTTTTTGGACGCAGGGTCTTGCTCTGTTGCCCAGGCTGAGGTGCACAGTGGCATGATCACGGCTCACTGCAGCCTCCACTTTCTGGGCTCAAGCAGTGCTTCCACCTCAGCCTCCCAAGAAGCTCGGACCACAGCAGCAAGCCACCTCACCCGGCTAATTTTTTAATTTTTTTGTAGAGATGGGGTCTCACCATGTTGCCCTGGCTGGTCTTGAACTCCTGGGCTCAAGCGATCCACCTACCTCAGCCTCCCAAAGTGCTGGGATTACAGGCATGAGCCACCGCACCGGGGTGACCTTGTTTGTCTTGTCCACGAGGGAATCACCTAGAATGACATCCCTGCAGAACAGACTCAAACACCACCCATCCCCCAGGGACAACCTGCCGCCTGTGAGCCTGCCAGGGCCCCTCCCTCAGTGCCTCCAGCTGCCACAGACACCAAGGCTGCTGTTCTGGGAACTACTTCCTGACTCCAGCAGCCCAGCTTGAGATGTCCCCCAGGCCCCCTCGATCCTGACCGATCTGCTGCCTGGGGAGCGCTCACATTTTCCACCTCCTTCTGCCTCTCTGATGCGATCGCCCCTGCACTGCATCCTGGCCCATGCAAAGGCCATGTTGGTCTTTTCCTCAACCTGCAGCCCGGTCTGCTCCATCCCTGGGCTCCGGCCCACTCACCAGCTGCCTTCCCTGGGAGCAACATCCCTGACTGCAGGACGTGGGGAGCCCCCAACTGTCTCCCCACCTAGCACAAAGCTGGGCAGGAAACCAGAGACATCTGCTCACTTCAACCCTAAAACTGCACCCAATCCTGCCCAGCCCAGCTGGCCCTGACTGGAGAGGACCCAGCCACCTCCTCTGGCAGGCCTGGGAAAGTCGGCACCACCGGAAGGCTGTGGGCCCATCCTGGCCCAGCCCCAAGCAGGCAGCAGGTTTGAAACAAGATACAAGCCCTCGGCCTGGGAGCTGAAACACAGCCTGGGGTGATCTGGCCCGCCCTGCCACCGGTCCCCACCATCAAGTGACTTCAGCACCTAGGGCAGGCAGCTAGCCCTGAATACCAACACCCACCGCACAGCGGCTGCCCCTCCCCAGGGACCAAGCCTGGCTGCTCCTGCCCTGGAACAGCCTTCCCGGTCATACTGTTCCCTGTGCAAACTGTCCGAGTGCCACAGCAAGGGGAACAAGGTCACCAGTCCCTCCGCAAAGAGCTGGGAGAGGACAGACGGAGGAGGCAGGGGACAGGGGGCTGTAGTGGGAGGGAGGAGAGAGAAAGGGAGAAAGGTGGGGGAGGAGCAGAGACCTGGAGGAGGAAGGGTGAGAGGAGAGACCCAGGGACAGGGTGAGGAGGGGAGGGGGCGGGGGAGGAGGAAGAGGAGAGATGGGGGAGAGAGAGAAGGGGAGAGAGAGAGAGAGAGCTAGAGACAGAGTTAAAAGACTTAGATGGGGGAAAGAGAGAGAGACGGGAAAGCACATGCAGAGAAACAGACGAGACGTGGACACAGAGATAAAGACACAGAGAAATAGAAAGAGGGAGGAAGACATGGGAAGAGAAACAGACGTAGCCACCCGTGTGCGCGCATACACACACAGAGAGAGAGAGAGAGAGAGAAACCTAGAAAAATGCAGGAGATTCAGAGCCAGGGGCTTGGGCAGAGCAGACCCAGAGGGACAGAGATGGGGAACAGTGGAGAGTGGACGGCAGCAGTCGGGGGCGGAGCCTCGGCCTCCCTGGGCTTCCTTCTTGGACCCAGGCCGGATGACTGGAGCCCAGGACGGGCTGTTCCCGTCTCAGTGTCCCATCTCTGCAGAAAGAGAGGCCCCCTTGGCCACATGAACCCCCATCGCTGCGGGAAGGCCATATTGGCTACCAGGGGCCGGGCCCTGCCACCTGGCCTAGCCAGCCTCACATCCTCGCTCCCCAACGGTCTGCAGTCAGGCCCCAGCATTCCTGGGCTCTGGTTTTGCAATTCACTAGGATAACGCGGCCCTTCCATCAATGAATCATGGACTATAAACCACTGTGCCAGCGCTTGAGCTGTTCCCCGCACCGCCCCACAGTCCGTGATTCACCTCAGGGTGGTGGTGATGGGGCTCGGAGCCCAAGAGAGGATGCTCGGGCCTCAACCCAGCCTCCAGGCTCAAAAGCCGCTCACGGCCGATCTCAGGGGCCAGGTTCCGGGAGGTGGGGGCTCGGCCCTCCCTTGCCAAAGCTCAGGCCTGTGGGGTCTCATGGGGGTGGGTGTGGAGGGGCTAGCATTCCAAAAGCCTATGCCCGGGCCTGCATCCCCGTGTCAGAACACAGAGAAGCTTCCAGAAAGAGGATGGCACCCTCCATTAAACAAGAAGGCAATCCCACCACTCTAAACAGCCATGCACATCCCTCGCCTCCAGCCGGCCACAAGGCTAAGCACCAGTGCCATGGATGCCAAGGTGGGCCAGAGTGAAGGCGGCCGCACACAGCGCGGGTCTGAGTCCAGAGACGTCCCATGGCCAGCACTTTTAATCAAGGACTTTCATATTCCACTTTATAACCATCCAAGTTTCAGAAACGTAACCATCGAAATGACACACAAACTGCTTTGGTACAGGGCACATGGTGTCGGGGTGACAGGGCGGAGAAGGGCCTGGTGCAAGCACTTCAGACAGGGCAGGTGTCCTTGAGATGACACGGTGGCACTGGCGTCTTGCTGCTGGGCTGTGGTTAAGCATTCGGGTGGCCACAGCATCTATGAAGCGTGGCTTTGCAAACATGCAGATGCACAGGCTGCCTCCTGGGCTGGACTGGCCAGACCTCCCTTCTAGAAGGGGCTGGCTGCCATCGGCTGTCAGGCGCGCTGACAATAACTCAGCTCAGAGCTGCCTCATCCAAGTTGGGCCCTGGCCAGGGAGGCCGTTGCCCACCCCAAACACCTGGGAAGGGCCGTTCCAGCTTGAGTGTACTCCCATGGGTGGTCTGGGCTGTGGGGTAGCCCACCTCGGGCTTAACAACCCCTTCAGCCACCCTGCTCCCTGCTCAGGGGCTGACCCCCAGCACCGAGGTTCTCAGCAGCGTCCTAGACCAACGCCTGGGAGCTCCTTGGAAATGCAGAGTCTTGGATCTCGGCCTTATTGTGGGGTGAGGGGTGCGGCCCAGTGACTGGGTTTCCCCAGCCCTTCCGGTGATTCCGACATGCACTCACATCTGAGGACTCAGACTGGGACACGTCCCCTCACAAAGCAGACCTTGGCCTCAGACAGGGGGAACTCCAGGAGGGCACAGCCCCAGGATGCTGGCTACAGCCATCCCAGCGTGGTCAGTGGTGTCTGAGGAAGTCGGAAGCCTCGCTGCCGGGGAAAGTGCACGGTCCAGTGTCCCTGGAGTCACTTCTCACCCCCAGCCCACAGGCTTCCCCTCCCTCGGGATCCCACCACAGCCTCCATTTCAATCCCACCTTGACAAATGGCGAAAGGAGGGGCACCCATGTCCTTGGTCCTGGGCCATGCACCCCCCAACTCAGGAAACCCACAGGAGGCACGTGGGCGCTGTTGACCCTGGGAGGGGCGGTCGTGCCCACTCCCCGACACCTCGGAAGTCCTACCCTGTGTCCACCTCTGCAGCGTGGAATCAGGGCAGTCTGGGGTGTTGAGATGGGCCAGGCGCGGCTGATCCCTTTACCCTATTTTCGGAAGGATTAAGGTCGGATTCGCATCTGAAGGTAGAGTCTGACAACCCTGGCATACAGTAGGCACTGAATAAATGCCCCCGGATGAACATGCATATACTGTGCATCCGATGGGCACCTCCTGGGGGGTCTGTGGGGCGAGCAAGCTTGGGGACACGAGGCAGGAAGGCCCCTGCGAGCGGCCTCTGTCCTGGTGACATGAGAGAGGCCACTCGTGCCTGTCTTCAGCAGAGATGTGGCCTGGAGCCACGGGCACCGCGCCAGGACCACAAGCACCACAGCCTCTCTGCGGCCACCCACAGCAGCCTCCACAGCAACCCAGGAGAGAGGGGCTGTGCACTGGGAGTGGGGGTGCTGAGAGAGCGCAAGAGACGCAGAGCGGGAGACAGAGATGGGGAGGAGAGACAAGGCGGGAGAGAGGGAGATGAGGAAGAGCCCTCAGCAACTCCCCAAAGACATATATGGTAACGGCGGAGGCACTGAGAGAGAAAGAGACAGTGGCCAGCTGCTGTCCCCAGGAGCTGAGGGACACATGGCAGGGGAAGAGACACAGGTGGTGGCGGGGGGTACTGAGCCCCCCCCACCCCAGGACTCCCACCCACCCCATATCAGAGGGTGTCTCCACAGCACAGATCCAGCCTGGCTCACCTGGGGTCCCCGCATCCAGCATCCGACTCCCCACTGACATGGAGCCTCATCATGAGCCCCTCTGCCGCCTGCCCTCGCAGGGCTCCTGCACAGACCACAGGAGAGGCCTGTCCTACCTGGCGGATCAGGGCTGGCTTCCAGAAGGCTGGCTTTATGGCCAGTGTGCTGCCGAGGGGACGGCTGGGCCTCCCTCCAACTCCCCGGGCTGCATGTGCCAGGCTAGAACCCTCAGTCTGCCACTCAGCAGGCTCCTTGGAAGCTTCCTCACCTCCCTGTGCCTCTGTCTCATCTGGCCAGTGGGGATAATTACACACCTGTCCCCAACACTAGTGAGGTTGAAATCATCACAGTGTGTGGCGATAGTGCTGCATGACTGTTGGCCGGCACCATCACTGTCGCCGTCATCATCACCATCATCGCCATCGCCACCATAGCGGCCAGCAGCACCCATCCCCATCACACAGCAGGGCCAGGTGCCCCTGGAATTTTGACAAGGCTCCCATGTCTCACTGGACTCCCAGGTCCCATCCCCCACCAGCCATCAAGGGGTCCAATGCATATTGGCTGAGATAACCTAAGTCTTCTTCCAAAACTAGAGGGCCCAGGAAGGGAGGGAGAACCCGACCTGCTGCCCTCCAGGTAAACATCACGGAGAAGGGAGCTTGAGCTCCCTCCCACTAGACGACATCGGGGAAGAGGCAGACAGCATCTCCTGGCAGTGGGCACCCTACCCCTGAGGGTGGGTGGGCTCACTGGCTGGGAAGACCCGGGTTCTCCATCTTCCCGTGGTGCCTGGGGAGGGGGCCCATGTCACGGTAGGGGGAAGGGGCTGTGTCTGCTCACTCAGAAACCTATGAGGGAGAGAGAAGCATGGACAAGTGTCCTGGGGCAGCTGTGAGGGGAGTGGGGCTGGGCAGGGGCTCGTGTGCTCCATGGCCAGGGATTCCCATCTGATCACAAGGCCTGAGCTGCCAGGATAGGTCAGAAAGAAGAACCGGCCCACAGAGGTACCCTGGGTGCCTGCATTGCCTGGAGCACAGGGCAGTGGCTCCCCAGCCCACAGTCACCAAGAGTCCCAGATGCCTGTCCCAGCCTGCAGGTGCCAGCCATGCTGAGGCAGCGGGGTAGTGGGTGGGGAGTGGTCTCAGTTCACCTCCCCACCCTCCTTAAGGAGCTGCAGGTTCTGTGTGCTCACAGCCTTGGCGCACTCAGAGACCACCACTGCCTGCACCTCCCGTCCGTCACCGCAGCCTTCCAAGCAGCGGTGCTGGGCCCACCCCAGGCCTGCTGTGCCCTCACCTGGGGCAGACTGATCAGCAGTGTCAGTGGCTCCACAAATACAGCCACAGACAGAGACGCTCAGCTGGCGGCAGTCACTGCATCTCCACTTAACAAGACAGGCTGAGCCTGAAGCTGCCGCTGATTTTCCTTGCTGCCATGGGGCAGAGAGGACTCTCAGCCCCAGAGTTAGCACTTGAGAACCCCTGTTTACCCCGTGGTTGTGAACCAGGCCTGTGGGGGGTGGCAGGGCCCAGGCCACGCCACCACCTCCTTAGCAAACGCAGCTGATCCGAGGAAGGGGCGAGCCCTGGAGACAGACAGGGACCTCCTGCCCGGCTTGCTTTCTGCCATCTTTCTGAGAGACGCAGAGCAGACAAGCATCATTTCCCCATCCTGGGAGCCCCTGCCTGGAACGGCAGCTTCAGCAGGGGATAAAAACTCACCAGCAAAGCCCCACCAACTCCCAGGCACCGCAGATACCACGGCTAAACCAGGACATCTCCGGTGTAAAGAGGGGCATGTTTCCTCCCTGCTATGGAACATTCTAGGGCTTCCCCGGTGCCCCAGCCTGGCCCCAGACATCTAATGCCCTCCTCCCCTGGTCTCACTGTAGTCTAACCCAGAGGTCTTCTACTTGGGGCTGGGGGTGATTTCAACAGCAAGTAAGAGTTGTGTGGCATATACAGTGTTGAGCTGTTTTTTCCCTTTTTAAAAAATGTGACCTAAGATTTAAAATCAGGCAGTTTCACATAAAACTGGATTTCCAGCTCGTCATCAAAGATCA
Organism: Homo sapiens; assembly: GCF_000001405.40. Taxonomy (NCBI): domain Eukaryota; kingdom Metazoa; phylum Chordata; class Mammalia; order Primates; family Hominidae; genus Homo; species Homo sapiens. The sequence continues at coordinate 124,416,061 of NC_000012.12, forward strand.
GAACACCTGGCAATTCAGGGCCAATGGCCAAGCGTCCACTGGAGCTGAGACGGGGCCCAAGCTCTGCAGTGAGCCACAGGCCTCACCACTCCCTACTCCCTCCCCAGACACGAAGGCAAGTGTGAGCTGTTATTTATCGAGTTTGCACTTCTATTTTTCACAGGGTAAAAAAAAACATCTCTATTTACCCATCAAAAATGAGCAAAAGAAAGAGGGTCACATAATCTCCCTTTCTTTGTTCCTTTAAGGCCCTGGGAGGTACCGGGACCCCCACGAATCCAAAGACTCAGGCCCCCTGCTGTTCCTGAAGACACGCGCTGTCTCTCATGCTCCCTGCCTTTGCACTTGAGGGCCCCATCCCTGTCCGCCTGTGGGGCTGCTCCTCAACCTCATCTTTGGGGCCTTTTATTCTACGGAGTCTTCAAGGATGTGCCACCAATGCCACCTCCCAGGGAGACCGGCGGCACAGGGAGACCCCGCGGCACAGGGAGACCCGCGGCACAGATAGACCCCGCGGCACAGGGAGTCCCCGCGGCACAGATAGACCCCGCGGCACAGGGAGTCCCCGCGGCACAGATAGACCCGTGGCACAGGGAGACCCCACAGCACAGGGAGACCCGCGACACAGGGAGTCCCCGCGGCACAGATAGAACCCGCGGCACAGGGAGTCCCCGCGGCACAGATAGACCCCGCGGCACAGGGAGTCCCCGCAGCACAGATAGACCCGTGGCACAGGGAGACCCCGCAGCACAGATAGACCCCGCGGCACAGGGAGACCCCGTGGCCCAGGGAGACCCCGTGGCACAGATAGACCCGCCGCACAGGGAGACCCGCGGCACTGTCTTGAAGCCACCTGTTTACAATGGCTCTGAACAACCAGCATGAAGCTCCCCATGTCCTGCACACAATAAATGCTCAATCAATGGATGAGTCAGCAAGCTGGACATTCGCTCCGCCCAGAGCAAGCCGGACACTCACTCCTGAGAGCAAGCCGGACACTCACTCCACGGAGAGCAGGCCGGACAGTCACTCCACGGAGAGCAGGCCGGACAGTCACTCCACGGAGAGCAGACCAGACACTCACTCCACGGAGAGCAGGCCGGACACTCACTCCACGCAGAGCAGGCCGGACACTCACTCCACGGACAGCAGGCCGGACACTCACTCCACGGACAGCAGGCCGGACACTCACTCCACGGAGAGCAGGCCGGACACTCACTCCACGAAGAGCAAGCCGGACACTCACTCTACTGGACACTCACTCTACCACAGTACAGGCCAGGCCTCTACAACAGGATATGCCGGGCACCGACACCCCCCACCCTTCTTAAATTACCATGGTCTCCCCACCTCCCTCTGTGCAAATGTGGCTCTCACACAGGGGGAGGGGATGGGCCTCTGCTCTTCAGAGCCCCCAGCCCAGCTACCAGGAAGGGCTCCCACCACAAGCCCAGCCTCAATGCCCCCAAACAGGTCATGGGAGGGGAACTGGGAAGGCCAGCAAGAGAATGAGCATACAGTAGGGGCCCAACAGACGCCTGATGATGTTTTCCAAATACCTCTTGAGGCCGTTAGCCACCCTTCCTTTGTCATAATCCCCACCGCTCCCTGCTGCCTCTCATACCTCAGCATCTATATACTCCCTGACTGGCACTTACCTTTTTGCCTCTCAGTCTAGAAAATTCCTGAATGCACTTCAATTTCAAAAACACCGTAGCGGCTGAGCACAGTGGCTCATGCCTGTAATCCCAGCACTTTGGGAGGCCAAGGCAGGTGGATCATCTAGGTCAGGAGTTCGAGACCAGCCTGGGCAACATAGTGAAACCCTGTCTCTATTATAAATACAAAAAATTAGCAGGATGCAGTGGCACGCACCTGTAATGCCGCCTACTTGGGAGGCTGAGGCATGAGAATCACTCTAACCCAGGAGGCAGAGGTTGCAGTGAGCTGGGATCGCGCCACTGCACTCTGACCTGGGCGACGGTGTGAAACTCCATCTCAAAAAAAAAAAAAAACAAATCCCAAAAAAACAAAAATAAAACATAGCTACGTCTTTGGAATACATGCTCTGTGCCACTCGGCCTTGGTTTTACACATCTGTTAGAAGGGCAAGCAGACTGGTCAACTCTGGCTACAGAAAACTAGACAAGAAAACCCTCTCCACAAACGCAGCCACCCTTCCACGATCCCTGCGGATAAGGACCGAGTTCAGCCCCAGGCATCGTGGCTGGATGTTGGGAATGCGGCGAGGGGTGGCTCATGCTCCTGACAACAGCCTCGTTTCCCTCATGGGAGTTTTCTTAGGCTGTAGGAAAGTGGCTGTTTCACGGCAGACACTGGGACCCCGCCCCCAACCCGTGATGGCTGGTCTCAACACCTTATGGGTCTCGACCTCTGGCAGCCTGGGAAAGGGAAGGCGGGGCAGCTCTGGGGAGGGGCTAGAGGGTGCCACTATAGGGAGTACCAGCCACCTTCTCCCACCTGCAGCCTCTCCAGGCACAGTCCAACCAGCCTTGTGGGTGCAAAACAACGGCTTTACCATTCTCTGGGGACACTTTGTGTCTACCGGCCACCTGGAGCTGCTCCGGGCCTGGGCTTGACACAAAGTGGGCTTTAGGCCTCAGGTCCACACAAAGGTTTGTCCAAAGAAGATGGGGACTTGTAGGCCACACGTCTGGCTTGGCATTAGGGGTGTCAGAAAGCAGTCAGTGACCCTCAGAGGGACCTAGAAAAGCTGGTCCCTCCAGTCCCTTTGAGGCATGCCACTCCTGCCTACGAAAACTTCACTGGGATGCCAGGCACGTAGTGCTTCCAGAATCCACCCCCAGTTTGCAAGGACGCTCCACGCGGCTCGTGCTATTCTTGGCCTTTGTCACTCTCACCCGGCCCCCACCCCAGCCACTGAGGACCCCAGGAAGGAAATGCCTCGACCGACTCCAATCCAGCAGCTGCCAGAGTGCCCACTGCCTCCACCCGCCTCCTCTGTGTGGTGCTCCCAGCATCTGCTCTGAGACGATGCTTCAAGAGCCCGGATGCAAAACAAATTCTCCCAAACACCGAGCGCCCAGGATCCCCCTTTCAAAGGCGTGCCACTGAGCCTCTCATCTCTACCATTATTTACTGGATATTTTTTCAAACCAACTCCTTTTCCTCTAACTCGGAGGAAAAAGCAAACTTTTTCTATGAAGGGCCAGCTAGTAAACATTTGAGACCCTGTACGCCATACACTTTTGGTCACAACCATGCAACTCCACCAGAGCAGCAAGGACGCTGCCATGGTAATATGTAAACAAACAGGCATGGCTGTGTTCCAATAAAACTTTATTCACAAGAACAGATGGTGGGCCGGATTAGCCCCAGAGTCCCAGTCTGCCAGCCTCTGCTCTAGCGTAAATAATCTTTCAGTCTCATCCCAAGCAACGGCGTCTGAAAAAACGGCGAGCTGAAGTACTGGCTATTTTTTCTTTCAAGTATGTATTAAGATAAACACACACAACCATTAACATTTTAAACATGAAGTTTGTGAACTACCCCAAGTCATCCTGGGAAGCTCTTACTTTTGGAATGTAGCCTTTTTACGCACAGAGATCACAGGTCACCCAGTCAGGAGTCTGGGATTTCACAGGCTGAGGAGGCCCGTGGCTGTTTCTCCCCAGCTATCTTCCTGGCCACTACGGGAGGCTCGAGATAGCCTGGCAGGGTGAGCACCCCAGAGGGGGTCTCCCCACATCTGCTGCTACCACGGAGGGGAGCCTGCACTCACACTGCCGGTGGCCAAGCAACAACAACTCATGGAGACAGTTACCGCCAGCCATGCGGGGTGCTGGCCACCAAGCAAGTGGCCGCTGAGCATGCAGGGAGCCTGCAAGGACAGTCACCCCCACCTTGCCTCTTACCTGGCTCTTGCCGCGGCGCCGATAGCTCCGTCTCACCAGGCTCTTATAGTTCTCATTCTTCTTAGTCAGGTAGTAATAGAGGACGCACTCAGCCACTGTCTGTGGGACAGAGAAAGAGGACGCTGAGCAGGGTACAGCACAGGCATTCAGGGCAGGAGCCAGGAGCTCACATCCTGGGCTCATATCCTGCCTCTTCCACGTACCGGCTGGGTGACCTCGGACAGATGACCTAACCTCTGTGTCTCAGTTTTCTCATCTGTAAAATGGGAATGCTAATTGTACATACTTCACAGGATTATCACAAAGATCAGATCAGTTAATACATAGGTAAAGTACTTGGGACGAGGCCTGGCCCAGAGCAAACATGATGGAAGTCTTTCCTGTTATCACAGTCACCGCTGTTGCTATGGTTAATGACAGCGCTGACGTCGCCATGTCACCCCCAGCCCTTATGGGAAACAAGGACTCCAGCCCACAGCCGGGCAAACTCAAAGCCTTCCCCAAACATAGGTCCGGGTTCTCTTTTCCCTGGCTTCAGCCTTCTCTTCCCTGATATTTGAGGTCCTGAATAGCCTCTTCCAAGCCTTGTGCATCGGGACCGCCCCACGCCCCACGCCCCACGCGCCTCTTCCTGGGTTTCCTTCTTTTCTCTGCCTTGGTCTTTTCCATGTAGATTGGGTCTGAAAGCCGGAGCAACCAGCCCTCCATGAACCCCGGCCAAATGGGACGAGTAAAAGGGGCAGCCTCAGAAAGTGATGCCACGATGCCCCCACTTGCGGGCATGGAGCCCAGCTTGCCAATGCCCACAGCCGTTCCCCTTACAATGTAAAATGTTTCTGCAATGCTCTGGCCAGTGCCAAGCCAGGACCCCACCTCCAATGGGCATTCTGTGAGGCCTCTGAGCTGGGCCTCAAATCTCACTGCCCTCAACAGAAAGCCCCCAGCTGGCAGCCTCCTGCCAAGTACGACCGCCAGGGGGGCTCCCAGGCGGCCCCAGGCTAAACCCAGCCCACAAACATGGCAATCGAGAAAGACGTTTTATAATCAGATGCCAATATTTGCAATTCAGGGGATGTGGGTGCCCGACTTCTCCTTTAACAATTCAAGAGAGCTCCTTCCTGCGCTCAGCAATGGCAGCCCGGCTCCGGACAGCAGCTGCCCCCGCAGACGGGCACAGACTGGCTGGTCCACCTGGCTCCCAGCCAGACGTCAGCCTCACTCACTGTCAAGACCTGACTGTCCCCGCCGGCCTCTCCGTTGGCAGCTCCTGCTCCAGACCCCTCTGGAAGCTCTACTGAAGCCTTGTCCTGGGCTGCCTCTCAGCCAAAGAACATCATGAAGTTTACTCCCCAGCACAAAGACTTCTAATCCCCTCATCCTGAAGGAGGACTGCTCGATGGCCAGTTTCTGAAATGCTTCCATCCTGGGGAGCCCTAACCTAGAGTCCGCCGTGCCGTCCACTCCCTGAGGGAGACGTCGTCACTCAGAAGATGGGCTATTTATAGGGCTTGTTTCTCCACACTGGTTTTTCAGGCATGGAGAGATTTTTCCCCACTCTGCTCGGTCTCTCTCCTTCTACGGTTATCAGCTCATGAGGGGCAGGCGCTGGGAACAGCTGTCCTTTAAAATAAGTGCCTCATCCTCCTGGCCTCCCTCCTACAACCAGGAAGCCCGAGCAGGGTGTCCACCAAGCTGGGGTGGGCAGGTCCCCATCTCTGAGAAACGTGATTCAGGGGAATGCTGCTTAAGACACACGGACGGCAGCCTTTCTCCTCTGACCCCAAGATGCTGGGGGAAGGCCCAGGGGCCACGTCCAACATGCAGCCTCATCCAGCCACCTTCTCCCACCTGCAGCCTCTCCAGGCACAGTCCAACCAGCCTTGTGGGTGCAAAACAACGGCTTTACCATTCTCTGGGGACACTTTGTGTCTACCGGCCACCTGGAGCTGCTCCGGGCCTGGGCTTGACACAAAGTGGGCTTTAGGCCTCAGGTCCACACAAAGGTTTGTCCAAAGAAGATGGGGACTTGCAGGCCACACGTCTGGTTTGGCATTAGAGGTGTCAGAAAGCAGTCAGTGACCCTCAGAGGGACCTAGAAAAGCTGGTCCCTCCAGTCCCTTTGAGGCACGCCACTCCTGCCTACGAAAACTTCACTGGGATGCCAGGCACGTAGTGCTTCCAGAATCCACCCCCAGTTTGCAAGGACGCTCCACGTGGCCTTTGAGGAGCTGGCAGGAGACCCGTCGGGCACACGGGGCTCCAGGAAGCCTGGCCGTGCAGCTCTCCCTGGGGTTCTCGGGATTCCCAGGTGCTCAGCAACCTGAGGCTCCTCCTCCATGGGCCCAGGAGGCCAGGGCGGGGCCTGCACTGATCTATCTCCCAGATGGAAGGAAGGGAGGGAGGGAGGAGGGGAGCATGGCAGCTGGAGCAAGGGGCCAGGCAGGCCAGGGCCTTGTGGGCAAGGAGGGAGGGCCTCCACCCTGAGTCCACGCAGTTGCCCACGGAGGTGGAGACCGAAGGGGTATGGGGCGGGCAGCGACTCACCTTCCTCTCCAGGAATGATGCGATCAGGCCAAAGTTCTTGGGATGCTGCATGAACCTGCGGGACGAGAAGGGTGGGCGTGAGACCTGGCCGAGGGGGGCTTTCCTGCGGGGCAGCCGATCGGCTCCCAGGCGCCTGCCATCCCCACTGGCCGGGCCTGGCGGGCACCGCCCCACTTGGAGCAATTAAGCCCAGGGGGGTGTGGGAAGGGCTGCTGCGGCAGACGGGAGGGGTGGGGACCCAGGGGTAAGAGAGGGCGTTCCTTGGAGTGAGTCACTGGCTTTAGCGCCTTTGAAAATATATTTGTTTGTCCTGCTGGAGGCGGCTTCCAGGAAAAATGAGGACACGACATGCAGCTCTTTGGTGGGGTTCCCCCCCCTTTAAAATCCACTTTTGTTTCTCTCTCCAGCTGGATCTGGGAAGCAGGGCCTCACCCAGCCCACACAGGGTCTGCTTGGGAACATGGCAGGGCCCCACCAGTGGGGTCATAGCTCACCAGGCTGCTGGGCCTCCCCAGAAGAGCTGGGAGCAGAGGCTCTGAGTGCCCGTGGGGCAGCAGGAGGGGGCTGGCCAGCCAAGGAGGCGGCAAGCATGGACTTAAGTCGGAGGGCGGTGGCGGGTCGCTGGCACTGTCCCAACTGGCTTCCTGCGTAGCCAGGAGAATTACTGGGAAACCACTGGGCCCAGGCTGAAATGTGAGGGCCAAAGGAGCGGGAGCATGGTGGGGGCGGGGATGTGGGTCAAGGCCTGCTCCACCCCAGGGGTGCTGGGTGGAGTCCCTGGCCCCAGGCCCAGGCGTCCCGGCGACGTGCCACAGCCCCACAGCCTTCGCAGGGAGAGCAGCGGCTGGCTGCTAGTGAGGCTGGACTGTGGGCTCCCACGGAGGGAGGCTGAGTGAGCACCAGTGCCCGACCTGCCTGGCCCTCCAGATGGCTGGGCAGGAGGCCAGCAGGCCCCGCGCCTGCTTCCCAGCCAGACATCCGAGGATCCTGAACAGTCTCTGCTCTCTTCCCGGTGGAAGCGGCGCAGTGAGGAATGGCAGGCTTCCCTGGCCTGGGATCCCACCTCGGGCGGCTGGCAAGGCCGGAGCCATCCTAAGGCCCTTCTCTTCCAGGTAGGGAGAGTCCTTTCCTCTCCGCTCCCTCTCCTTGTCCCAGTGACATTTCCTTCCCTGCAAACCCCTCCCACGGGGTTTCCCCAGGCACAGTGGGGGCTCCCAAGAGACCAGGAATCAAACTTGGGAATCTCCTAGGTCCCCTGTTCCCCTCCCTCAATACCTCACTTGCACCCCTGGAAGACGTTTATTAGAAGTTTCCTATGCCCTGCATACCTCACAAGGGAGGCCCTGTCGCTATACCCATTTTACAGACGAGGAAATTGAGGTTCAGAGGGGGAATGGTCACATGGCCAGCACGTGGTGGAGCCCCATGCCGTCAGTAGGTGATTTTCAAAGCCCCGAGTGCTATCAATTCCTCTGCACATGAGACCTCAAACCAAGCCCACAGTCCTTGAGGCATGCAAGTGGCCAAGTTGCGGCTCACACAGGATGGAAGTTACGCCAGCCCCACGGGCCGGCAGATAGCAGCCCAGCCTGGGTCCCCCACCCTTCGGTTACTGAATTAACAGAGGGTGACATTATCAGACCTGCAGAGCCACATGAGATCTTCCGAAAGGCTGAAGCCGCAGAAAGTCTCCCAGAACACCTTTTTTTTTGTATTTCAGAAAAAATACATACACTAAAACATCATGCCTACCAGGGGGAACGTGAATCTCAAACGCAACAGTAATTCAGTAATTCTTAACACCCGTGACCGTCCCACCATCACCTCCCTCGTTCAAAACTGTAAGAAGCATTCGACGGAGACTTTGATTTGACGTAGAAAGATCGTGCCTGCTATGGTGAGGCTGCAGGCACGAGCCATTAAGTAACCGAGTATTCCTGCTCAGGAACCAAGCGCTGTTTCCTGTGAAGGACCACTCACTCGGTGCTGTGGGCACTCCAGGGCTCATTACCCCACCCCTCTATTCTTATGGACGTTTCAACATTTCCATAATCAAAAGCTACTCTTAAAAAATGTTTTCCACCAAAGACCCTCCTGGATAGCCACTGTGTCCTTTCTGAGTTCGGTATCTGCACTTGCGGGTCCACTCACCCCTGCCGGGGACCCAGAGTCACCCCATCCCTTAGGTCCTGCCTGGCACCTCTTTGGGGCCACAACCCTGGACCAAAGCCCAGGGCACTGGGGAAGGAGTGTCATTGCTTTGGAGGAAGCTCTTGTCCGGAGGCAGGGTCTTCCCCAAGGCAGCTCAGTAGCCTGCCGGGTGAACGTCGGGCAGTGACAAAGTCTCTTCCCTGCGTCCCCTCCTGGCCAAGCACAGAGGCCTCCGTCCACACCTCAGTTTCCCACTCTCCTGCCTCCCAGAGCTCTGAGGTCCTGAGGAGGTGCTCTATGTCCTGGGCAGGGAACCCAGCCCTCTACGTGCAAGTGATTAGAGCAAGCTTGTCCAACCCACAGGCCACATGCAGCCCAGGACGGCTTTAAATGCGGCCCAATACAAATTCGTAAACTTTCTTTAACCCTTATGAGATTTTTGGCCAGGCGTGGTGGCTCACGCCTATAATCTCAGCACTTTGGGAGGCCGAGACGGGCGGATCACGAGGTCAGGAGATCGAGACCATCCTGGCTAACATGGTGAAACCCCATCTCTACTAAAAATACAAAAAATTAGCCAGGCATGGTGGTGGCCGCCTGTAGTCCCAGCTACTCGGGAGGCTGAGGCAGGAGAATGGCGTGAACCCGGGAGGCAGAGCTTGCAGTGAGCAGAGATTGTGCCATTGTACTCCAGCCTGGGCAACAGAACGAAACTCTGTCTTGAAAAGAAGAAAGAAAAAAAGGAAAAAAAAACCTTATGAGATTTTTTTTGTGATTTTTTTTTTAGCTCATCATGTATCATTAATGTTAGTGTATTTTCTGTGTGGCCCAAGACATTTCTTTTTCCAGTGTGGCCTGGGGAAGCCAAAAGATTAGATTCCCCGGAATTATAGCACACTGTCCCTAAGGCGTGGGGTGGCTCAGCAGGGCCCACGATCTCCTCTGGGGACCCCGGGCCAGGGATGGAGGTCTCCTTCTGCCTGGATGTCACATCGCAGATTCTCACTGTGGGGTTTGGCCCCCTCAGACACAGCTTTTGAGAGAACTCGACTCCCGTCTCTGCTCTGCACAGCCCCCCTCCCTGGCCCCATTCACAAACCATTCCCTATACAGCCTCTCCATTCCAGCTGGAGGAGTCTGAACCCTGCCTCCATTGTGTGCATGCTGTGTGGCCTTTGTGCACTGTCTGAACCTCTCTGAGCCTCCGTGTCATCAGCTGTGTACTGGGGTGGGCCTGGCTGAGCTGTCATAAGGGACAGGAGGGGGAAAATGCATGAAGCTGAGAAGACACAGGCACAGTGATGGGATCACGAACCCACTCAGCCAGCAGCTATTGTCAAAGACAAAACAAAATAGAAACCACCAAAAGCCACTGGCCAGCTGCCGCCCTGCCCAAGGCTGCGGCCCAGCCTCTAAGTCCCTCCTGCCTTGTTCTTCCGACTCGCAGTGCCCCGTCTTACATCCAGCTGCCCTTACACTTTGTACCATATTGAAGTGTGTCCTCTTAAAATTCATGGCCACCCAGAACCTCAGAATGCGGCCTTATTTGGAAACAGGGTCTTTCCAGATGTAATTAGTTGAAGTGAGGTTGTATTGGGTTAGGCTAGACCCTAAATTCAGTGTGACGGGTGTCCTTATAAGAAGAGGAGAAGCACAGAGACAAAGGTCATGTGGGGTCGAAGGCAGAGCATGGAAGGATGCATCTAGAAGCCCCGGAAGGCCAAGGATGCTGGCAGCACCAGCTGGGAAGAGGTCAGGGACAGGCTCTCCCTTACGGCCCCCAGAAAGAACCAACCCCACGAAACACCAGGATTTGGACTTCCGGCCTCCACAACCAGGAGAGAGTAAATCCCTGCGGTTTTAAGCACCCCCCGGCATGCTCATTTGTGGTGGCTGCCGGGAGACAGCGCAGGCCTCAACAGGATGGGGGTGGGGGGCCGGGAGGCCAGGCCAGGTGATGGAGGACTCACTTCTCCCGGAAGGTCTCCTTCTCCTGCTCACTCCACATGTTCATGACCTGGCGGTCTTTGTACACCTTCATGGGGTCGGCCATAAGCCCGTTCATGTTGATGAACTTGATGCGCTGCTGGTCAGCGTCGTACAGCATGGGCGGGATCACGGCCAGCTGGCGCATCTGCTTCTCCAGGTTCTGCAGGGAAACGGAGGGCAGGGTCAGAGGCCCAGGGACGAGGTGCTCCGGCCGGCGCAGGGGACCCAGGGAAGACACAGAGGGGACGGATGGTCTGCGCCAGAGCAGGGAAAACGCGAAACCAAGGAGAAGGAGAATGATGAGTTTAAAAATAATAATAGCTCATGCTGGGGGAAGGGAGAATGTAAAGGCCTCCCCGACAGGTTTATGGTGGGCAGGACTGTAGATTCAATGCAGAGAGCAGCAGCCGCCTTCTCTGCAGTGGGAGGGGAGCCATGAATCTTCCCTTTGGAAATGCAAGCGCCATAAAGCACTGCAGGAAGGATGCTCAGCCCAGCTGGGCCCAGGGAGCCCGGGAGACAGGCTGGCCTTCCAGGTTCCGCAGGCAAGAGTGGGCCCTGGGGTCCAGCTGGCCCCACAGCATGCAGGCAGCCCAGGGGCGCAGAGAGGGTCAGCGCCTCGCTGGTGGAGAGGTCTTTCCTGCCCCCACACTACACGCCCCCTCCCGGCACCCCGCTCCTTCAGAGGGCCCACCTGGGATCTGGCCTGCCCAGCCCTGCATGCGGCAGGAGTCAGGCGGCCGCTCCTAATGCACTGGGATGACTATTAAGAGGCTCTGAGCCGCCACTCAGCTGGGCTCACTTCCCCAAATCTCGCAGCCAGCCAATTACTGGCGATTAATTACCCATCTCCGGAGGTAGGCGAGGACTCCGCGTAGCCAAGGTCAGCCAGTTCAAACGATCCAGCTGCCCGGCCGCCCACATCCAACCTCTTCACTCAATGTGCAGGACTCCCAGCCAGGGGTCAGGTCGGGTGCGGGGCACAGCTCTGACCCCGGGGTGGGAGAGAATCCCCCCAAGAGGCTGGCATCTGTCTCCCAGACCCTTGGAGCTGTCCCCTACACCCCTGATACGGAACGGCGACCTTCCTCGGGTATCCCAGGGATGTAATAATGGCAGGACCCCCGGCACGGCCACAGGCAGGACCTCTGCTCTGCCCTCCCACAGCTGCCTTCCTGTCCTTCCCATGCCGGCCATGTGCTCTGACCACAGGAAGCTCCCAGAAGGATGGGAAGTGCCTGTCCTCCGGCCCAGCCCCCTCCCTTGCACACTCCCGGGGGAACCTCAGGTCACCCCAGGCTGGCTGGGGAAGTTTCTGTCCCAAATTCCACTTCCACCCTTCACCCCGGACACAGCATCCTTGATGTCCCTGAGGACTCTGATGACTGCATTCCCATGTGGCCAGTGTGTGTGTGTGTGTGTGTGTGTGTGTGTGTGTGTGTGTGTGTACATGCAACAATCAGCCCAGGTGCCACACCCTTGGCCATCAGGTGAGGAATGCAGAGGAGAGGGCCACCGGCCTCCTCCTTCCAGTGCAGACTAAACCCACAGCCAGCCTCTCTGCGGGATGTCCATAAGTGCACAGCATCGGTGAGACAGGGGCTGACACGGCCCAGCTCCGGCGCCCAGCCTTCGAGGGCCGGGCCCTGTGGCTGTGCAATGCGATGGCTTTCTGAGCTCTGTTTTCTGTCAACTGGATGTTGTTGTAAACAAAAACGTACCACGAGAAGTTTTAAAATGAAAAATTATGTTTTAATGGCCAGATTCATCTTTGGATTGCCTGCGTCAGAATCAAGTGGGTGGCTGGGTAAAAATGCGGATTCCTGGGCTCTGCCCCAGACCAGCTGAATCAGAGTCTCTGGTGAGAAACTGCTACTTAAACCAGCCGCCCCCTCCCTGGGGCCCCTTCCATCTGTCTAATCTGAGCATCAGCATCGCAGGGCAGCGCGTTCTGTTGTCCAACAGAGCACTCTGCAGCCAGGGAGGTGTTCGCTGTCTGCTCCGCCCAGGAGGGGAGCTGCCAACCACAAGCGGCTGTCGAGCTCTTGAGATGTGTCAGATGCAACCGAGGAACTGAATTGCTAATTTTATCCCATTTTAATTAATTTTGATTTCAATAGCCATGCGTGGCTCTGCTGTGCTGAGCTAAAGGGCTATAATCTCCCATCTGGACAAAAGCTCTCCCTGGACAAAAGTCCCCAGAAGGAAGAAACGTGCCGTGGCTGCCTCGTGTCTGCTGTGGTGTTAGGAGCAGGGGGTAGTCTCATCATGGGTACCTGACCCACAGGACCCGGGAGGGAACAGGCTGACACCAACTTCCTCCCCAGGAGAAAAGGCTGCCTCTCTGCTTCCTGGCCATCTGTGGGCCCCAGTGACGGCAGCCAGGGTCACCTAGGCTGACCCCAGGGTGTCCTGGCACCCCAAAGAGGCCTGAGGGGAAACCGGCCCTGCTCCAGCCAGGAGGGCTGAGGTGCCTGCGAGAAGGTCGTGGCTGCGTGGACAGCTGGCGTGCTGGGAACTCTTCGGCCTGCGCCATGCTCCCCCCACCCTGCCAGGCTCTGGGCCCTGGAAGGCTGACCCTGGAACCCACAGGCACTCCCGCCCCTTGGGCTTCTGGCTGGACTCAGCCAATGGGAAGTTCCAAAAGGAGGCAGGAGATGGGAAGAGTGAGAGGCAGGGTCCTCGTCCCCCAACCCCCTCCCTGTTGTGGCATCTGGATGGGGGAGCGCCAGGGCCCTCCCTGCAGGGGGTCCTGCTACCCTCCCTCTCAGACACATTAACACCCCTCTCTCTGCTCGCCCCTGCAGGCCTGGGACGGGTACCTCAATACCCACCTTGATTCCACCCGCGCTTCGGTGGCAAAGCCCCTCGACGTAAACCACCCGGGAGGTGGTTTCTGGCTAGGGCCTCTGCACCCTCACGGGGGATGCCAGGGAAAAGGAGCTGAGGCCAGAGTCAGGGCCTGGACTCACCTCCTGCTCTGAGAGGCCATCGATGATCTCTGACACCTCGTGCTCGCTGCGGGCGGCCGACATGGACAGCCCACTGCCCCGCTGGCCCACCCTGCTGGGGACCAAGGGGACACACTCAGGACCGGTCTTCTGGTGGTCGGGGACACTAGCAGACCCCTGTGGCGCAGCCCTGAGCCCACGCCCTCCCCAGAGGAGAAGTGTGGGCAGCGGCCAGCAGAGGGGCCGGCCCCACACCCGGGGTCCTGGGGAGGCATGGAGCCCCCACCCCAACCCAGCAAGGCCAAACCCTGTGACATGGGCAGCTCAGTCCCTTCCTCTCTCCTAAAACACCCTGAAAAGCCCAGCTACAAAGATCTGGGTTCAAAGCCCAGCTCTGCCTCTTTGGCCCTGGGCCGAAGTGTTTCTCTCTGTGCCTCAGTTTCCTCCCCTGTCATATGAGGATTCAAAAGTGGCACCTGGCTGCCTAGAGCTGTTGTGGGGAACTTAATGAGACATGGCTTGTGACTTCAGTTAAGGGTGAAAGGTGTTGTTATCATTACCAATGAATCGCCTTATCTGTGCATCCAAAGAAAAATGGCCATAGAACCACAGCTGCCTGTCACCAGGCACCTCTCAGATGGGGCCCACCCAGTCCTCACAGCCACTGGGGGAGGCTGACAGCGTGGTCTCTTAGCCACGTCTCTCCCCTTTGTCCCACACCAGGGATCTCAAACTCAGCTGCCTTCAGGGGTCGTGCAGGCCCCAGAAATGAGTGAAGCTGGCAGGTGCACGCTATGGCACATGGGAAGAAGTGCTTGTCCCCAAAATGTATTTAAGTTCCAAGTAAGTATTAGGCCAAAGAGGCTCCACGTGACACAGGCCAGGGTCTGGTAGGGCCCTGGCCACTGGCCTGAGAAGCTGCTGTGCTGTTCTGTTCCTTCCTGGCCAGGCCATCTCTACTGAGGATGCTGGAGCTGACCCCGGGCCCTGACGTCGGGGGCCCTGGGCTCAGGCCCCGCTCACCTCTGCATGCGCTCCTGCAGCTCGCGCTGCTTGCGGATCTCAGGGAACTGCTTCTCGTAGTACTCGCGCACCTTGCTCTCCTTGGCCCGCCGCCGGGGGTTGTTCTCGATGCGCTCCACCTTCTTCTCCCAGGCCTCCATGAGCTGGTCATAGCGCTGGCAGAACTTCTGCTCCTGGGAGAGCGCAGGGGGCACTGCGGAAGATGCTCCTGCACCTGGCACCCGCCGCCTCCCCCCTGCCCACTCACATGCAGGCAGACACACAGGTGCGTGCGCACACACACAAAGTCACACAGGCACACACATATACAGTCAGATACAGCCACACAGACACATACATACAGGCACACACATACAGTCAGATACACACAGGCACACAAGCACACAGGCACATACAAGTCACACAGGCACACACAAATGCAGTCACACAAACACACATATACTCAGACACAGTCACAGACATGCACATACAGGCACACACATACAGTCAGACAGATATACACAGGCACACACAAGTCACACAGGCAGACACACATGCAGTCACAGACACACACAGATACACAAAGTCACACAGACATGCACACACAGGCACACACACATACAGTCAGACAGATATACACAGGCACACGTACATACAGGCACACACAAGTCACACAGGCAGACACACAGACACACACATACAGTCACAGACACACACAGTCACATACACACATGCAGTCACCCACACGGTACACACACAGTAGACACACAGTCACACAGACAGTCACATGGCAGACACACAGACAGATACACAGGCAGACAGACAGACAGACACACAGTCACACAGGCAGACAGACAGTCATATAGGCAGATACACAGAGAGACACACACACACAGATATATACACAGGCACACATACATACAGTCAGACAGATATACACAGGCACACATACATACAGGCACACACAAGATACACAGAGAGACACACACACACAGATATATGCACAGGCACACATACATACAGTCAGACAGATATACACAGGCACACATACATACAGGCACACACAAGTCACACAGGCAGACACACAGATACACACACATACAGTCACAGACACACACAGTCACATACACACATGCAGTCACCCACACGGTACACACACAGTAGACACACAGTCACACAGTCACATGGCAGACACACAGACAGATACACAGGCAGACAGACAGACAGACACACAGTCACACAGGCAGACAGACAGTCATATAGGCAGATACACAGAGAGACACACACACACACATATATACACAGGCACATAAGTCACACAGCCAGCCAGCCAGACACACAGATGGTCACACAGGCAGACAGACACACAGTCAGTCACACAGGCAGGCAGACACACACACATGGTCATGCAGGCAGACATATGACAGACACACACACAGTCCATCACACAGGCAGGCAGGCAGACACACAGGCGGTCACACAGGCAGGCAGACACACACACACGGTCATCCAGGCAGACATATGACAGACACACACACAGTCGCAGGCAGACAAACAGATGCACACACAGGGTCTCGCAGGCAGACATGATGGACACACATACACAGAGTCACACATGTAGACACACAACAGACACACACACATCACACAGGCAGACGACAGAAAGACAGGCACATAGTTGCATGGCTATCCAGCAGACGGGGGCCCCTGAAGAAAACCCACAGACTTCCCCTGAGGACACGGTCACCTCCCTTCCTGGTGAACCGGCCACCCAGACCTGGCCTCCTCTGCAGAGGCCTGGTCCCAAATGGAAGCCACCCACCATGTGTGGCTCAACTGAAATCACAAATCCAGTAAAATTTAAGAGTCGGGCTCTAGTTCTCCCCAGCCATGCTTCCAGTGTCCAGCAGCCACATGCGGCTGGGGCTCCGGCCGCACCAGACAGCCCGGATGGAGCCCACTGCCACACCACAGGAAGCTGTGCTGTACAACATGCGGGCCCGTCAGCCCTGGGGAGGGGCAGCCGCCAGAGAAAACCACATTCCAAGCAGTTCCTCATTCCCCAGCCTCACCCCAAGGACCAGCTGTGAGGACCCCAGCAGCTCCCAGAGAGGGGGCTCTGCCTTCCCTCCAAGACAAGGAAGTCCCTCTCCACATCTAACCACAGTGCTGCCTGCTGCATGTCCTTTGAGAAGAGATCCCCAATCAGCCCAGAGCATAGCTGCCTGGCTTCCACATCTCCAAGGTGACTTGAGCAAGTGGCGGCGGGGGGCGGGGGGTGGGGGCGGGGAAGGGGACGCAGGGCGAGCCACCCACACAACCCCAGTTACTCCACCTCTAACAGCTGGGGGTGGACAGACGGTGTGATCTGGGAGCCTCCACAAACACCCACTTGGTGCTTCGGTACAGTCAGAAAGCCCCTCTCTGGTCCTGGAGCCCAGACACCTCAGCCCCACCCCACCCCATATTTCAGCTGCTGACCAAGGGCAAGCTGTGCCCTCCATCCTCGACAGCCCCGTGACCATGACGGTCCCCACGAGGTGGCCAGGCTGGTGCTGGGTGGCCCAGAACCTAACCCCATGCATGCAGGCTGTGCCAGGAACGCGCTGGAGATCAAGAGGCAGTTCTGGTGACAGACAACGGCCACACGTGCTCGGGGCAGTGGCTGCTGACAGCCCCAGTGAGGGATGGGGACTGCAGGGACGGCAACAACCAGCCCATGCCACCTCGGCCCCTGTCCAAGAGGCCCCAGGCTCATGGGTGAGAAAAGCTCACCTCAAGCCAGCAGAGGAAAGTCACGTGGTGACTGGTGCAGACCAGCGGGCGGAAGCCAACAGGCCACTGGCCAGCGGGGCCTCAGCCTGTCCACATTGCCGGCAGGGCGCTGGCAAGACGGCCCGGCTCTAGCTGGGTCCCTCGTGGAGTGCACGGGTGGCAAAGGCCTCCAGCAGTAGTGTCCCTGAGGGGACATCCAGACACCTCCATGGCCCCAAGCACTGGGCTCTGCCTTCTGCCCAGAACAAGGAAGTCCCCCTCTGGGTCTAACCACAGTGCCACCTGCTGTAGCCTGTGCCTATGTCCACTGTGCTGGGTGTGCATTCGGTCTGCCTCGGACAGCGCAGGGCGGGCAGCTCCGGCCTGGCCTGGGTAGCAGGGAAGATGCTCACTGGCATTTTTCTACAAGGGCAGACCCACTGGCCAGGGGAGGAAACAGATCCCTTCCTCCCTTCCCTCCCTCCCTCTCTCTGTCTTACACACACACACACACACACACACACACACACACACACACACACACACACACACGCACACACACACACAGGGAAAGACTGGAGCCGTCCCCCTCCCGCCCCCCACCCCCGCCAGCTAGTCTGCGGGGTGCTAGGAGCGCAAATCCACTAGGGAGAAGAAGCAGGCCAGCCATGCCTCTGGGACCACAGGCTGAGCCAGTCTCTCAGCCAACTGGGCCTCCAGAGGGTCCAGCTCAGCTTCCCAGGAGATGTGGCAGGCTTGGGGGGCTGTGCTGGTGCTGAGGATCCCATGACAGGGACGAGGCCCTGCTCTCTGGGAAGAGGTATGGGGGTCCCCAGGAACCTGCTAAGGTGTGGGGGTCCCAGGGTCTGAGGGGGGTCTGACTCCCCAGTGGGGGTGAGGCAGGCACATCAGAGTTCTCGGCCAAGCCCCCCTCCCCAGGCCTTACTGAAATCAATGAAGTCAGGGACTTCGGCTTCTTATACCACAACAAAGAGACCATCCCAATCGCCACCGCAGCTTCAGGGGGTGTTGAATTTGTTTCCATCCCTCCTAAGATGGGCCACAAAGCCACACCGGACCCTTCTTGGAAGTCCTTGGTTTCTGCCTGCCTCTTCTCTAGCTTTAAATAAGCCAATTTCTCCCTCCACCCCCTCCACAGACCCCCCAAGGAGCCACTGGCGATCTTTAAAGAACTCAAGCCCACCCCAACTCCACCTCCAGCCTGAGCTCCTTCCAGCAGCTGCAGCGATCCTTTTAAATGGAAATCAGATCCTCTCCTGCCCTCCCGAGAGGAGCCTTCACCCCAAGGGGGGAACCATGGGGGGCTGTCAAGGAGGCGGCAAGATCGCGCTGAATTGGCAGTCATTTTAGGTGAAAATGAGAGGATTTCCTTCCTCGCAGGAGACAGAGGGGGAGTATTTATTAGGGGTGAAGGTCGGCACCTCTGCACCTATTTTCCAATAGTGCAACAACAAACATGTTATACACACAGAGCAAATACAAGGCAATGGTAACCGTGGCTGATTCTAGGTGGTGGGTATATAGATGTGCCTTGTACTCTTCTGTCAAATTTCTTAGAATAAGGACTTTGGATTCTTTACTACAAATACATGTATTAAGAATAAATTCGGTGTCCCACTGCATTCGGAATAAAACCTGAATGTTCCATCCTAGCCTGAGGGCAGATGTTTCCACGCGACCTGGCTCCTGCTGCTGGCCTGCCAGGTTCTGTCCCAAGCTGGTTCCTGCCTCAGGGCCTCTGCACTTGCTATGCCCTCTGCCTGACACCCTGACTCCCAGATCCGCACAAAGCCAGTCCTTTCTGGTCATTCCCACCTCAGCACTGAGGTCCCCAGCCCATCTCGAGAGTCTAGCCCTCTGTGCAGCTCTTCTCCCCAGATTACCGGTCTGTTTCCTGGCCTGTGACTCCCGGGCACCCAGCAGCCCTGTGTGGGTATCTCTTAACTTGATAAACAGATTGGACGCTCGTTTCAAGAGCCTCTCGCACCAGCCCAAGTGCCTGTGGGCACCATCCAGTCAAGGTGGGGGATCTGAGGAAGCTGGGCAAGGCACTGCTGGGCAGCCCACCTCTCCTCACCTATGAGCAGGGCTTGGGTCCCGAGGGCTGCCCGCAGCTTCCCAGGCACCAGCATCTGGCTGGAAGTGTCTCCTCCCTCTAGTACCCAACCAAGTTCGGGGCCAGAGCAGGCAGGCAGGGCCAAGGGAAGACCCTCCTCCCATATAGCACAGCCCCTCCTTCCAAAGCCAGGACCTCCTGCCCCAGCTAAGCCCCTCACCTGGCCCCACGTGCCCACACACCTGCCCAGGACCCCATGCCTGCCCAGGGTCCCCCTCCCCAGGCACTGCTCAGCCCCACCATGTGGCCGCTCACCACACCACCATACCCCACACACCCTCCTGGACTCTCTCGGAACTGCCCCTTGGGGGTTCAGAGCATGGGCTCAGGAACCAGGTGGTCTGGGTTCAAATCTCAGCTCCACCACTTCCCAGCTGTGTGACCTAGGGCAAGTTACTTAACCTCTCTGTGCCTCGATTTCCTCCTCTGAAACATGTGGCTGACCAAGCGCCCACCTCGCAGGACTAAATGCCCTAATGTATGGAGAGCACTCAGAAGAGCGCCTGCAACACAACAGGCACCGGAAGGGCAGGGTGTGCGGGCATCCTCCTCGTCCTTACGCACGACCTGTCCCTGCAGCCTGCAGGTCTGAGGACAGGGCCCGTGTCACAGCAACTGCGAGCCTCACACACAGTAGGTGCTCCGTGACTACTGGCATCCAGGCCCCAAAGGCACTGGATCAGCTAACACCCTGTCCCGGCCCATTTCAGTTCAAGCAGGACTTGGTCATCACCTACTGTGTACCACAGACCTACAGGCGCTGGGCATGACTGAGCCAGGCCTGCGCCTGGGAGGGCCTCTCTGGAGGCCCAGAAAGGATACAGGGAGCTGCCTCGCAGGCCCTGCCTCAACACAGCTGAGGGAGAGAGGAGGTGGGGCAGGGGGCTGCAGGTATGAGGGGAGCCCCTCCAGCCTCCAGCAAACCTAGTTCCCAGCCCTTGCCGCGTCTCTTATCCAAGAATCCCAAGGCAGCAGTCCCCATCCAGCCCGCCTCTTCCCCAGGTGGGGACCTTTTCAGGGCCTCCCCAGCCTTATCCCATTCCCTACCATGTCCCAGCAGCCCCGTGGCTTGGGTGGAGTCAATGACATCATCCCCAACTGTAGAGAAAGTCCCATGAGCCAAAACCAGGCAGCCTCACTCCATCTCCCCGGCATCAGCCACTGGTTCACAGGACGCAGGCCCTCTCCTGGCCTAATCAGAGCATCTGTGATACCATCCGAGAAAGCACAGCTCTCTCCGGCTCCCACCTGCTATGGGAATTCAGGTTCAGTTTGTCAATGTTCTAACATAAGGAGTTGAAAAAACTGCACAGGAATGAAGGGGCTGGGTGCAGTGCTCACACCTGTGATCCCAGCGCTTTGGGAGGCCGAGGCGGGTGCATCACCTGAGGTCGGGAGTTCAAGACCAGCCTGGTCAATGGAGTGAAACCTTCTCTACTAAAAATACAAAAATTAGCCGGGCTTGGTGGCGGGCGCCTGTAATCCCAGCTACTTGGGAGGCTGAGGCAGGAGAATTGCTTGAACCCGAGAGGCGGAGGCTGCAGTGAGTAGAGACCCTGCCACTGCACTCCAACCTGGGTGACAGAGCGAAACTCCATCTCAAAAATAAATAATAAATAAATAAACAAATAAAATGAAATGAAATGTAATGAAATGAAATGAAGGCAAGACTTGAGTTGAAAGACTATTCCTGCCATCTACACCCAACAGACATTTCCAGCTACAGCCATTCCTTTCCTGTTGAAGCCCATCTGAGTCCGCGCTTCTTCCCCTGACAGCTGGGAGAATACTCAACCCTGATCTCCTCCGGGGAATGGGTGATGGCCACGGCCGCCTGAAACCACCACCACATGCCTCTGGCAGACCCAGCCTCCCCGCCGTGGGCTGAGATCCACAGCCTACAGTGAGAAGCAGGAATCAGCATCCTTTTCTGTTTGGATGAGGCCACTGGCCACAAATGCAGGCTCAGGGAAAGGGGGCTCAATGCTTGTCCACTGTCTCAGTTTCCCTGAGCCTGGACCTGGGCCCAGTGCACCAGGAAAGGCTCATTTGTAAGGGTGCGCCTGCGGCCCCTGCTGCCCGGCACACAGCCCACCCTGATCCTCCACCTCTCTCCAAAACCTCTCTTTCTGCCTGAAAAGCCCAGGACAGGTCCCGTGACCAGGGCTTAGCAACTAATTTTCCAGGCCAACATTTTGCTTTCTTCCCTTCCAGGCTGGAAGAGGGGCCATAGAGCCCCCCCACCCCCACCCACCCTGGGGCCTTCTGGAAGCAGCTGTTGTCTTTCCTCCTTTCCTGGCCGGCCTTGGCTTTTCCTCCGCAGCCTGGACACTCAGGGAGGACACAGCTGCGGAACTGACAGGGCCCCGGCAGGTGTGGCCCCCTGTGCGCTCGATTCTCCCCAGATCTCAAGGAAAGCTGATGGGGGCCACGGTGTGGACTTACCCATTGTTTCCGAGCGTGATTCCTCCTCTTGAAGTACAAGATTAGCTTCTTCCGCATCGCCTGGTTTCTGTGCAGGAGGGAAGCGGCAGACAGGTCAGCCCGGCCGGGCTCAGGCGCTGCACCCCGTGCCATCCTGTTTGCTGAGAGTGAGCCCCAAATTTGCCCCGTTATTGGTTCTCAGGGAGATGAGACCCACCCGTGCTGTATCCCCAGAGAGACCTGTGAGCTGCCAACGTGCATCCTTACTCCCCCGCGCGCGAGGCAGCCCCCGCCAACGTTTAGGTTGAGCCCAGTGTGCAGGCAAGAGGGTTCCCAGAGCCGAGGGGCCTGTGGCTTCCCGCCCCCGCCCACATGCACCCCGGCAGCCACATCTGCCCACGGAAAGATGGCCACGGAGAAACAGCCACAGCCTCCAACTAGGAATACAGGCCACAGAGCCCGAGACCCCGAGACCTGCTGCCGCCCACAGGCCGGGTGTCAGAGTGTGGCCTGTGTGGCCCCAGGATTGGCTCCAACCAGGTGCTGTGCATGGACCTCCAGCACACCCAGTCCTGCTGCGGGGGGAGGGACACAAGCAGTGTGGGGCAGCTGGTGGGGCCACCAGGCATGGACTTCAGGAAACCCCCGGGCGGGGGCGGTCTCAGACTTCAGGGCAGGGCCCATGGGGTCTCAACCAAGCAGGTTACACACACCACTGCAGGCTCCAAGAGAAGGAGGCACGTCCTGGGAGACGGGAGTTTCAGAGAGAGAGAGGGAGACAGAGACCCAGAAAGAGAGGGAGACAGAGACCCAGAGAGACAGGGAAACAGAGAACCAGAGAGAGAGAGAGAGACAGAGACCCAGAGAGACAGAGAGAGAGAGAGAGAGAGAGAGAGAGAGACGGAGACCCAGAGAGAGGGAGACAGAGACCCAGAGACAGAGGGAGACAGAGACCCAGAGACAGAGGAAGACAGAGACCCAGAGAGAGGGAGACAGAGACCCAGAGAGAGAGAGACGGAGACCCAGAGACAGAGGGAGAGAGAGACCCAGAGACAGAGGGAGACAGAGACCCAGAGAGAGAGAGATGGAGACCCTGAGACAGAGGGAGACAGAGACCCAGAGAGAGAGAGATGGAGACCCTGAGACAGAGGGAGACAGAGACCCAGAGAGAGAAACAGAGACCCAGAGACAGAGGGAGAGACAGAGACCCAGAGACAGAGACCCAGAGACAGAGGGAGACAGAAACCCAGAGAGAGGGAAACAGAGACCCAGAGAGAGAGAGACGGAGACCCAGAGACAGAGGGAGACAGAGACCCAGAGACAGAGGGAGACAGAGACCCAGAGAGAGAGAGATGGAGACCCTGAGACAGAGGGAGAGAGAGACCCAGAGAGAGAGAGACAGAGACCCAGAGACAGAGGGAGAGACAGAGACCCAGAGAGAGAGGGAGACAGAGACCCGGAGACAGAGGGAGACAGAGACCCAGAGACAGAGGGAGACAGAGACCCAGAGAGAGAGAGAGAGAGACAGAGACCCAGAGAGGGAAACAGGGACCCAGAGAGAGGGAGACAGAGACCCAGAGAAAGAGGGAAACAGAGACCCAGAGAGAGAGAGACGGAGACAGAGACCCAGAGAGGGAAACAGGGACCCAGAGAGAGGGAGACAGACAGGGAGACAGAGGTGAGAAAGAGACAGAGACTGGGAGAAGGGGAGACACAGAGACGGAGATAGATAGACAGATGAGATCCAAGAAAGGACAGAGACCTGGAGATGGACAGGAGATGAGACTGAGAGGTGAGACTGGAGTGAGAGAGATGAGAAAGAGAGGATCAGAGAGAGAGAGAGAGGCAGTCACAGAGAGACAAGATCCAAAGGAAGGGGACAGAGACTCAGAGGAAGATGAAACTAGGAGAGGGAAAGAGAGAGAAGTGGGGAGAGGGAAAGAGACAAGACCCGAAGAAAGGGGACAGGGACCCTGAGACAGGCAAAGGGAGGGAGCCCTGGAGAGTAGAGGCGGGAGGTTCTGGAGCCCACGCCATGAGGGCTGGAAGACACCCCCACCCACTGCTGCACCGAGACCCCAGGACCGTCCTCTTCTCTTCCCAGGCCCCTCCCCACGGTCTCCAACACACAAAGCAGGGTGCTGCAGCTGGCCTCCCAGGGCCTGGGGGGCCACAGCGACCTCAGGAGCCTGCTGTGCACCTTAACTTGCTGTCTGTCCCCAATCCGCGGCATTCAGTGGCACCCGCTTTTCTGGGGAGGGGATCCCCAACTTTTTCATATTCTCAGCAGTGTCCAAACCCCCTCAAAAGTTCCAAAGCTACTGACTGGGAGCCACGCTATGTCCAGCCCCCGGGACCCCAGCCCCATTGGAAACAGGAAAAGGAGGGAACCCCAGGCTCTGACGGACGAGTGAAGCCTCATGGGGCTCAAGGGCCTGGAATCCACCTCAGTCCCCGGGTCATTCTGGTGGTGACTTGGCCAGGGCCTCCCCACCTTCCATCAGTCTGGCCGCCGCCCCCCGGCCAGGGTGGGCCATGGGGGTCCTCAGTCCCACAGGCTAGGACCAGCACCCTTCATCTCATAACAGGGTGTCTCTGAGCACACCTCAGAAGCCCTCAGTTTCCTCATCTGAAATCTATGGCATCGCAGCCTCATCTTCTGTTATTCAATAACTGTTTACTGAGCATCTACTATGTGCCAGGCACTGTTCCAGGTGCTGGGGACACAGCAGGGAGCAAGACACAGTTGAGGGCTCTCACAGAGGTGACACTGACAATAAGCAAGATGACCAAGATAATCCTGGATTTGGGAACTTAAATGGAATGGTGGGCTAGTGGGTGCTGGGGGACGGGGTGTGAGGGGCTATTTTAGATTCCGTGGTGCAGAAAGATCTCCCAGAGAGGATGGCCTTGAGCTGGGATCTACGTCATCAGAAGGACCCGGCTCTGGGAAGATCCAGAAGGAAGGGAACTCCAGCTGGAGGGCACCGCAGGAGACAGGAACAAACTCTGTGTATCGGAAGCACAGACAGAGGAAGGCCCTGTGGCTGGACAGTGCTGGGGAGGGGCAGAGAGGACGGAGGAGGGGCTGTGAGCAAGACTGGCAGGGCCAGTCCTGCAGGGTCCTGTGAGTTTCGACATGGCAAAGGGTTTGGTCTTTTATGCAAAAGACAGCTGTGAAGGCCTAGAAGCAGTGAAGGCCCAGGCGCCATGAGCACAGCAGCACCCATATCTCAGCAAAGACCATCCTCCAATCCCAGAAACCGCGCTGCCCGGGCCATGGCTGATTCCAGCGCTCGGCCAGGAAGTATGCAAGAAGAGCCCAGAGTGACTTTAAGTCAAGAATTGCCAAAAACAAAAGAAAACAAAAGTCAAAAGGACACAGAACCCAGCCTGAAGGTTTCCGGCTGCCAGAGCTGGAACAATGTGAGTGACAACAGAAATAACCCTGGGACTAGATTAGCGTCCCAGGAATAAAACAAATCCCCACGAGTCCATGTGATTACAAACAAATGATTCAATACATCAATACATGGAGGAGAAGGGACAGATCTTTCTTCTAGAGTTCCAATGAATAAATGTCCAAGAGAGGAGGGAAACAGAAAATCGTCATTAGAACGCAGTAATAACCCAACCACCGCTGGCAAGATCCGGGGATGAATGCTAAATTGGTTGGCAAAATTTTAAGGAGCAACAGGAAATTTGCACAGTCTCAAAGAATCTCCCCGCAAGTATGTATGAATCATGGCGGTGGCTCCACAAATCTATATTCCTCCCTCCAGGAGGCGGAGCTTAACTCCCCTGCCCTGGAAGATGGGTGGGACTTGGTGACTCCCTAGTAAAGAACAGAGCAAAGGAGGGATAACTCTAAGGCGACAGCGGAGACCTAGGGCAGAGCCCCCTATCATGTGGGCATCACGCAGCCCCCTTACCTCTCTCTGGTCTTCCCCAAAACCCACCATCCCAGTCTTACCAGGAGGAAACACCTGTCAAAGAAAGCCATGACCAGTGATCTTCAAAAGTGCTGGGGTGGTGAAAAACAAGGCAAGGCTGAGAAGCCGTCACGGGCTGGAGACTAAAGAGACACGAGCACAAATGTCACGTGAGAACCTGAATCAGATCCTGGACCAGAAAACAGACGTTGGCGGAGAGACGGGTGAAAATGCAAAGACAGCTGGTAGTTTAGCAGAGGGTCATGTGCCACTATTTCTTTCTTAGTATTTTGTTTTGTTTTGTTTTGATTTTTGTTTTTAGAGACAGGGTCTTACTCTGTCTCCCAGGCGGGAGTGCAGTGGCTCGATCATGGCTCACTGCATCCTTGAACTCCTGGGCTCAAGCAATCCTCCTGCCTCAGCCTCCTGAGTAGCTGGAACTACAGGTACATGCCACCATACTTGGCTAATTTATTTTTTGGTAGAGATGAGGTCTTGCTTTGTTGCCCAGCTCGTCTCCAACTCCTAGCCTCAAGTGATCCTCCCACCTTGGCCTCCCAAAGTGCTGGGATGACAGGCGTGGGCCACCATGGCAGGCCCTAGTTGTGGTAAGTGTTTCTCTGCTGTTATATAAGCTGTCCACATGAGGGGTGCCAGGTGACGTGTGTGGGGGAACTCTGTGGAGCGTATTTGCAACTCTTCTGTTGCACAACGTACAATCTAGTTACTTCAAAATAAATAGTTCCACCTTCTCACAAAAGAAGAGAGATAGAATCCACTTTGAAACACCGTGGTGAAGACCATACAAAATTGACTTTGGGGTTTGCAGGTGGTACACTGCCTAGTACAGGTGGGAATGTCACCCCCAACCCCAACTACAAAAAAACTGATATGTGTAAAGTCCTAAGCCCCAGCACCTCAAAACATGACCTCATTTGGAAACAGAGTCTTTAGAGCGAGAAGCAAGTTAGAATGAGGTTACTGGGGTGGGCCCTAATCCAATGACTTATGAAAAGGGGAAATTTGGACAAAAAGACAGACACACACGGAGGGGAGATGACGCGAACAGACACGGGAAGAACACCACACGAATACAAAAGACGGGAGTGACGCATCTCCCAGCCAAGGAACGCCAAGGAGGCCGGCAGCCGCCAGGAGCTGGAACCGGCAAGGAAGCAGCCTCCCCCAGAGCCTTCTAGAGAATGTGGTCCTGCAGCACCTTGATTTCCAACTGCTGGCCTCCAGTACTGTGAGAGAAGAAAGTTCCTGCCATTTTCAGCTGCCCGGTTCACGGCCGAGTGTTAAGGCAGCGCTGAGAAGCTAGTCCGGCGTGTGATCTTCCACAAACCGCGGTGCTGTCACTGCAGCTGGAAAACGACTCGGTGAGCATGAGGCCTCGGGGTGGTGGTGATGTGCATGCAGCCGTCTGTTTGCCACCGATGGGCAGCAACTGAGGGTGTGAATCCACCCTGGCTGATCCAGGTTTCCTCCCAAAGCAAGGACACTGCCTGCCACCCAGAGACATCCACGTACCACGCAAGAGGACACGTCAAGTCTGCAAACACATGTCAAGTCCGCAGGGTGCAAACTGCACAGTGCACAGGCCAGAGACAGCCTCTGAGGGTGTTGTGTTGGGCTGTGGTGCTTTATTTATTTATTTTTTATTTTTTATTTTTTTGAGATGGAGTCTCTTGCTCTGTCACCTAGGCTGGAGTGCAGTGGCGCAATCTCGGCTCACTGCAACCTCTGCCTCCCGGGTTCAAGTGATTGTCCTGCCTCAGCCTCCCAAGTAACTGGGGCTATAGGCACGTGCCACTACGCCCAGCTAATTTTCGTATTTTTAGTAGAGACGGGGTTTCACTATATTGGCCAGGCTGATCTCAAACTCCTGACCTCATGATCTGCCTGCCTCAGCCTCCCAAAGTGCTGGGATTACAGGTGTGAGCCACCGCACCCGGCTGGTGCTTTCTAAAATCCTAAATTCATTGCCAGCACTGAAAACCAGAGGCTGTTACACAAAAAGCCAAACCTAAAGCTTCTCTTGAAAACATCAGGCCATCGGGCCACACCCCTTCATGGCCACAGGCTGGGAAACTGAGGCTTGGCTGCTCCTTTCAAAGGTCGCCCAGCTCCCCGTTCCTCAGCCCCTACTACTCCCTATTGCCTCACACCAGCCCTCCTCACTCAAACCTTCCTTCCCGCTCCTGGAGGCAGCCACCTGGGGGACTCCTGGTTTATGATGCCCACGTGTTCAACATTCCTCTGGCAAACGTTTTTTTAAGTGTTTATTTTGTTCCAAGCAGTGTTTAGGCAATGAAGATGCAAATAGCTTACTGCAGACAAATCTTTTCTGCTGAGCTTCTGTCCGGCAAGCATAAGGACCACAGTCTGTAGGAGGGCTCTGGAGGCATGGGGTAAGCAGCATGTGATGAGTTTGCTGGTAGAGGCACTCATGGGGTGCAAAGAAGTCAGGGTTTAAAAACACACACCCTATAAGGAAACCTAGTCTTGCCATCTGCCAGGGCACTGGAGAGGAGAAGCAGGACATAGGAGGGCAGGATAAGGAGGCAGGAATTATGAGAGTATTCCAGGGGAGTCCGGTTGGACCCTAGCTGGGACTGGTCCTGGGGTTTATGGGGTACTGGAAAAGGAAAGCTTGGGGGCAATCAGGGGAGGCTTCCTGGAGGAAGGGAGGTTTGAGCTGAGGCCTGAGAGAAGCAGAGGAATGCGGTGGGAAGAAGAAAATGAGCAGAGCCCTGGGTTCTAGGGAGGGAGGCAGCAATAGTGAATCTGGAGAGGGCAGAAGGGGTGCTCAGGGAGAGCCTGACCCCGGCTGCAGGGGAGAGGAAGAGGGAGGCAGATATGCAGGGCCCGGATACCTTGGGAAGAGACTGCGGGTTGGGGTGATGGTCTGAACCTCCTGATCACTGAGCGCCAACCAAAAGCTGTGACAGTGCCAAACAATGTGATGTGACTTGTCTAAGGTCACCCAGGTAGGGAGGGGCAGGGCCTGGAGTAGAGACCCAGGAGAGGAAGTTGGCTGGATGTGCAGTTAGGACTGGTCTAGGAATTTGTCTGTGTGACCCTGGGGGAGTCATCTGATGTCTCTGAACAAGACCAGAGAGACCTGCTAAGAGTAACCTGGGTTCTGACTGATCCCCCTTTCCGCCTGCACAGCCCCGGGTCTGACAGTTCCCATCAGCCGACCCCCAAATGAGGCAGCAGGAGGGAAGAAATCAGGCTGCGAAAAGAGAAAAACGAGCAACGGAAGAAACCGGCTTCCAGGCCTGAGGGGGCCGGTGAACCAGGGCAACCCCCGGGCAGGCAGAGGCAGAATGTGCCTGAGCGCCATCTGCCGCTCATCCCCAGGTCCCACGCACTTTCACCACATCCCACGCGGGCTCCATAGACTCCCGGGAATTCCTGGAGCATCCTGCCCAGGGTGGGGCCCATCCCTCGATGGAGCCCCCATCTCCTGCCCCTCTGCGGCTGCCCCGGCCCCGCCCCGGTGGTCTGAGCGCTCCCTCCTGCAGCAGGGGACACCAGCAGCGCCCGAAGCAGGTGGCGGTGGGAGGGCGGCGGAGGCGGCTACGGGCGACTCCAACGCGTCCGAAATCGTCTGTGCGGCAGGAAGTCAAGCGTGAAATTAACTTTCACTCCGCGGCCCCAGCATGCAGACGCAGAGAAATTAAAGTGACGGGGCAAGGTCTCTGGGGAGGGAACGACCTCCCACCTAGAAGCAATGACAGCAGCGGGGGCGAGGAGGCCGTGAGCGCCAGGGAGGCTGCTCCAGGGGAAGCTGGGAGCCCCACCTGACCCCGGCTGGATCATCTCATTGTCCCATGGCGGCAGTCACTTATCACAATGTATTTATTCTTATCAGCCTCCCCTACTAGAATGTCAGGCCTCATTCACTCCTATCTCCTAGAGGCCCAGAACAGTGCCTGGCGTGTAGTAGATGCTCAGTAAATATTTGTCGAATGAATGAGTCTGGGTCTCTGTAGACAAAAGAAAGAAGAACCAAAAACCCAGTAGTATGTGCTGTACGTGCTGAGCACTGACCTTAGTGAGCACGTCTGAAACTGAGCCCTAGAGGGCAAGTGACTTCCCACAGGGACACACAGCTAGTCAAACAGCCAGGACGAGCTGCGGTCCCACTTGAGGTCCCTGTGTCCAGCCACATGGTGGGACGGGGCCTGCACGGGGCCTCCCTTCCCATGTCCCAGCACTGGACACGAGACAGTTTCTGCAGTCTAGCATGAGCGGTCACAAAACATCAGAGCCTGCAAGGAGTGCAGGGTGCAGAGGCTGCCAAGGGCAGCTTCCTGGGCACTGCAGATTTCCTGAACATTATGCACCCTCAGCTTGCAAACCTCCCAGTGACAGGGTGCTCACTACCTACCTCGGCAGCTCCTGCAGGGGCCTTCCCATGGTATTCTCACCCCTACCCCCAGGTCCTTCCTCCCTGCAGCCACCAAAGTGAACTTTTAAAACAAAAGTCTGATCACATTGCTTCCTGGGATAAACTTCATCACTATTATAAACTTCATCATTATTATCCCAACAGATAATAAAACCGGAACTCCTTACCAGCCCCCCGTGACCTGGCCTGTGCCCTCCTCTCCCTTGCCTACCTCCTTGGGCCATGCCAGCCTTCTCTGTGACCCCTGCCAGCTCAGGAAGGCCTTTGCACCTCCTGTTCCACCTGTCTGGGACACTCCCCAGAGGTCCACACAGCCAGCTGCTGCTCAGCCTACAAGGGTCCCCTTAACTGTCATGGCCTGCCCTGACCTCTCTGGCTAATGTCACCCCCTCATTTTCTCTCCCATTACCCCACTTACCAGAGTAATAGAATTTTTAAAAAATGAATGACTGCACAATGAAATTTAATGATAACCAGATTGAAATCTAAAAAATAGAAGGGATGATAATTTTAGTAGAAAATATCCAAAAAACTAAAATTATTAGGACAAATCAGTTCCAACAATTTACACACAAAGGTTTTTCTAACAGAAGTTGACTACTTACAGTGTAGGAAATCTTAATTATTCATCTATTTGTTTTATATTATACTATATTACACATATTTTTTGAGACAGAGTCTTGCTCTGTTGCCCAGGCTGGAGTGCAGTGGCGTGATCTCGGCACACTGCAACCTCCATCTTCCAGGTTCAAGCAATTCTCCTGCCTCAACCTCCTGAGTAGCTGGGACTACAGGTACACGCCACCACAGCCGGCTAATTTTTGTATTTTTAGTAGAGATGGGGTTTCACCATGTCGGCCAGGCTGGTCTCGAACTCCTGACCTCAAGTTATCTGCCCGCCTCGGCCTTCCAAAGCGCGGGGATTACAGGCGTGAGCCACCGCGCCCAGCACATCTAGTTGTTTTAAATAGAAACATGTTTGTTTGTGATTTAGATTTGGAACAAATTCAGTGAGGCGGTTACCTATTTAGTCAAAATGCACTTCAACGGACCACAGTCATTCTCTGAGGAAGATTATGAGATGTCAAATACAGCACTGGCTTTAATATGCTTACAGTTTTATTCTACTTACACAAAGATGAAGCAATATCTATTTGCTGGTGTCATCTATATGAGCATCTTGCTCCTCTTTTGTTTAGATTCTATGGCTGTCTTTATTACCTGAAATCAACCACAGTATTCAGCTTAAAATATCACTCACTTTAAGTGAAAAAAACCTATGTAAAATTGTCAGTATAATAATATGGCTATCAAAAATTATTATGTCAAAAAGAAAAATCATAACTAGGTATATGAAGGCGTAAAGAGCTTAAGATAGTTATGTCAGCATAGTACTTTAGATTCGCTGGTATTTTCTTTCTTTTTTCTTTCTTTCTTTTTTTTTTTTAACAGAAACAGGGTTTTGCTCTGTCACCCAGGCTGGAGTACAGTGGTGCAATCACGGCTCACTGCAGCCCTGAACTCCTGGGCTCAAGCGATTCTCCCTCCTTCGCCTCCTGAGTACCTGGGACCACAGGCACGTGCCACCACACCCAGCTAATTTCTTGTCAATTTTTGCTATGTTTGGCCAGGCTGGTCTTGAACTCCTGGCCCCAGGCAATCCTCCCACCTCAGCCTCCCAAAGTGCTCGGATTATAGGCATGAGCCACTGCACCCGGCTGTATTAGCTGACATTCTCTTGTTTTGTTTACTTAACTCATTCTGGTTCTGTCTCCACTGCTAGACAAATCTTGATGAGGGATGAGGCCTTTGTTTTATCCAAGGCTGAATAGCCAAGGCCTAGAACGGGACCTGACACACAGCAGGCTCTCAATAAAGATGGGATGAATGAATGAGGGAATGCCCCAAACAGCCTGGACTCAGTTGAGAACACCCCACCCTCATCCCCTAAACCACCTGTGATGAGGTCCTAAGAATGTCCCCCTTGCTTTCAGCACCCCTCCATCTGTGGCTTCCCACCCCAGACAGGGGCCCCAGAGCAAGGCAGGTCCCAGGAAGCTGCAGAAGGGACAGGGGTAGCCCAATTGGAAGACAAACTATGTCGAGTCAAAAGGGATCTGGGACCTGGGCAATGAATGAGCCCGCCAGGCCGATGAGGAGCCCAGGCTGCATCTGACATGGGCCTTCTGTACCAGCCCGGGACCCCTGGCGCAGAACACATGCCCCTTCCTGACACACTCTGCAGCCCCTGCTGGCCACTGGCTGAGGATGACCCCCCCGCCAGCCACGCTGGTGAAGTATCTTTGTCAGGTGCTCCTGAACCCGAGAAGGCCAAGGGCCTCAACTAGCAAGGAGAGATTTTCTAGGCTGCTGCAACAATGACCAGGTGGCCAAGTTGATCACCTGAGCTTGGACCAGTCGCGCAACTCTGGAAACTACAACAGCAGCGATCTCCCCGTCGACTAGTCCAGCACCAGCAGATGTGTGAAAACACTGGAAGGTTTGCACGCTTTCAGGAACGGGGAGCTCACCACCGCATATACACTCTGTAGTTCCATCCCAGGAACGCTTGAACAATCGGACCGGGCTGAACTACCCACCGAATCAGCTAAACGCCTCCCTTTGCAGCCACACTCAAACGCCTGTACCCTCTCACCATGACGAACCTTGAACATTCAACAGCTATGATCCTGAAGAGTCTCACCTCCAACCTACCAGCCCACCACGTGGCCATATGTTCCTCAAGGGGCAAGATCTGCAGCCCCTTTTACCTTTTGGGTTCCTGGGCACTAACATGAGATAACATGCCCTCCTCGGCCCAACAGTCTATGCTCCCGTTAATGCATCCCAAGAAAAAGCCAGCCCCCTTCCAGCTGCCACACCTCCAATGCCTTGTACCCCGCTTGAAGATACAATGCTACCAGCCTCCAGCACCGCCTCACCCAATGGCAGTGGCACTTAATTGACATTTTCTTCCCTCCTAGCACCGGTCTGGGAAAAGGCCCCCATCATTAGAATACATCACATTGGCCACCTCCAAAGCCTCAGGGCCTGGATGAGTGCTCTGATCTGCCCCATAGTGGGCTGTGCCAGAGGGACCTCTCTGTGCAGACACCAGGTGATTCCCAAACATGCTTATGCCAGAGCCCAAAACACCAGGCCCCCGCCTGCTCTGGGGCCACTCCCCATCTCCCTGAGCCGGCTGCCTTCTGCCCGCAACAGCTCCCTCCTGCTCGAACAGGATGCAGATGTACAGCCTGGGACCTCTGACCTCCGTCTCTCCAGACCCACCTGTGCACCAGCAGCTCCCTCGCCCACCCTCCCAAACCCAGCCTGTCTCCCAAAACCTCAGGGGGACACTCTCTCTGCTCCCCACCCCCACCCCAGGTGCCACCTAGGACTGTCTCCTGTCCCCTCCGGGAGCACCTGGCCCTGGCCGGGAGCCCCTGATGGGAACAGAGAGCCCACGTCCCACATCCCATGCAGGCTGCTGAGAGCCTGCTCGCCCACCCTGCCTCTGTGTGTCTGCACGGCTGCCCGCGAGCACTCACATTTTGATGTTCTCATGATACTGCCGGGTGTCGGAGGGCTGGTTGTACAGCGGCTGCAAAGGGAGAGAGAGAAGCACATCAGAGCCTGGCTGGCCACTCGCCACTACAGAGCCCACCGGTAGGAGCCACAGCCCTGGCACGGAGGAGCTGTCCTCTGGGTGAGGGCTCAGCCGCAGGCAGGCATGAAACAGAACACAGGGACCCAGCACGCAGCCCCAGCCAGGAACAGGCTGAAACTGGTTCCTCGGGAACAGCTGTGGGTACTGTGACCACCCCCACCAAGGTCGTCATGGCTGCTCTGCGGGGCATTCAGCAGTGCTGGCCTGGAAGGGGCCACAGCCCAGAGCACACCCGGACAAACCCACACACACCCCAGAGATTGGCCCTGGCCACCAAACGTGGAAAGCCACTTGGCTTCCTAGCTCACCATGGAAACGCGCGTCCCAACGCTGCAAGATACCACTCCACCCCCACTGACCAGCAAAAGACAAAAACGTTGAATGCCAAGTGTTGGTGAGGTCTGGGGTGACAGGAAGGCTGGCACATAGCTGGTGGGAGCATGGTGTATGGGCACACATCCCCCAGAGAGACAACAGCCACTACCTGGTAACGAACACCGACGCCCCCGCTTCCGACCCCCATGCTCCTGCAGTTGCCTACTGTGCTCCACCAGGAGACGGGCGCTAGGATGTTCCTAACGCACTGCTCACAGCGGCCAGTGAGAAGCAAGCTAGCCGTCCACCACCAGAAGAGCAGCTAAGGAGACCAGGACTCGGTTACACCACAAATCCCACACAGCAGTGAGAAAGGGAGGCAGGGCCCACATGTAGCAAGCACAGGGCTTCAAAGAGCGTACCAGGAGACGCAGAAAGCACGGCAGCATCTGTGATGGTGCAGGGACCAAGCCAGCTGCCACGTGTCCCCTCCCAGATGGAAGAACCTTGCTTAGCAACCAAGGGCACAGCCTAGGTTCAAGTCCCGGTTCTGATACTTTCTAGCTGGGTCTCCCTGGGAAGTTACTTATTCCATCTGTGCCTCCATTTCTCCTCATCTATAAAATGGGGTTAAACTCATAGGATTTTGTGAAGATCAAACGAGACAGTGCATGCTAAGCTCTCAGGCTGGTACCTGCAGGCTGAAGTGCCCAGAGGTGCCAGTCACATTGCCGCCATCAGGGAGCAGTGGCTGTGCTAATGGCACCCACCTTTCACGCCTCCCTGTAACCACCCATGACCTTGCTGTGGCCAGTGGAATTGCTGCACACTTAGCAAAAGCAGAGGCTTGAAGATGCGAGTTCGCATTTCTGCTGTTTCTGTCAAGAGAATGAGCCTAGCCTGGCCTGCAGGAAGCGGGCAGAGAGGCAAGGAGCAGCGTGGTGCAACCCAGCCTGGGCTGATCTACAACGCCGGCCCCCCGACTCCCTCGCTGGCCACGGAGGTGCAAGAGCTGAGCCCACACCAGCAGAAATGCTCAGCTGCCTTCCAGACAGGTGAGAAACAGTGAACAGTTGCTGCTTCAAGCCTCTAAATGTGGGGCTGCTTTGTTCCCCAGCAGTAGCCATGTAACCATACCGGGTAACTGATACAATCATCCCCCACTGTACAGAAAGAAAAATTGAGTCCTTAAGAGGTTACAACATTTGCCCACAGCTGGTAAGAGATGAGCCTGAATGACAGCCCGCCTCTCAGCCCCAGCGCTGGAGGAAGGAGTCTGCTCCCCTCTCTGCCTGAGTCTCTGTGTGTGTGTGTGTATGTCTTTCTGTCTGTCTGTCTCCCTCTCTTCCTGTCCCTCTCCCTCTCACACACCCATGCACACAGCAGGAGCCTCCCAGGGTGGCCATGGGTGACTATGGTGGGAAGATCAGGTACAGAGTGTGAGTGATCAGATGGAACAGGGAAGGATGGAGACGTGGAGTCCTGCAGCCTCAGGGCAGGGCTGCAGCGACAGAAGGGACACACAAGTCTCTTCCCTGGGGATAGAGCTGAACACACCTCCTGATGACGCCGGCAGAGTGGGCCACCCAGACCCCCGCCCACCCATCCCCAGGGAAGGGCCTCTGCAGCTCTACAGAGCCTCACAGACAGTCTCGGCTGGTGACAATGTCGCCTTTCCCCCTGTAGCCCCAGATCCCCTCCTAGAGAATTCACCACTGGGCTCGGGCAATTCCAGGCTCCTGCTCAGCTACTCTCCTGGGGACAGAGATGTCATCCTGCAGCTGCCATGGGCCATTTCTCCCCGTGCCGGGTCAGGCTCCCCTCCCAAGGTTCTCAGCCCTGAACAGAGGGCAGTTTCCCCACCCTGACCCTGGAAGTTTGAACAAGAGGGAGAAGTGGGCAGAGGAACAAGAGAGCCCACGGTCAGACTCACTGCAGAACTTCCCAGTGGAGGGAAGGGGTGCAGTGCAGCATCCCTGCAGAGGGTGCGAATCCTCGTCTCAGGAATGGCAAGGGGCCCTGTGAAGATGCCCATGCTGTAACCCGGGCAACCACACTGGCTCCTTTATGTTCCCCACATGCCAATCAAATGCAGGCCAGGTGCAAGCGGACATCACTTAAAGGTTCGGGTTTTGGAAACAGATAGGCCCCAATTTAAATGGTGCCTCCTCCCTCACTAGCTGTGAGCTTGGACAAGTGCCCTCAACACTCCAGCCTCGGTTTCCTCATCTGGAATATGGGTGTAGGTCAAAGAGGACCTACTTCACGGAAATTTTGGATAGCCCAGAAAATTTCAGACTTGGTGAAATTTGGTGTTTGTCTTGTTTTGGTTTTAAAGATAGCAAACAGCCGAAGGGGGCCAGAAAGGGGCTGGAAGCCCACAGCACGCAGCCCTGGGAGGGCGAGGTGGGCAGAGGGGACAGTGCTTCTGCGGCACAGGGCGGGTGCAGAAATGCAGGACCGGCTCCCGGGGGCAGCAAGAGCCCGGTCAGCCTCCAACCCACCAAAGCCACAGGGGAGGAAGGCCACTTCCACTTGGTGGCCTCCTCCCCTGCCCTGTAGATAGGGACACAGCCCCTGCTTCTCAAGGCGGCCATCGGTGAGGGGCCCACAAGGCGAAGGCCCCGAAGGACTGAGGATACTGTGGGGTGCTGCGGCCTCTAAACAGGAACTGCCCCCCTGGGAGGCACTCACCAGCCACTCCCCGAGGCCCCTGAACCCCAGGAGCCCAGGGGAGGCTCTGGGCCCAGAGCTGCCTGGAATGCCGTGCACCGCCATGGCAACAGGCTGAGGACAGCCATCTTGGAAAGCCCAGAAGGGAGTGGGGGGAGGGAGGGACAGTGACATGTCCTGGCAGGTGCATTGCTGAGGGGACGCAGGGCCCGAGGGGACTCCCCAACATCCCCCTCATCCTCTGCAGAGAGGGCTGCACAAAGGCCTGGCGGCTCCCAGCCCAGGCTAGCCGGGGTCCCCACATGGGGCCATGAGGCACCTCCACAGCCACACAGGCTGGGGGGCATGGCTGGCCCCTGTCCCTCACCCCCAGGCCTTATCCTCCCGGGAGAAATGACCCCTGGGGGGACTCACGCCAGTGAGGGAATCGAGGCCTAGATGCGTGTGGAGCCTGGGGTGGTAGGGGCGGCACCCAGGAGGCCCCAAGGTCCAGCTCTCTCTTGCTCAGCCTCCGTCTCCTCTAAAATCAGAGGCACAGCCACTCAGAGGGCAGAAAGAGGGCAAAGGGGAGCAGGTGCCAGACGCAGGGCGCAGGCAGAGATGAGGCATGGTGGTGACTAAGAAAGCCAGCAGGGGCCAGGGAGGAGGCGGCCCCCCTCGGGCTTTGAGCCAGCCAGCAGGGCCACCAGGAAGAGCCAGAGTCCCAGGCGGCCTGAGCTGGCAATAAATGAAGTGACAGCCCCAGCCCTCAACCCGCTGGTGACACCAGCTTCTTAAAATAACGCCTTGGAACAGGAAGGAAGCAATGACTCAAAGCGGCAGAGAGGTCGGGGCTGCTGGGCACGCCCTCCACCACTGCGCCCGCTCCCAGCCTGGTCCAGTCCCCACAGCTGGGCTGGAGGGGCCGTGCCCCACCATCTCAGTGCCCCCGACCCCTGGTTAGCACCTCTGGTGCTATTTTCATCCTTTCCAATGCAAATTCCTCCAGGAAGGCCACAGGGATCCGTCCCTGCCGAGGGGAGGGGCGTTGGAACTGCAGCTTCTGATGGAAGACACCCTGGGAACTGGACTCTGTGACCCACAGCACCTCAGGCCGTCCCTGGCCCGGGCTTCTGGCACCCAGTTGGTAGACAGGACCCTGCAGAGGGTGCACCATGCAGCTGCCTCTGCTTGGAGGATGCCTGTGGCCACTCGGGCCTGGCAGATCTGTGCAGAACTGGCCGGCCGCTCTCCCAGGGGCTCAGCACACCTCCACGCCTCATCTCTTGCTGTGTGGCCCGGCACAAGGCACTCCTCTCACTGAGCCTCATCCAGAAAATGGGACGGCAACAGCTCTGTGAGGCGTCCTCCCTGTCCCCACTGACTGGCACCAAGCCAGGGGCCTTCAAGAGTCCAAACACTAGATCTTAGCCTCCTGTGCCATCAGCCTTGTGGAAGCCTCTGCTCTGAGATCCCCAAGTGGAAGACAACCCCGTCCCCTTGTCTCCAAAGAACCAGAGAAGACTCACTGTGGGGTCCCTGGTTCCAAAGCTTCTGACACCAGCAGCTGCCCACCCCCATCTGCCCACAGACTCCCACGGACAGGGGCTTCCTCGCCTGTGTTCCTCGGGCCCTAAGACACAGGCCCTTTCCCCCAGGAGGCCCCCGGGGACCAATCAGGAAACGGGAGCGGGAGGACCCGGAAATCTGGAAATGCTTGGGAACTTCATCCAACCCTGCCATCCCTATTTGGCAGAAAAGGAGAAACCGAGGCAAGAGGCAGCTTACTGGTGGAGATGTAAAATGGTACGGCCACTTTTCGGCCACTTTGGAAAACAGTTGGGCAGTTCCTCAAGGGGCTAAACAGGGTTAACAGAGGATCTAGCAATTCCACGCCTAGGTACACACCCAGGAGAAATGAAGACGTACGTTCACATGGAAACGGCACACTAATGTTCACAGCAACTTTATTCACAATACCCCAAATATGCAAACAATCTCACGTCCACCGACTGATGAGTGGGTAAACAACACGTGACCTACCCCTACAGTGAAATATGATTCAGCCACAAAAAGGAACGAAGGACCGACCCACGCTCGACACGGATGAACCTCGAAAACATGATGCTGAGTGAGAGAAACCAGACACAAAGGACCACATATTGCAAGATTCCATTTATAGGAAATGTCCAGAATAGGCAAATCCATAGAGACAGAAGGGTTTCTTTTTGAGATGATGGAATGTTCTAAAATTGACCGTGGTGACAGTTGCACACATCTGTGAATACACTAAAACCCACTGAACTGGACACTTTGAGTGAATGGCATGCGTGTGAATTGTACCTCAATAAAGCTGTTTACAAAACAAAAAAACAAGCAAGCAGCAGCTGCTGCTGCTGAAAACTTCCCCAGATATCACTTCCACTGAGAGAAGCACGACCCTAGGCCAGAGCTCACCACCCAGATCGCCCAGGCCCGAGGATGTGCCTGGAGGGGGCAGAGCCCTGAAGGGGTGGGGGAGCCCAGCGAGGTTCCTGAGTCCAGCCAGGTGGGCAGCTGGGCCCTGCTTCTGAGCTGGAGGAGCCCTTGCCATCTCCTCCCTGCTTCTGCCTTCTGAGTGGGCCTGGGAGCCCGGGGCTTGTAGTTCCTGAGTGGCCTCAAAAGACGGACCCCGGGCTTTGGGGAGCTCTCACTGCAAAACTGAGCAGCCTGCAGAAACTTCAGGGGGAGCAGCTCATCACCAAATTGTTCACAACTACTGAGCGCTTCGTAGGGACCAGGAGCTGCACTAGGTGAGCCTTTAACAGGCAGCACTGCCTTTAACCCTGGGAAGACCCTGGAAGGAGGCCCTAGAGCCTCCGCCTGTCCCAGATGAGAGAGCACTGTGGTACTGGGAGGTCAGCCCCTTTCCTAAGGCCACTTGGCAAACATGCAGTGGAGCTGAGTTTAGATTGAGGCTCTGAAGGTGTCAGACTTCTGTTTCGTTTTTTTATGAGGCAGGGTCTCACTCTACTGCCCAGGCTGGAGTGCAGTGGTGTGATCATAGCTCACCGCAGCCTTGAACTCCAGGGCTCAAGCGATCCTCCTGCCTCAGCCTCCCAAGTAGCTGGGACGAAAGGCGTGCATCACCACACCTGGTGAATTTTTTAATTTTTTGCAGAGACAAGGTCTTGCTATCTTGCCCAGGCTGATCTCAAATTCCTGGCTTCATGCAATCCTCCTGCCTTGGCCTCCCATAGCACTGGGATTACAGGTATGAGCCACTACACATGGCGAAGGCATAAGCCTTTATCTGCACCCTGGGCGCACTCACACGCACACCCTAGCCCACCATGCACACAGAGACTCTCCCTCATCCGGCACACATGTGGGTAGCATATACCTTCAGTGCCCACCACGGCCATCCATGCTGACCAGCTCAGTGGGCACAGATGGCTGTGGGGCAGGCAGGGGCTGCGGCCCATTCTCTGGGGGCTAGGGCTTCTGCATCCACCCATCCTCAGCCCAGGGACTCCAGGAGGCCTGGGGCCTGCTTTCCAGCTCTGCTGCTGACATGGCATCTTTCCGCAGCAAAAGGACACTAGTGACAGCCATCATCGCCATCATCGCCATCATCATCATCATCATCATCATAGCTAATGCCCAGCACTTACTGTTTACAAGGCAGGCGCGGCACCCGATGTTGGAAAAATATTAACACAGCTCCTCCTCACTGTAATCCAGTGGAATAGGTGCTGTTAGGATTCCCATTTTACAGATGAGGAAACTGAAGCACAGGGAGGGTAACAGACCCGCTCAGGGTCACACCGCCATGAAGCGGTGCACCTGGGAGTGGACCGAGATTGTGTGACCCAGAGAACCGGCTCTCCGCGCTCAGCTGGAGCAAGCGCACCGGCCTACGGATGTGTGACTCTCCTCACAGCCCGAGCGGCCGGGCTTCACGGTATGCACAGGAGTGCGCAGGTGGCCCCGGAGGCGCTCGCTGCCAAGACTCCCCACCCCCACCCAGCCCAGCCAGGCCCGCCCACCCGCTATCTGCCGTCCTCTCATCAGGAAGGTGGGTTTCCTGCTTCCTCCGCGGACGCCGCCTGGGCAGCGCTTGGTAATAGATGACTTCCTCCTCCGCCGCACCCTCCCGCCTCCCTGCCCACCTCTCCAGCCACCCCCGCCCTCCCCTGAGCCCCTGACCCTGTACCCCAGCTCACCAGCTCCACCTGGGGCCCCAGGCCTTCCAGAATCCGATGTGCAGCTTCAGCCTTCTTCTGCAGGGTGATGGCGAAGAGGAGGAATTTTTTTAAAAAACAAAAAAACACAGATTATAAATAGAGGCTTCCCGGAGCAGCGGGCACCTGCCCAGCCCAGTCCAGCATGCTGATCCTCAGCACGGGGGAGGGAGGCCCGGGGCCCCCTGCAGGCCCTCCCCACGCTGGAAAAAAACACAGAGGAGCCTCAATACCCCCACAGCGGCCCCAGCAAGCCAGCCAAGTTTCGATTTTAGCAAATGCGCCGGGTCCACTGAAGCCTGCTCCCCGGCAGGCGCGCAGGCCTCGCTCCCCCAGGGCCCAGCGACGTGGGCACCGCTCCCCACCAGCCCAGCCGACACTGCCAGCCCTGAGATGCCTTCCCTCACCCTGGAAGCTGGTTGGGTTGTCTACAATTACCTCAGAGCTAGTGCAGCCAGCGAGGGAAGGAGGAGGAGGAGGAGGAGGGAGGGTGAGATAGAGGCGCTCGGAGATACCCTTTCTAGGATTCTTGTGTTTCACAATCATGTGATTATTTCTGGGCTGCCCCGGGGCCTCCCCGCCTCCTCCCCACTCACAACTGGGGACTTATTAGGAAAACAGGAACATGTGGCGCAGGGCTCGGTGGCCGCTCCATCAATAGGCTGGACCTCCGGGCCCCCACCCCGGCCCTCGGTGTGAAGGCAGACATTGTGCCTCGGCCAGGCCCACCAGCCCGCAGCCTGGGACCACCAGGGTCCACTCACAGGAGGCCTGGAGGGCAGCCCAGGCCAGCCGGGTACAGGGAGGTGGGGGGCGGAGGGGCTCCTGAAGGTGGCTTCATGGGGGCTGTGGCGGAGGGCAGGGGCAGAATTTGCGTGGGTTTGGGTGCCCCCTGCACCAGGCTAAACTGCGTGTGTGCTGGCAAATGGGTGTTCACAGGCTGGCACGCGGGCGAGCCCCTGCTGTGACTCAGCTGCATTGGGGCAGCCACTCAGTATTTGGCAAGGACTAGGCGGACAGGCCGCAGAAGTCACCATCACCATACTGAAACTGTCCCCAGTGACCCCAAACCAGATTGGCCAAAAGGAGGTGACCCCAAGCCCTGGGAAATGTGGCTGCCAACAAAAATTTGACGCAGCCTTTGCCAAGATCTCCTCGCAGGGCGGAGGTGCCCAGGCTCCCGGGCTGCAGCAGAGAGAGGAGGGCGTGGCAGGCCAGCATCACTCCCCCTCCCCAGCCCCCGGAGAAAGACAGCAGGTATGTAGGTGGGCTCAAGCTGGAACCTAGAGCTGCCTCCGCCTACAGCCCAGAGCCCGGCCCACCAAGAGCAGAGCCATGCTCTTGGCCACCTTCAGGCTGAGCCAAAACCCCGAGACCTGCAGCCTCAAGGTGCGGCTGGGGGCCAGAAGAGCAGGGGAGAACTATTACAGCGATGGTCACTTCTCCAAGCACCTGCCATGAGCCAAGCGTCGGGCATACGGTGTGTTCTTAACATGTCAATTGCGCATAAGCGCCATGGGAGGTACAGGCAGGAGTAGCCCCATCTCACAGATGGTGAAACTGAGGCACAGAAACAAAACACAGGGAAGAAGCCCTTCTTATGACCTCCAGGATCCACGGACAGAGGAAGCCAAGGGCCAGGTCCCATGCAGGACCACCCCTAGGCTTGGGACTAGTATTTCCGGTGGATGGGGGCAGACATCACCCGGAGAGTCAATGTCCCAGCCACACCCTCGAAGCAGGAAAGAGTCTGCCCTGGGGTACTGAAGATGGGAGAACCCCTAAGCCAGGCCCAGTGAAGGACTGGGTATGGGGTAGCATGGGGGCAGGGCAGCTCCCAAACACTGGGACCTGGGGAGAGACATGGAATGAATGAGACCTGGCCCCTGCCTGGAATAAACCCAAACAATGGCTGTTGGTTAAGAGCAGTAACAGCAGATTAGTATGCTCAGGCAGATAAAGGTATGTGTGAAAGTGGGGCACAAGTCACTCTCCCAAAAAGGTAACAGGAGGGCTATATAGGCTGGGTTTTGAGGGATGAATAGGAGTTTGTGTATGATCTGTGGGGATCAGCAGCAACTGTCCATCTAGATAAAAGAGTGATACCAACGGAAAGGGCCAAGCCACTAGAAACTACACGGCCACACAGCTAGCACCTAGAGAGCAAG
This sequence comes from Homo sapiens, assembly GCF_000001405.40. Classification (NCBI taxonomy): domain Eukaryota; kingdom Metazoa; phylum Chordata; class Mammalia; order Primates; family Hominidae; genus Homo; species Homo sapiens. The sequence goes on from NC_000012.12 coordinate 124,459,292, forward strand.
GAAGACCCCTTCTTCACCTGCCAAAGCCACAGGGAGCCCCACCTCCTCCTGTCTCTCTGGGGTGTTTCCTTCACCTCCTGCCCCCACATCCCCTGCTCCCAGTGTTGGGTTTGTTCCTGCTCCACGGTCTTCTCTGGTCCTGCTTGTCAGCCTCCTGGGGAGGTGGGCCTGTGGAGCCCTGTCCCAAGATGGGCTGGCCTTTCTCAACACACCTGCCCAACATCTGGGAGTCGGCTGTGCTCTAACCCTCAGCAATCTGAGTCTCCTGACTGAGTCTGGCCTCAGTCTCCCCATTCACGAAACGGCCACACTCACCCAGGGTACCAAACTCCCATGACCTCTGCAAGGACGTTCTGCAGGGAGCAAAGTGAAGTGCATGTCATCCCTTCCCTCTTTGAATGCAGAGGAGATACCCTCTAGAACGTGGCATGGCTGGGGAACGTGGACGCAGGCCACAGATTCAGCCTCATGCCAAAAATTCCCCCTCACCTCCTCGGCTGCTGTCTTCCTGCCACCCTGAGCACCAAATCCAAACTCCTCGCCAGGGTCAACAGGGTCCCAGCCCTCACAGGACCTTGACCTCTGCTGGCCCCTCACTGTCCCCTGCACACTGAAAGCCACTACTGCCTCTGAGCCTTTGCACCTACCGTTCCCTGCCTGGAATGCTGTTCCCCACATCTTCACATGCTCTCGCCTGCCTCTTGCTCATGTCTTGACTCAGCCTCCCCTCCCCACAGAGGCCTTCCCTGACCCCCCGCAGCAGGGCGGTCCACCTCCCTCGACCACTCGTTTTCCCACCTGGCTGTCTTCACAGCACATGCGGTCAGGGATAAGGGTCTGCGTCCCACTGTTTATCTTACTGGCCACCTCCCCTGATGAGGACTCCATGAGGAGCAAGGTGCCTGCTCTGTTCTCTGCTGCACCCACAGTGCCTGGACAGTGTCTGGCTCACAGTGGATGCTCAGGAATGGTCTAAATACCTGGAAATGGAGTGCGGCTGGCTCCCTCGCTCAGGCGGTCTCTGGGGCAAAGCATTCTTGTACCTGCAGGCTGTCCGGTCCCAGCCCAGAACCCTGTCCTCTCTCCACGTCGCTGCAGCTGGCCCAGGGCCTCCCTGCCTCTCCACCAGGACCAGAAGAGGCCAGCGCTGGCCACCAAGCTGCTATCGTCCAGCAGGGCCCAGCACAGGGTTGAGGGCAGTGGGCACTTTCTCCAGGGCCATGGGGGAAGCAGTCCACATCCCGGATGTGCCTGGCCTTTCCAAGGACACGGAGTCCTCTCTGCCCCCTCCATAGAGGTGGATGAGAGGGCAGGCCCTGTCTCCCTGCTCTCCAAGCCACAATCAGGATTGCCAAGCCTCCCAGTAACCTGTTTCTGGGGTGCAGGGGCTGCCCCATTTTACAGATGGGGAAACTGAGGCTCGGAGAGGACACTTGGATAGGAGGTCACCAATCCACACAGTTCTAGGCAAAATCCCAAACCCTTCCCACCTGAACCTCTCCCATCTAGAACATTCCCCAACCCCAATATTCCCGTGGCTGATATCTCCACATCTCCTCGGCCCCTTTGGGGGCCACCTCCCGACACTGTCTCCCTGGCTGCCCCTGGTCCTGGCAAACAGCAAGTGCTCCAACAGGAGCTCCTGTCTGCATCTTCCCCATGCGGGCCCAAGGCCCAGCTTGCAGGGGACGCCAGGACACACTTGTTAGAGCTGAACTAACTCCACCCAAGGGTGGCAAAACTCAGGGACTGCTCCGGCCCAAAGGAGGGCTTCAGGCTGGGCTGCCACCTTCCGGCTGGGAGGCTGGAATTCAGGGGACTCAGCCCCAACCTGGGGGAGAAGGGAAACAGGCCTTTCTCAATCCCGCTGAAACCCGACTGCCCCCACGCACGTCCTCCCACGTTCCTGGCCTTTGGGGGCCGAGGTCTCTGCTCTGATCGTGGTGGGTGGGGCTGACGCCGCAGGGGAGGTGGCCAAGCCTGAGAGAAGCCACTGCCCAAGCTCACCTGGCTCTGAGAGGAAAGGAAAACCTAGGGACTCAAGCCAATGAGCGGCCCCGCTCACCGTGGCGTCCACCCCCTGTAGGGGCTCTCGCCAGCCAACTGAGATCCGGGCACGTTCTCATTCGAGCAGTGGCACCCCTGCAGAGACTCTGGGTCTGCGTGGCCAGGCCTCCCATGCCCAAAAAGCCTAGGAGCTGTGCTGGGGCACACAAGTCCTTAGTCACCTATGCAGACGGGTCCACGGGAGCACCAGACCCACGTTACCAAGTGCACATGCCAAGATCTAGGAACACGCAAAGACATACACACATGTCCACACACATCAAGGCGCACGCACATACACATGTGCACCCAAGTGAACACATGATGTAACCACACCCGCCCCACACCCGCCATCTCACGCACATCCACCTGTACACACATGCACACAGCCTAACGTGTACCCATGTGAACACATGCGTATGCACACAGGTGCACAGATGCACGAATACCTATATACATGCCTCACATGTGCCAATTCGTGGATGAATGTTCACGCATGTGCACACAGCACCCACAGGTATACCTGCACACATACACGCACCCACGTGTGTATGCATGGATGTGTAAGTGCACAGATAACCACAGGCCCCACATGCTGACTCATATACGCTTATACACATGTGCACACAGCCATCCAGAGGTCCACACATACACACATGCCCGCATACACACACCCAAGTGTGCTGTATCAATGCACGAATCACCACATGCTCGTCCCACACAAGCTGACTCTTACTCTAAGTATTCACATACAAGTATGCACAGCCATCCAAAGGCACACGTGTATCTAACACACATACCACACATACATCCACCCGTATACACACGTGTACCCACAGGCACACAAACCACACATACATCCACATGCGGCTCTCCTCTAGAGCACAGAAACAGACCTGACACTCATCACTCCCTAGCCTCTCCCCTGCCTGGAAGCCCCATCCTAGCCCCTTCTCTGCCACACTGGCTTCCTCATCTGCAGATTGGGGGCAGCACCTACTCACCCAAGAAGCCCCAAGCCCCCAGTCCTGCACCCAAGCCCCTCCGCTGGCTGCAGCAGTGCCTCAGGGCAACGGCCTACCCGGAGCTTCAGCTTCCTCATCTGCAAACAGAGCCCCATGCCCATGAGCCCCGTGCAGAGCTCTCCCAGGGTGGGTGACGAGCAGGAAAAGCGGCAGGTCAGAGGACGCGTGCAGCAGCCTCGCGGGGCTGAAACGGACAATCTGAAAGAACCCCTGGACCCTGGGGGCAGTTTTGATGACCAGGTGGCCGGGCATGGAGGCCAGAGGTGGGGGCCTGGCCCAGGATGCTGAGGCCACAGGACGGGGTCTGAAGCACTGCTCTGAAAATCTTCAATCAGGGGATCTGATGCTGGGCCCTACAAACAAGCATGAGGAGTGCCAAAACCCCCAAAAGGCTCTACTGAATGCTTCACGTTCACGGTGACTGTTAATGGTATTATTCTTCTTTGCCCTGCTCAGTCCCGATCACACTGTGCACACACTGAGTCCTAATCACATCATATAAACACTTTCCTTTTAAGACGCTTAAACTGGAAGACAAGGACCTGAGTCTTCTGCTGATTTCCGCATTACTCAGCAACTGGGGTTGCCGCTTCCATCAATCCTGCCTCCTCTCCACCTTGTGAATGAGCCATCTACATCTCTATTGGAAGCAGCCTTCTACCTTTCCCCAGTCGACCTAGCTCAAGGCCCGTCTCCTCTATGAAGCCCATCCTGACTGTTCCCCAGTGTCCTGAATTCCTACGGTACCAGCAACCTGTGCTGCACAAATGCCCCTTATGTATCCACACATCGCTAGCGCTGCCTCTGTGTATGTTTTATCCAGATTCCAAGTGCGTGCCTTGTCCCGGAACCAACAGGCTCCTACCTCGTGCCCACCACCTTTGAAGATCAAAGGAGACGCCAGTCCCCTCTCTGGGACTTGGCCTGTGCCATGCCCCCTCACCCTAACGCCCTCCTTCCGGCCCACCCGCTGCCTCCAAGAAGCCTTTCCCAGCACCCACTTCCAGGTCACGCTTCTGCCCTCCTGGGCCCAGGCCACCCCGTCTGCTCCTGCTCTCAGGCTGCAGCCACCCTGATGGCTGCCCTGCCATCTGTGCACACCTGCCCGGCCCCCACCCACGCAGGCAGCTCCCAGGAGGCGGGGAGGCGGGAAAAGCCTCGCTCAGCGGGTGCCTCACCAATGTGCTCCGAATGGATAATGAGCCAGACTCCAGCACTCAGAACTGCCAGGCGGGCCCTGCCCGGCAGGGAAGCTGCGTTTTCCGGCTGGCTCGAAAAACAGACCCTTGTCCTCCATCTCTCCAGGAACCAGCAGGGAAGGAAGGCGGATTAAAATTTAATCCTACTGATCCCCCAAGGGGCGGTAAGTCCTGGCTGCTCCTGCCAAAGGCGGCTGGGGGCCTCCCGCACATTAGGCTGCAGGCTTTGGAGGCTCAGAGACTCAGCCCGGGCGGAGGATCCCCACCAGCCCCCACGCCCCCAAACCAGAGGCCTCTTCCACAGGCCAGAGCTGGCCACCCGCCTCCATCTCCCCTCCCTTCCTGCCGCCTGAATATTTGCACAATAATTATTTAATGTGCATCTGCCGTGTGGTGAGCACTGTTTTAGGTGCTGGAGATGCCACTGGAAATAAAAGTGGGCAGGAATAAAATCCCTGCCCTTACGGAGTTTCCATTCATAATAAACAGAATAAATAAGTAAAACAGAAATCATGTCCCATGGGGACAAGGGCTAAGGAGAATCAGAAGCCACAAAGGAGGAAAACGGGTGTCATCCTGAAAACTCCTTTTCCTGAAAAAAGGGTTTTCAGTATTAAGTAGAGGGTTGAAACGGGTCTTGCTGAGAAGGGGCCACTTCAGCAAAGAGGGAAGTGACAGTATGAGCCTTGCAAGGAGAGGAGCTCCAGGCAGAGGGCCAAGGCACTGCAGCAATGTGCTGGGCCACTGACCTGGCCTCCACAGCTGCTGGAGAGAACCGTGTCTGCTCTCCACCGAGGATCAGAGAGGGCAGGTAGAGGTGACACTCTCAGGAGCCCTGCCCATGTCCCCTCCACTTTGGGCTCCTGGAGCCATCTCAATCTTGGCTCCAAGTCCCAGGCTCAAAGCTCACTTGCTCTGCAATCTCAGGGAGGTCTCCTTCCCTCTCTGAGCTTTGGTTTCTTGATGAGCAAAATTGAGAGAATAACAGTAGTTCTACTAAATGCAAATAGTATTCTATTAAATGCACAAGGTAAACAAACACAAGAAGAAATGAGAGCTATGATAATGACAATTAATAGCACCAGCTGGCACTTCTTTGGTGCCAGACACTGTCTGTCCTAAGGGCACTAGGAAATTACCCCTTTAGTCCCCACACCAACTGTACTAGGTGATGCCGTCGTTGTCATTGTTTTAAAGCTGTGGAGCATGAGGCACAGGAAGGTTTAAGTACAACGCTCCAGGGTCACAGAGCCAGGAAGTGGGAGAAATGGGATTTGAACCCAGGATGGCTGGCTGAAGGATGTGTGGCCCCTTGGCTCTCCTATGACTGTTACTAGTGGTGCTTGGGGTGAGGGGTCAGGGTGTGGGAGAGTGAGCCGGGCACACAGTTCCCAGGCCCCAAACAGGCTTGTCTCATTCTGCATGACATCGCTGTTTCTAGAGGTGGAGGCATAGCCAAACAGGTTGATCCAGTAGTTCCCTGCCTCAGGCTGCCACTGCAGGCACCCACCACGTGACTCGAGGCCTCCCCACCCCCACCTCAACTCTGAGCACTGATTGGCCAAGGAAGATATTACAGAAAAGGCAGCTGGGAAGGGTGGCTGGGACTACAGGCAGGAGGGGAACCAGAGAAGCCAAGGCAGGGAGAGGAGGTTCCTCATCTGTCATGCTTCACAAGGACCAGTCCCTCTCTGGGCCTCAGTTTCCTCATCCAGAAAATAAGGGAGGGGATCAACATCCACAGATCCTGAGTACATTTAGAAAAAGTACACTGTAAATCATTAAAGCCCAGCTGGTAGTGGCTTGACTGGGAAGATGGGGAGCTTACCACCTCACCAGACACAAGGTTCCACCTTGGGGGTGCACAGACCCTTAGGGTCCAGCCCCTGGAGACACTGCTCTGAGCATCCCAAGCCCCTCCAGCAAGACCAGACCCACTATAGCTGCCCCCAGTGGGATCTCCATGGGCCTCCACAGCCTGCTCCAGACTCTGTGTTTCAATCATCTCAAAGGCCCCTTCCAGGGCCCAGTGTCAGTGGAAGCCAGTGCTGAGAACTCAGGCCCTGTGGTCTGACAGCCCACAGGTTCAAATCCAGGTCCAATGCTTCCTAGCTGTGTGACTCTGGACAAGTCACTTAACCTCTCTGGGCCTTAGGAAAATGGAAATGACACCTGTACCTGCCCTTCCAGGACTGACAGGAGGGGCTGCTCCATGAAACCTCACTGCTGCGGTCATAATGTCATTATCTTTTGCCTTAAAGGGATTTCTTCTGCACCAGCACCTAAAGTGGCAGCCCCTTACCCTTGGCCATCAGCTGGACCCTGGTGCTCTCCTGGAGCCCAAAACCTCTGTTTTGTGTTGCATCCTGCTGACCAGCCACAGTCCACACCCATCTGAGTGTCTGAGCAGAACAGCCCAGAGGCCACACCAGGATGGCTTTCCACCGGTCACCTTCCCCCACCCACTCATAAACCCTGCGTCTCTGGGGGAGAGGGTGGCGAGGTCCCCTCCCCACATAGATGGAAACACTGAGGCCTGATTCATGGTGCCCCCTGTGAAGCGCCTCATGGCCAGCACCGGGGGGCAGCAGGCCAGGGCGGGGACACATACCCGGTTCTCGTCGTAGATGATCTGCACCAGGCTGCGGTGCTTCGACTCGATGGGCGGCGGTGACACGGGCTTCTCAGGCTCGGGCGGCTTGGCAGCCTCCTCCTCCAGCTGTTGCTGTGGGGAGAGGCAGAACGTGAGGGATGAGCACCCCAGCGGGCGGAAGGAGGGCTGCAGCCCCCAGGGCGCGGGGAGGCCCCCTTGCAGCCCGGGCCACGGCCGCGCACAGGAAGTCAGGCTGCTACACATTTCCTGTGAGTCACCCCAGGGACTCCGCACCCGGGAGAGGCCCCAGCTCCAGGGCCAGCTGCAGCCTCCAAGCTCCAAAGCCAGGTTCAAATCCTGCCTTCGTGACTTGCCAGCCAGGGAAGCACAGCCAAGCAGCCTCACCCTGCTAGCCCTCAGTTGCCCCATCAGTAAACGGGGCTGATTGCCGTGCCGCCATTCTGACTGTGGTGAGAACTGAATGAGTTACACAGGCAGGCACAGTCAGGCCTGCTGCGAGCCGGCATTATTACCCATTACGGTTCCTACAGGCAGCATCAGTGCTAGGAGAGGCTGTGCAGACTCCACAGCTGCACTGGTGAGACTGGAGCCCAACTCCCACTCCTACTTACTGCGTAGCCTTGAGAAGCTCCTGGACCTCTCTAAGCCTTACCTTCCTCTTCTGGAAAATGGGGATAAAAGAGTTACTACTCTAGAGAGCCGTTGTGAAGGTGAAATGAGCTCATGATGCGTGCAAAGCACGCAGCACCTGACACACAGGTGCTCCTCATCAACCCCATCATCCTCATCCTCATCACCCCCATCATCCTCATCCTCATCACCCCCATCATCCTCATCCTCACTACCCCCATCATCCTCATCCTCACTACCCCCATGATCCTCATCCTCATCACCCCCATCATCTTCATCCTCATCACCCTCATCATCCTCGTCATCCTCATGACCACCATCACCCTCATCCTCATCACCCCCATCATCCTCTTCCTCATCACCCCATCACCTGCATCCTCATCACCCTGCTCGTCCTCATCCTCATCACTGTCATCCTCATCACCCCCCTCATCTTCATCCCCATCACCCCCATTATCCTCATCCTCATCACCCCATCACCCTCATCCTCATCACCCTCATCCTCATCACCCCCATCATCCTCATCCTCATCACCCCATCATCCTCATTCTCATCACCCCCATCACCCTCATCCTCATCACCCCCATCATCCTCATCCTCATCACCCCCATCATCCTCATCCTCATCACCCCATCATCCTCATCCTCATCACCCCATCATCCTCATCCTCATCACCCCCATCACCCTCATCCTCATCACCCCCATCATCCTCATCCTCATCACCCCCATCACCCTCATCCTCATCACCCCCATCGTCCTCATCCTCATCACTGTCATCCTCATCCCTCCCCTCATCTTCATCCTCATTACCCCCCTCATCTTCATCATCTTCACCCCATCATCCTTATCTTCATCACCCCATCACCCTTATCATCCTCATGACCTCCATCATCCTTATCACCCTCATCATCCTCATCACCCTCATCCTCATCACCCCATCACCCTCATCTTCATCACCCCCATCACCCTCATCATCCTTATCCTCATCACCCCCATCATCCTCATCCTTATCACCCCCATCACCCTCATCCTCATCACCCCTTCATCCTCATCCTCATCACCCCCATCACCCTCATCCTCATCACCCTCTTCACCCTCATCCTCATCACCCTCATCCTTATCACCCCCCTCATCCTCATCACCCCCCTCATCCTCATCACCCCCTCATCCTCATCCTCATCACCCCATCATCCTCATCACCCTCATCCTCATCACGCCCATCACCCTCATCATCCTCATCACCCTCATCATCCTCATCCTCCTCACCCCCATCATCCTCATCCTTATCACCCCCATCACCCTCATCCTCATCACCCCTTCATCCTCATCCTCATCACCATCACCCTCATCCTCATCACCCTCTTCACCCTCATCCTCATCACCCTCATCCTTATCACCCCCCTCATCCTCATCACCCCCCTCATCCTCATCACCCCCCTCATCCTCATCCTCATCACCCCCATCATCCTCATCACCCTCATCCTCATCACGCCCATCACCCTCATCATCCTCATCACCCTCATCATCCTCATCCTCCTCACCCCCATCATCCTCATCCTCATCACCCCCATCATCCTCATCCTCATCACCCTCATCATCCTCATCCTCATCACCCCATCATCCTCATCCTCATCACCCCCATCATCCTCATCCTCATCACCCCCATCATCCTCATCCTCATCACCCCATCACCCTCATCCTCATCACCCCCATCATCCTCATCCTCATCACCCCATCACCCTCATCCTCATCACCCCCATCATCCTCATCCTCATCACCCCCATCACCCTCATCCTCATCACCCTCTTCACCCTCATCCTCATCACCCTCTTCACCCTCATCCTCATCACCCTCATCCTTATCACCCCCCTCATCCTCATCACCCCCCTCATCCTCATCACCCCCTCATCCTCATCCTCATCACCCCCATCATCCTCATCACCCTCATCCTCATCACGCCCATCACCCTCATCATCCTCATCACCCTCATCATCCTCATCCTCATCACCCCCATCATCCTCATCCTCATCACCCCATCATCCTCATCCTCATCACCCCATCATCCTCATACTCATCACCCCCATCATCCTCATCCTCATCACCCCATCATCCTCATCCTCATCACCCCCATCATCCTCATCACCCCCATCACCCTCATCCTCATCACCCCCATCACCCTCATCCTCATCACCCCCATCATCCTCATCCTCATCTGTCCATGTATGAACCCCCTCCTCCTAACACAGTTGGAAAGAGCATCCCATCATGCTGCCGTCTGCTTCATAGCAAGAGGGAGGCTGAAGACCAGAGGGTTTAGGGCACTGGCCCAAGGTCAGATGGAAGGCCAATGCCCCATTCTGCAATGTGACAGGGCATCACAAGTGAGATCAGAACATGGTTCTGCTCCACTTATGACGCTCGCACAGCCTGCACATTACCACAGAGCAGATCAGTATGAACCCAGAAAGGTGCCCAAGAAGAAGTGAACACAGGAAAAGCCAGAAAATCCAGGATGCTGGCTTTTACAGACTCCATCGCTGGCGGTTTGAGCAGAACTGCCTCAGTCCCACAGCGACCCCTGGTGGTCGCTTCAAGAAGGGCATCAAAATGCTCCCCCAAAGCACGGAACAAACAAAGCCAAGAAGGGGAAGAAGCCCACAGCCCCGAAAGGGTGGGCAGGAGGGAGGCTCCCTCCAGCCAGGGAAGGTGGCCCTTCCTCAGGTACTAGAGAAAATACTACCTGGGACACCTACAGAGACCCAGCTAAGAGGGTGACTAGCTCTGCTGGGCCTGGATTCAAGCCTGAGCCCCCCGCTCACCAGCTCTGCAGCCTCAGCCAGGGCCCTTCACCTCCCTGACCTCAGTGTCTACTTCAGCAGAACCTGTGGGTATATGCCTACCTCATAAGGTTGTTTGGAAGATCAAGGAGATAATGCTGAAAAAACTGCTGCACAGCAGTGACACGCTATAAAGGGCTCTCTAATGCAAATCAAAACCACAATGAGATACCGCTGTACAACCACTAGGATGGCTGGAATCAAAAACATTTTTTAAAGGAAGATAAAAAAGGGTTGGTGTGGCTAGGGACAGTGGCTCACACCTGAAATCCCAGCACTTTGAGAGGCCAAGGTGGGCAGATCACTCAAGACCAGCAGTTTGAGACCAGCTTGGGCAACATGGTGAAACCCCATCTCTACAAAAAACACAAAAATTAGCTCGGTGTGGTGATGCACACCTGTACTCCCAGCTACTCAGAAGGCTGAGGTAGAAGGATCGCTTGAGCCCAGGAGGTAGAGGCTCCAGTGAGCCAAGATGGCACCACTGCACTCCAGCCTGGGCAACAGAGTGAGAATCCATCTCAGAAAAAAAAAAAAAAAAAGCTGGGGGGCGGTCGGTGAGGATGTGGAAAACCAGGAAACCAGGAATCTTCATGCATTGCTGGTAAGAATGTAAAATGGGGCAGCTGATGTGGAAAACAGCCTGGAAAGTCATCAGCAAATTAAACCTAGAGTTACTGTACGACACGACCCAGCAATTCTGCTCCTAGGTATACACCCATGAGAACTGAAAACAGGTGTCCCAACAAAAACTTCAACACAAATGTTCAACAGCAGCACTATTCACAACAGCCACAGCCCAAATGGCCACAGATGATGAAATAAACAAAAGGAGGCATCTCCATACAACGGAATATGTTTCAGCCATAAAAAGGAATGAAGGATGGAGACAAGAGACAACATGATAAACTCCAAAACCATGACACTATGTGGAAGAAGCCAGAAAGGACGCATACTGTGTGATGCCCTATATAGGAAATGTCTAGAACAGGTCAGTCCATAGAGACAGAGAGTAGGGGAACGGGGAGTGGCTGCTTTAGCTCCTATGAGGCTTCCCTGTGGGTTGTTGAAATGGCTGGGAACCAGAGAGAGGTGACAGCTGCACAACACTGCAAATGTACGAAATGCCACTGAATTGTGCACTTTAAAATAATTATGCTTGAGAATTTCACTTTTAAAAAATGCCAAAGTGGAATTTAGAGGGGAAAAAACAAACAAACAAAAACCTAACCATTGAGGGCTGCCTTGAGCCACCTGGCTTCCAGCTGCAGTCACCAATGTGTGCCAGTGACCCGCAGCTTCAGCCCCACCCCAAGGCCAGGCCTGGAAGCCTAACGGTGCGGTACCAGGCTGGCCCTGGCAATGCCTGCCCACGCCGCTGGGGCCCGGCCCCTCTCGGGATGCCTGTGCCACCAACATGAGACCTACCCACTGCCCACTGAAGCCTAGGACAGTTGGCAGAGTCTCCAGGACCGGGTCTCACTGCTGGACTATCCTCAAATCCTGGTTCCCCCAACCACGTGACAGCCACGATGGACACTTGAAATCAATGCTCTCCCCCTGGAGCGTCCTTCAAAACCCAGCTACCAGGGCACCTCTTCCTGGAAGCCTACTCTCACCAGCCTTCACCCACCTGCCTACAGTGGCTAAAATGAGCCCTTGATCCTCCTTGGAGCCCCTACTTCCTTGTCTGGAGGGCACTAGATATGAGCCTGTTTCTCCCATTAGTCTAGACGCTCCCTGGGGCCCAGACAGTGTCACAATGACTCAATCAACCATTTTTAATGAGCACCTACTATGTACCCCATGCTGCTCAGAACACAGCAGTTAACAGGGAGACAAGGAGAGGACCACTGTATAACAAAGCTGGGTCTATATTAATTCAAATAATGATGTCACCAGCAGGGTGATGAGACAGATCAGTGATCAGCAAAATTTCTTTTTGTTGAGATAGAGTCTCACTCTGTTGCCCAGGCAAGAGTGCAGTGGCAATCATGGCTCATGCAGCCTAAACCTCCTGGGCTCAGGCACTCCTGCCTCAGCCTCCTGAGTAGCTGTGACCACAGGCATGTGCCTCCACACCTGGCTAATGTTTTAAATTATTTGTAGAGACAGGGTCTCGCTATGTTGCCCACGCTGGTCTCAAACTCCCGGGCTCAAGTGATCCTCCAGCCTCAGCCTCCCAAAGTGCTGGGATTACAGGCATCAGCCACCATGCCCAGCCCAAAGCTTTTCTTTAAAGGCCTAAACAGCAAATATTTTTGACTTTGCAGGCCACACAGGTCTCTGTTGTGATGACTTAACTCTGCCACTGTGGCAGAAAAGCAGTCATATAAACACACATGTGTATACAGATACACAAACAAGTGGTCGTGGCTGTGCCAATAAAACTTTATTTACAAAAACCAGCAGCAGCTAGAATTGGCTGGATTGGCTGAACCCGGGATAGAGGAGGGTTGGGGGTGTGTGTTCCTGTACAAGGCTGACAGTGGCCTCTTGGTGTCAGGGACATCTGAGCAGAGACCTGAATGATACCAGGGAGCAAACCATGAAGAGCTGGGAAAAGGCAGATTATCAAAGAATTGTATATTAACTCATATTTAAAACAAAGTTATAAAATGAATGTTATAAATATTTATATCAGCTTTTTCTCCGCTTGTCTTTGTGTGGTTTCAACAGTGACAATGAGGATTTATTTTTAATCTCGGGATCTTGCTCCCTCCTCTACAAGTTGTCCATTTTACAGGCAAGGAAACCAAGGCTCCAAGAGATGAAGGTTCCAGGGCCACACAGCTAGTAAAGAGCAGTTAGGAGGCCAGTCCATTCAGATTCCAGAGCCAGGGGCTGTTTCCCCACATTACAGATAAGGAAAGTGAAGCACAGAGAAGGGACTGCCCACCCCACGTTGCCTGGTACTGGAAGAAACAGGATCTGAACCTGGACAGACTGGCTAGAAATCCTGAACTTTCACCCTCCATTCTTGTGCTGTCTAATGCGGCAGCCTGTGTGGCTATTCAAAGGCACATTTAATACGTATATTAAATAAAAATTAAAAATCAGTTCCTCAGTCGCAGTAGGCACATTTCAAATGCTCAACAGTGGAACATGGCTATCCTGCAGATACACAGTGTTTCCATCATGGCAGAAAGTTCTGTGGATGTGCTCCTGTCCAATAAACGTAAAGGGCATAAAAACCAGTGAGCACCCAGGAACTTGGGAAGGGCTTGGCACATGTCTGTGACACCGCTGTCACTGCTGCTAGAATGGAGACTCAGAACAAACACTCCCCCTCCCCCTGCCCATTCACACCTGCTTCTTCTTCAGCTTAGAGATCTGCTGCTCTACCATGGTGATCTCTCGGTCCACGCGGTCCATGTTCTGGATCAGCTCCTCCTTGGACAGCCGTGGCGGCACCAGCTCCAGCTCAGGGTCAGTGTGCGGGGGGCTGGGGGGAGACACCGGTTCCAGCTTGCCCGTCAGGCTACGGTCCTGTGGCAGAAAAAAAACGGGCATGGGGTCAGCACAGGGGACACCCCCCAGTCTGTACAACCCTGTGATGGTTAATACTGTCAACCTGATTGGATTGAAGGAGGCAAAGTATTGATCCTCGGTATGTCTGTGAGGGTGTTGCCAAAGGAGATTAACATTTGAGTCAGTGGGCTGGAGAAGGCAGACCCACCCTTAATCTGTGTAGGCACCATCTAATCAGCTGCCAGCGAATATAAAGCAGACAGAAAAATGTGCAAAGGCGAGACTGGCCTAGCCTCCCAGCCTACATCTTTCTCCCGTGCTGGATGCTTCCTGCCCTCGAACATCACACTCCAAGTTCTTCAAGCTTTGGGACTCAGACTGGCTTCCTTGCTTCTCAGCCTGCAGATGGCCTGTTGTGGGACCTTGTGATCGTGTGAGTTAATACTCCTTAATAAACTCCCCTTTATGTAATATATATATATATTTTTTCTATTAGTTCTGTCCCTCTAGAGAACCCTGACTAATGTAGTTGCCAACTTTTTGCCTGCTGCCATCCATGTAAGATGTGACTTGCTCCTCTTTGCCCTCCGCCATGATTGTGAGCCCTCCACAGCCACATGGAACTGTGAGTACAATTAAACCTCTTTCTTTTTTAAATTGACCAGTCTTGGGTATGTCTTTATCAGCAGCATGAAAACGGACTAATACACACCCCCTCCCCAATACACCCCGGGTTTCCATCCCTGACTCCAGGCCCAGAGTCCTGGACATCTGTCAGGACAGTCCTCACCTGTTCAAGGATCCCATTCCCATCCCAGCCATCACCCATTCTCCAAAATTCAGAGTCCCTTACAGCCTTCAAGATGCGGTTCAAATGCTCTTGCTACATGAATGGTTTCCCAGCCTCTCCTCAAGTTGTGAAGTCTTCCAACTCCCTGTTCGCGTAACACACCTCTCTTCTTCCACTTACCCCATCTGTGTGTTCCCCACCAGCCCAAGGAACGAAGACCCACAGCCTCCATTCTCCCAAGGCCTGGCCTCTGCATACCCTCTGTAAACATTCATCCATGAAGCTCAGTCCAAACACGCAAGTTCCAGAACCATGCAGCCAACACACACGTGGCTTTGCAGAAAACATATGTTCCCAAACACACGGAAAAGCCATCAGAACGGGCTACAGTTAAGCTAAAAGGAGTTATCTCGGCAGCAGGGCAGAAGAGGGTATTTTTACTTTCTTCTTTTTATTTGCCCGTTATTTTTTCTGATCTTCTTTCACTGAGAGTCACTCTTTGTGTAATACAGCTGTTTTGAAAATGTGCTTAACAACAAAGGAAGCCTGCATTCAGTTATCCATGGACGCCTTCATCCCACCAGCTAAAGTCTGGTGCACCCAGGCTGTGCTGGAAACACTCTCAGGATAAGGAGGTTAGAAAAAACAACCCAGGCCTCACCTGTGCAGCCCTGGGTTCAAATCCCAGCCCCCTCTGCCACTCTCCAGTTCCGTGACCTCCAGCAGGTCATTCAACTGCTTCCTGCCTCAGTTCCTCATCTGCCCAATGGGGAGAACAGCTGGCACCTCCCCGGTCCTTGTGAGTCTTGAATGAGTTAATGGCTCTGAGCCTGGCATACCGTAAGCCTCAATAAATGTTGGCTGGGATGGTCCTCCCCTAGCTGGGCTCCAGAACCCAGCCCCCGCCCTGTGCCATCCTTGGGGCCAAGCCGGCAGCTGCTGGCAGACAAGGCCCAGAGCAGCGCCAGGCCACCACCTCCCCGCCCCCGCAGCAGCTGCACCCAGAGGACACAGGGTGCATTATTCTCCGGACAACTGCAGCCCGGGGGCCACCGAGTGCCCCACCAACCTCAGGATTCACAGAGGCTGCATCATCTTCTGTCCACTCCTGCCATCCTCAGGGCCTCTGTCCTCCCCTCACCCCACAGAGCCCCAGCAAGACCCACAGGGGCCAAGAGTCTTGGAGTCACATTAGGTTTGCCTCTGGCCTCTGTTACCATGTGAGATGTGGGGGCAAGGACAGCAGGGGCCTGGACAACCCGGTGCTCCCTCCACACACACGGACTCCTCGAGGGAAACAGAGAAAAGGGCTCATATCCCTCAATCGCCCCAATGCAGTCCTCCATGCTCCTCAGGCCACCTCCCCCAGGGACACCTAGAAATCACACCTGGGGCCGCTCACAGCTCAGCCTATCCCAGTCCTCTGCACACCCCATGAAGTCCTCTGCACACCCCATGAAGTGGATCCCACAACAGCCCTCCGAGGGGACTGCTGCTCCATCTCCATTACGCAGAGGCAGAAACAGAGCCTGGAGGCCACTGGGGCTGGATGCCAGAGGCCGGCACTTTCCTATAAAGGGCCAGATGGTAAAAATAGCTCAAGCTTTGAGGGCCACAAGGTCTCTGTCTCATCTACTCACCCCTGCCATTGTATTGCAAAAGCAGCCACAGGCAACGGGGAACAAATGGGCATGGCTGTGTGCCAATAAAACTTTATTTACAAAAACACACTGAGGGCCAGATTTGGAGCTTGCTGGAGTTTGCTGGCCTCCTGCTCTAAGCAATTCACAAATCTTAATCCACGTAACCGTCATAACCACCGTGGGAAGTGGGATTTCTGTTTGACGACATGCCCAAGGCCACTCAGCATCCTACCTTGGAAGGTGCTTGAAGGGGGAGGCTGCAGGGGCTCCCACGTCAGAAATGGCCACACATCTGTTCACCCCACAGAACCGTGGGGCTGAGCCATGTGGGGACTCCACGTGGGGTCCCAGCCACACATCCGTTCACCCCACAGAACCATAGGGCTGAGCATAAGCGCCAAAGCAGCACCCCTTCCAGGGACCCAGAGTGCAGGACCTCCAGAAACTCAAGGCAAAAGTGTGTGTGGAAGAAAAACTCCCTAGAAAAAGCCTCAGGAGTGTGTATGCACGTACCAGTGGGTGTGGGGCCCTCACTGCTCCCCAACAGGAAGGCAGGCAGGGGGCCATGGGCATCTGACCCCACCCACAGCAAACCATGGACAGCTCATGCGTCTGGCACCCCCGGGCCTTTGCACAGGCTGGCTCCGCTACCCAGAGTGCCCAACACCCCTTCTGTGCCAACTGACGTGAGACATCCCCACGCCACCGCCCAGGCCCTCACTGCGGTCCACCTTGGGTGCTTGGCTGGTCTCTCCCTACAGCCCATGTCATTTCTTGAGGTTCTTAAGACAAAAGGTGGCAGCAAACATGGCACCCAGAGCCCGGTCGCACTACTGGTGGCAAGAAACATCTCCGCTATCCTATCTCTGCTCTTCCACCTGGACCAAGAAGAGAGATAACAGAGCAAGGACAAGGATGTGGAAGGAAGGGCTATGGGGGCCAGGCCACCCTAAAACTCTGAGAGCAAACTGCTCGTCCAACCTGGGAATAATTCTCCAAAGCAACATTAACAAAAAGAAGATTTCCATCCCCAGGGCTAACAGGCAGCACCAGGAGTAAAAGCAGCGGCTGGCAACCACTAGCAACACTTGGAAAAGTTGCTGAAAACTTACTTCCTTTAAACTCTCCATGGATAAAAGCCGTTGTCTTTAATGGGTTCTTCTTTAAGTTCGGGTTTAGCTTTTATTCGCAGCAAAATTGCACAAGTAAGTCCATCACCTGATGAACAGATAAATAAAACATGGCATATCCATACAAGCAATGTGAAGGGCTGGACATGGAGGCCGAGGCAGGAGGATTGCTTGAGCCCAGGAGTTCAAGACCGCCTGGGCAACATAGCAAGACCCCATCTTTATTAAAAAAAAAAAAAAAAAAGGAATGAAGCACTGACCCAGGCTACACTGTGGATGAACCCCGAGAATATGATGCTGAGTGGAAGTGGACAGACATAAAAGGCTGCAGAGTGTACAATTCCACTTACAAGAAATGTCCAGAATAGGCAAATCCAGAGAGATGGACAGTGATTCGTGGTTGCCAGGAAAAAGGAGGAGGGGGAAGTGGGGGGTGACATGGTTTGGCCGTGTCCCCACCCAAATCTCATCTTGAATTGTAGTTCCCATAATTCCCACATGTCATGGGAGGGGCCAAGTGGAGGTCATTGAATCATGGTGGCGGTTTCCCCCGTCCTGTTCTCATGATGGTGAGTGAGTTCTCATGAGATCTGATGGTTTATAAGGGGCTTTCCCCACTTTTGCTCAGCACTTCTTGCTGCTGCCATGTGAAGAAGGACGTGTTTGCTTCCCCTTCCACCACGACTGTGAGTTTCCTGAGGCCTCTCCAGCCATGCAGAACTGTGAGTCAACTAAACCTTTTTCTATTATAAATTACCCTGTCTCGGGTATGTCTTTATTAGCGGTGTAAGAACAGACTAACACAGGGAGTGACTGATTAATGAGTATGGGGGTCTCCTTTTGGGGTGATGAGAATGATCTAGAACTAGACAGGTGACAGCTGCACAACATTGTAAATGTCCTACAAGCCAACGAGCTCTTCACTTTAATGTGGTTACTTTTTTGTGAACCGACCCTCAACTGAAAAAGAAGAGGCAAACCCGGATTGCCAAGAGCGCTTCCCCTGGTGCTGGGTTTCCCAGGACGGGGGCTGAGGGAGCCTGGCGGTCAGGCCTGCAGGTGCACTCCTGATGACTGTCCACCTTCCCACTCACCCAAAGCTGCAGGGAACAAAACAACAAACTAATACACCCCGCACAAGTTGCCAGGGGGCAGTGGGTACCTCTTACTCATCAGATGCCCCTGGTGTAAAACTTCAAGCTAGCGTGAAAGAGAAAAGTTTATTATGCAAAACTGAAGACAGAGAGGCAGAAAAGCCCCTGGGCTCCCCTGTGCCAGCTCCAGGAAAAAGCAGGGCCCAGCTTCACGCACTCCCAATACACCCCCTACTCCGGCCACAATGACAGGTTCTAGGACAGGCATGGGCCCACTCATGGTGAGGAGGAAAAGCAGTTTGGGGCTAGAAATGCGGAGAGGAGGAGGAAGAGTTCTCTCTTTTTGCTGGCCTTGAACCTGGAGGAAGGCCTGGAGTCACCGGCTTCCTTCCTGCTAACACACCAAGACCCTGTGAAAGATGGCAGAGCCAAGGGATGAAAAGGGACAGGGTCCTGAGGACATCGTGTCACCTAGATCAAGCTGTTACCTGAAGCTAACCAATGCTGGACTTCAGTTATGTGAGCCAGAATTCATGTTTATATTTGATAGGGGCTGTCTGTCCCCCTTAGGGATTTTCAGAGATAGTGCTATTTGTGACAATTCTAAAGTCCCCAAAACAAAGTTCGGTGAATTCCCAAGGAAGTCTCTGATGCCACAAAACTCCGGAGGCTGAAGAGCAGAGAAGCATCAGAAAACAGGAACACGGTGGGGCAGAGGGGGCACACACAGAAAAATCCCATCAAATTCCTGCCTCAGGCGCCCAGCTGAATTCCACACAGCAGATGCAGAAAACCTCTCAACTCGCTCTCCCAGGCATCTTCCCTTGCTCAGACTTTCCAAATCTCTTCACGGCCTGGAGCAATTACTGCGGCCAGGCTGGTCAGGCCCCAGCACCAAGCTCATCACACCTCCACCTTGTGGTCCAAGCAGAGAGGAGAGAGAGACAGACACAGAGACGAAGACAGACAGACAGATCGAGAAACAGAAATGGACATAGATGAAGACAGAAACAGAGACAGAAAGACAGAGACGTGGTGACAGACACACACAAACAGAAAGAGATAGAGATAGAGGGACACAAAGAGAAAGAGATGGAGAGGCAGAGACACAGACAGAGACAGACACAGAGACTAAGAGAGATCCCAGAGGGCGCACCACAGGCAGAGGCATTCCTGACAAGAAGAGGGAAAGCCAGGCAGGCAGAAAGAACCACAGAGCAACGGTAAGGGACGGAGACCCTCTAGAACCCACAGAGCAACGGTAAGGGATGGAGACCCTCCAGAACCCACAGGCCAGAGCGCACGGACGTGCTGGAGAGGCGGGCAGGCAGCAACTCACCCCTCGGGCCTGCTCTCTGCGCAGAGACAAAACGCGCACCTGGGGGACAACTGCCCACTCAGGGGTTGGTCACCCTCCAAGGCTGGGCCCTGAGCTGCCTGCGCACAAACACATGCACACACACGTGCACATGCACACACACGCACACACAAACACACGCACACATGCATATACACACATGCACACTCACGCACATGCACGGACACATGCACACACGTGCGCACACAAACACACATACACACGTGCAACACATGCACACTCACGCACACACACAAACACGCATGGACACACGCACGCACACACAGGTACATGCACGCACACAGGCACATGTGTGCACACACGCATACACACACACACACAAACACGCAGGGACACACACAGGCACATGCGCGCATACACACGCACATGCGCGCACACGCACACACACACCCGCACCCACACACAAACGCGCACACACACGCACGCGCGCGCGCATGCACACACACACCCTGGCCTGCTATCCATCCAGGCCCCACTTCAGGGGAGTTGTTCAAATGGAAACATCTCTCCCAGGAGGCTGAGCTAAAATTCTCTCCTGCCTTCTGTAACAACAAAACAAAACAAAAGAGGAGAAAGCAGATTCCAGTGCTAATGGGGGATGCCAGGCAGAGGGAGGAGGGCACCCCACCAGGGAGACCAGAGGGGAGACCCACAGCAGCAGGTCAACCTGGAGGCAGGCATGGGGTGCACTCCCAGCTGCCTGGGCCTGAATCCCGTTCCCCCACGTCCAGCTCGCTCAGCCTGGGGCCGTCTACAAAAGGGGGTCACAGACCCAGCCTCCTTGGGCTGGGAAGAGATCAGGGAATGACACTGGCTGGGCATGACTTGGCACGTGGCAGGCAGTCGGCGCTCACTTAATGGCACCCGCCATCACTGCAGCATTCTTACCACTGCGTGAATGCCTCCTGCGTGCCAGCCTCCTGATAAAGGAGGTGCCTCACCCTAGGGGTCAACCATTCAATCCAATCCGGCCGCACTGGGCAGAAAAGGGGACCCTGTAGGCCTGAGTGGCCACTTCCCTCCCCGGGGCTGTCTCCCAGTCCCCACCGCCCACCCCTACTCCCGCTGCAGGAGGAGGATGGCCTTTGCCCTGAGGCTGCTAAGGAGCTTAGGGTGCCCCAGGGCTGTGCAGGGAGGGGCCCGTGTCACAGCTGGCCGGGCACCAGGCTACAACAAGGATTAGGATGCCACCTGGCCACAGCCCCACCCTGGCCTGGGCAGTCAGACACAGCTGGGTGGCTGAGTGACCCTGGGGGACTGAAGCCTCTGGGGACACTGCCTGCGATTCCCCCACCAGCCCTGCCATCGGCATCCTCTGTGGAAGCTGGAGAGAGAACAAGCCTCCAGCCTGGTATGTCCTGAGCTTTACTGAAACCACAGCAAACTCCCACAGCAGCAAACCACAGGTGCTTAATCTGTGCACATCCTCACCACCGCCACCGTCTAGGTTCCACTTTCTGTTTCAAAGAGGAGTGAAATCAAAGGGCTGTGGAGGGCACTGGAGGCGTGGCAGGCCCCAGGCTGGACACACACGTGGGAGGTGTCGTTCTCCAGCCAAGAAATGGCCACGGGCCAAGCACCCCCAGGCGCCCTTGTCCGGCTGTGAGTTGTGAGTTCCTGCAAGGGCTGACTGGGCTCACAGGACCCTGGACTCCAGGCGAGTGGGGGAAGGAGGGGGAGCGGATGGGGGTAGGGGGTGGGGGAGCAAGGGAATGGGGGAGGTGAGTGGATGGGGGAGGGGCAAGGCCACTGGTGGGAGATGATGGCAGGCAGAACCCATGGGTGAGGGGCGGCTGGGAGGTGAGGGGGAGGGGCAGGTAATGAAGGCAAGGACAGATGGCCGCAGGCAGATGGGCTGGGTGGCGCTGGGTGGTGGCTGGGAGTGGCTCTGTGGTAGGGAGGTTGCCCCAGGGGATGAGCAGGGAGAGATGGCAGGAGCTGAGGAAGCAGGGGGTGAAGGGGAGTGAGCAGGACAGGGGGGCTGTTTGGGTGGAAAGAAAGAGAGGGAGGAAGAAGGAGGGAGGAAGGTGTAGAAGGAGAGAAGGAAGGGGAGGAAGGGCAGGAAGGATGTGCTGGAAGGGTTGGGCGTCGGGGCAGGGATGCTGGCTGGGGTACCCGAGGGGGCAGTGCCCGAGAGGAACTGGCATCGACACCAGTCCCAAGCCCAGACCCAAGTGCAGGCGGCCCAAGCCCCAGGCCACAGAGACCCCCTTCAAGGCCGGCAGGGCCCCTGTGGCTGAATCTCACACCCCAGGAGGACGTGGTGGGGCTGCAGCCTCAGCCATGAGTGGCCTCGAGAGTCCCCACAGGGCTAGCCACAGGTCTCCCCTGCCATGCAGGCCCTGGAGGGCAGCCAGGGCTGGAAGGAGCGAGGAAAGAGGAATGTGCCTGGGGGAGGGCGCTCCTGCGGAGGGCACAGCCGGTGCAAAGGTCCCCAGGTGGGAATGTGCCTGGCGTGTTTGAGGAACTCCAGGGTGGCCTGGGAGGCTGTACGTGAGCGGTTGAGAGGGCTGCTGCAGGGAGATGAGGTCAGGGAGGTGACGGGGCTGGATCACGCCGGACCTGCAGCCCATGGCAAGGATTTTGGCTTTTTCCTGCTTGAGACAGGAGCCATGGATGGTTTGGAGCACAGGGGGGAACACACAGGGGGATGCAGTCGTCTGCCTTTATAAGAGCCCTCTGGCTGCTGCTTGGAAGATAAACTGAAGGGAGTAGAGGGAGGCAGGAGCAGGGAGACCCAGGAGGAGGCTACTGCAAAGTTACTGGAGAGCAATGACGAGCTCAGGCCGGGGGTTGCCTCAGGTGTGGGCAGAAGGCTGGAATTGAGATATTTTAGGGCAGAGGTGTCAGGATTTGCTGATGGACTGGAAGTACGCAGGAGAGCAGGGAGGTGGCCAGGGTGGAGTCCCTGAGTGCCAACAAGAACACAGCTGCATCCGCCGGGGGAGGTTCCTGAGTGGGCTCTCAGGCGCATGTGGTCTGTTGGCTAGGAGTTCATTAACTGACCTCCACTTTCCTGTGACAACTTGGTGAGGCGGGGACTGCCCCAGTGGCAGGGAGGCCAAGCCAGCCAACGACCACACAGACACCCCAGCCCCTCCCTCCCCTGGCCCCAGAGGCAGCCCTGTGGGTATCTGGCAGGTGTGCAGGTGTCGGGGCCACAGCCACTCAGAGCAGGAGGGGAAGCCCAGCCATCCCAGCCCCAGGACGGCACCCCCACCTCCTGCCAGCCCAAGCCCACCCCAGGGATATCCCAGGTTCCACGCAGGTATCCTCTCTCCCCGAGAGAAGGCCGAGTCTGGCCCAGGTGGCCTGGCCCCGCAGCCAGACCACCACCCATGCCGGCTCACGGGTGCCAAATAGTTCCCACGCATGGGGCCCACAGCCGAGCCCTCTACCCACATGACCAGGTGACACCCTGCCCACAAGGTCCCAGATCAGTGAGGAAGAAATGGGGATCAGAGAGGCACAAAGGCAGCACAGCTGTGGAGGTGGGGGTGGTGGAAATCGCACCTGGGTCACCTGAGGGCAGATGGACGGAGGGCCCTGGGATAAGTGAGTGTGCCCAGGTGAGGCCTGGGCCCACCTGCAATGCCAGGCAGCCCCCCATGGAGATGCAGACGAGCCTGAAGTTGTCTGGCTCCCCTGCCCAAAGTGCATCCGTGGTCCCTCAGGCCTGGGTGGCTGCAGACTCAACCCACGCTAGCCCAGTGCCACACGGTGGCCCAAGGAGCAGCCAGACTGGGCAGTAGAAGGCGGCTTTGTCATTCTAGGGGTCCAGGCCATGTCCTAACCAAGCACCGCCCCTTTAGTGCTGAGCCAACTCTGTCTCATCTCACTTTGCGGGACTCTGGAGTCTCCCCTCCCTGACCCTTAAGAATCCAGAAGCCTCAGGTGCCTGGCAGAGCCCTGAGCTGTCCACCTCGCGGGCCGGGGTTCAAGGCCCAGGGGGCTGCCTGCTGTGCAGGGCTCGAGGCAGGGGTCACTGAGCCCCCTGTTCCAAGCAAGCATGGAACCAAACAACCCACCCTCGAGGAAGCTCTCAGAATGTGCTGAAAGCTGCCCACCGACCACAGGACGGTCCTGACCCCCATCGAATGGCAGCTCTCTGCTCCACGGCACCCCAGGCCCTCCCATCCCAGCTCTCCCCTCCCTCACGCCAGCTACCCCGTGACCACAAGCCTATTCCTGCCCCAGGGCCTTTGCACTTGCTGCTCTGCCCACCTGGAACACCTTCCCCACTTCTTCCCACACTCTGGCACCTCCAGAGACCCAGCGCCTGCCCTCTTCCTGCCACCCAGCTCTGTGCACCCGGTGCTTGGCCCACCTCCAAGCCTTTGCCCGAGCTGCCCCCTCCCTGCACCCCTACCCACCACCTCCCACCCAGCCCAACCAGCAGCAGAACCTCAAGCGGGAGAGGAGCTCCCAGCTGGGGGCCCAGGCTTACCTTGGTGAGGTCTTCAGATCCCGCAGGCTGGCCCGTGGCCAGCAGGGGTGACGGTCGCAGCAGGGGGTCAGGCAGCAGCTCTAGCCGAGGGCGCTTGCTTTCAATGAACTCCATCTCTGACTTCCCCAGCTCGGGCAGGTATGAGTGGGACTCTGGCCGCAGGTGGAGCTCCTGGGACCTGCAGGAGGTGAGGCATCCAACGTCACATAGGAGATTGCGGCTCTGAGAACTCCCGAGGCCCCGACCACCCTCTGCGCCGAGCATCTACTGCGCGCCGTGCTCTGTATGATCCTGCCAGGAAGGTGCTCACAGGAGCCCACCTCCCACGGTCCCACAGCAGGGCAGGACTCCAATGCAGCGCTGCCTTCCTTCAGGTCCACATTCACCGAGGACATTTACAGGGAGGGAGTGTGCTACGGTGGCACTGGAACACCCCAGAGTGACTGCCCCTCCCTTGCTACGGACCACCCCACCGTCCCCACCTGGGGCTGGCTACAATGCAGAATCTCCAGTACCATCTGAGGCCTACTGAGTCAGACTCGGCATTTTAACAAGATCATTGGGTGGTTCACAGGCACAGTCCATCCGGGAAACGCTGTGAGCCTAACACAGATAACAGCACCCGTGATGCCATTTCCCTCTCACCCACGCAGGGCAGACATCGCTGGCCGATCGCAGAACTCTTGCTGCTGAACCTGGCCTAACCACCTTCTCAACTCAGCCTAGCAGCCTGGTGCAGAGACTGGAGCTGCCCAGTTTCCCCAGCGACTGGCTCTCCTGAACCCTCCTCCGCAGTGTGCCTAGAGAGGGCATGGCCTTGCCTAACTAAGCACACCCCACGGAGCTGGGACTCCTGGCCTCCACCTCTGAGGCTCCAACCATCACCCACCAGAAAGAGCCTGAATATGGGCCTTGCTGAAATGCTTTTCCCAGAGGCTAAGCAGGGAATCCACAGCTGTTCCCCTCCTGCACAAGCCCTGCCTGGCCTGGCCCTCGCTGTCCCGCCACTGCACTCCTGCCCCAGGGCCTTTGCACCTGCTGGGCTCTGCCTGGAGCACTGAGACCTCAGGCCCTCCATGTGAGCTCCTCCCCTTCCTGTCATGGTGCAGATGGCGCCTCCTTGTCCCAGGCCAGACCACACTACACCCGCCTGTCTGCTCTCTCTCCACTGCCCTCCCACGCGCTTGGTGACAACAGGTGTTTCCTGGCCACCTCCCCCACCCATGAATGAACGCAGGGTGGTTCACCTGTCTTGTTCATGGCTGTCCCCAGGTACTGGCGCACAGTAGGTGTTCAATCAGTGCCTGTAGACTGACTGAATGCTGCCCACTGCAGCACGGGCTGGGGCCGTGTTGCTGGCCCCCCCGGGGAGCGGGGCAGCCACCCCTCTGTGCTCACCTCCCTGGAGGGCCCTCAAGTCCTTGTCCCTCCAAAGCTGGGCCCCAAGACATCCCCCTCTTCAAGGCCCAGAACCCAGGGCTTCACCATTACATGGGGCTTGGCAGGAAGCGCATGGTGTTTTCTCTTAAACATGATAGTGGCACTGCAGTGGCTCAAATAATGTCCTCCCAAAATCCACGGCCACTGGAACCTCCAAATATAACATCCTCCCAAAATGCACAGCCACTGGAACCTCAAAATAAGACCTTCTTTGGACCTAGGGTCATTGCAGATGGAATTAAGCTAAGATGAGGCCATCCTGGATTAGGATCACTGGGATCCTTGTAACACAACAAGAGAACACAGAGACAGACAAGGAAATGGCCACGTGAGACAGAGGCAGAGGCAGAGGCAGAGATTGGACCGATGCAGCCACAGCTGAGGAACGCCTGTAGCCCCCAGAAGCTGGAGGAGACAGAAAAGCATCCTCCCCTTGAGCCTTCTGAGGGGGCGCGGCCCTGCGGACGCCCTGACTTCAGATCACGGGAATGCACTTCTGTGGCTTGAAGCCGCCCAGTTTGTGGCACGTTGCGACGGCAGGCCCAGGAAACCAATCCAGGTACAGAAGGCACGCTGCCTCGGCCTCCCCTCCTCCAGACGCCTGCGCCCACCTGAGTTCACCAGCCCCGCCTGATCTGGGGCCCTGGGACACCTCCGTGGTACCATGAAGGGCTGGGGCCTGGTGCCTCGACTTCTAGTCCTGGCTGAGTAAACAAGAGCCCATCCCTCAACCTCGCAGCCTCAGCTGCCCCATCTGAGAAATAGGCACAATTCCCCACACCTCAGCCGTCTCCAGCAGAAGCTCCTAGAGAAGATGGGAGAAAGAACGTGGCCTACCGATCCCAAGTGAATGCATGGAGAGCTGGCTCTGACCCAGCCCTGGCCCTCCCCTTGCTGTAGTCCCTCCAGCTCCCCACCCCACCTCCCTCCCACTCCCCACCTCCCTCTCACCCTACCACCTAACCTGTTCATTCCCTTCCCACCTGGATCAAGGAAAGTAAGGCTGGCCCAGCACAGGCACACACCAGAGGGTGTCCTCTGCCAGCTGGAGAAGAAGGAAGAATGGGAGGAGAGGGCAGGGGCCCCAGGGGCACCAGGTGTGGACTCAAATCTTCCCACAGAAGCCCAGCCCTGCTGCAGCCCAGCTTGGAGGTCCCCACTGCTGCCTAAACCCACAGAGGCCACTGAAGTTCCACGCTGGAAGTCTGAGGGCCACGTGGCTCTTCCCTGCTCGTCCCATCCTCACCCCGAGTCACGCCCACGCCAGGTCAAGGGTGAACACACGGCCCGACATCCCCTCATTTCACAGGACCCTGTGTGCTCCTGCTCTGCCACGGGCCTCTGCTTCTCCATCTGAGAAGGAGCTCTCACGCCCTGGACAGGGAGGCAGCAACTCTCTCCTCACCGTTCATTCCCGGGCTGGAACTCAGACAGCAGGGAGGGCCTCCGCCGCTGGGGCTGGATGATGGAGCCGGGCGACAGGTGGGAGGCATAGTCGCGGGAGTGGTGCTGGTACTCCAGGAGCCCGACGTCCTGCAGGAGGGGACAGAGGAGTGGTGAGCGTGGGCGGGCACGGGCATGGCGGGGCACGGCAGGGCACAGTGGGCAAGGCCGTGGACTCCCTGCTCAGGCTCGCTCCTGCCCTAGGCAGATAAGCCCAAGTCCTGCAGGGAACCTCAGGGACCGTCTGGCCAGAGGCTACCCTTGGGGCCGAACACCAAGGAGGAGAAAGAACACAGCTGAACGGCCCTGGGCTGCATCCTTCCCACACAGCATCCCAGGGACCCACGATCACGCCCACCTTCCAAATGAGACTGCCAAGCCTGGGAGGTCTGATGGGGCTGTCTGAGGCCACAGGCTAATACAGGCCTGGAACCATCCTAACCATGGCCTCTGTCTGCCGGCCATGCTGGCGTTGACTGGGGGGCCAGAGTAGAGGAAGCTGTCTTCGCTTTTCTACCCTCCCACCCCATCCTACCCCTGCCAGGCTGTGGGTCCCTCCAGCCTGAGGAGCTGAAGCTTGGAAATGCAGGCCTGGGAAGACAGGACTGAAGGTGCATACGGGGCAGCATTATTTGTAAAAACAGAAATGCATTTGCAGCAACAACTGGGAAAAGGCCCAACCTAGATGCCCAGCTCTTGGCAGGGTGGGTAAGTGATGCCCACGCGAGGGAACGAGGCTCGGGCCTCACTCGCCAGGAGAAGGATGGATGGTGGCAAGTGATGGCGACAAACACCCGACAGCCAGCGAGGCCCAAAGACCAGGTTTCAGAACAAAGCGACCCCTGACCCCAAGGCCGCCCTGTAAAAGAGGAACTCCCCGCTCGTATCACAGCCAGAAGGGTAAGCCTTAGGCAGACCTTCCTCCTTTAATAACACACCGTCGTCCATTTGACAAAGACTCTCCTTGCCCACACCTGAGTCAAGCTCCTCTGACCCATCCTCTCTCTACGGGGCCTCGGCCTTGGCCTTGGCCTTGCGGGGCTCTGCCCAGCTGCAGGCATCCTGCTAAGTCAGTCTAGAGGAACCCCCCACCCTCAAGCGCTCCTCTTAGTAATTTTCCATCCACCGACCCCTCCCTCCGCCCTGCGGCTAGGCTATGAGGCCCCAGCTGTCTTGGCCGTATTTGGCGCTGAGCCTGGTCTCTCTCCCTTATCGTGACAGTCTTGACGCTGATAGCACAATTGTCCTGTACGGTCTTCCTGCTTAACAAGAGTCCAAATACTTGTTTCTTTAACACATTATCCATTATCATAGGGGGTAAAACTCAATATCAACAAATTAGATGTATACCAATTGCCAAGTACACCCAGATTTGAGAAACATTAAACTGTGTTTAAAAAAAAAAAAAAAAAAAAGACAGTAACAAGCCTCTCAAACAAAAACAAGACAGGCTTCACTTACGCACCAATTCCAATAGATTAGTTCTGTCTGCCTGGAACACTCAGTGAGGCTGTTTGCGGCAATCAGTTAGTGATGTCTGACAGGTAAGGCTTTAGAGAGTGGGATTACAAGGGACTTCGTCTCTTCTTGGCACCTTTTTTTAATTTTCCCAATTTTCCATAAAAATCTAGTCACTCTTTTGTTGTCTGGCTTTTTCAACAAGGCAGTTATTTTTGCAAAGAGAATCAGAGACAATGCCAGGTGGGTGCGTTGATAATGTATCTGTTGCAGACCCAACAAAATCAGCACATAAGAGCCCGGGAGCCCAGAGGCCAGGAAGGATGAGCAAGTGGAATCCATGGGGACCCTGGCAGCCTCAGAAGCTGGAAAAGCTGGGGAAAGGACCTCCCTGGACAGTCCGATGTAGATACCAAAAGCTGCAAGGCCTCCAACAGAAGGTGTGTCTTTGGCCCTGTTATTCTAACCCTCTGAGCCTCAGTTTCTCCTCTTTGAAATGGGTGCCCAGCCCAGATTAAAGGAGGCCTGCACCTCCTACACTCATCTCCCTCACCTCTCTGAGGGATTCCCCCAAGGCTGAGAGCAGCCTCCAGAAGGCAGAAAAGGCACGAGCCTCCTCCTGCATCCCACAGTGTCTAGCACAAGACTCTAGGTGCTCTCAGTGGGAGGAGAAGGGAGAAGACGGGGCTGGAGGGAGGGAGTGGAGGAGGCCACTGGGCTGACAATGACGCAGCTGCCAGGCAAAGACCTTGCCACACACACAGAGGTGTGAGAAGAAAGCAGCAGGCCTCACAGTCTGCCAGGAGGATCCTCTCCACCCAGCTCTCCCATACCAAGGCCAAGTGGGCAGAGAAGCAGGGCGGACGGTCCAGTCCCTGGGAAGAGGGCCTCGGCCCGATAGTGCCCACGGCAGCCAACCATGGTGGAGGAGGCCCGAAGTGGGGGCTGGGGAGGCCTCTGCATGAACCCTTTGGCCTTCGTTTCCCAATTTAGGAGATCCTCCTAGGAGCATCTTGGGTGCCGTTTCTGCCCAAAATCTGTGGGCATTTTGTTACTGGACCCTAAACCCTGGGAGACACTCGGTCCACACTGGCCCCCACCACTAGGCTTGAAGCAGGTCACCAGGGTTGAGCCCAGGGACTCCCCCAACAAGAGTACCTGGAGGCTCTAGGGGAAGGCAAGAATTGGGGAGGCCCCACCAGAGAAACTGACCTGAGGTGGAGCCCAAGGGGTCCCATGAGCTGGAATACGCCCAGGCTGGAAACCACCTCGCCACGTCTCCAAGCAGGAGAGCTCCCCAACGCGACAACATTAATCATAAAAAACAACAATAATACCCCACAGTAATAAATTGCCTTTGTGTACCTGCAGCTAAACGCTCTAAATATATTAGTTAATTTCATCCCTACAGCAACCCTGTGAGGTGGGTATTACAAGAAGCCCCACACAAAGACGAGAAAACAGAGGCACAGAGAGGGTAAGTGGCTTGTCCACGTCACACAGCAATAAGGGGTACGTTCTGAGATGCAAGGCAAAGGCTGAGCTGGCTTTCTGAGGAGGGACAAGAGGGGACAGTCCCCAGGCTCTGAACCTGTCCCTGTAGGACAGCAGCAAACCTGACTTGGGCAGAGGGAGTCTGACCCAGCTGCTCAGAAAGGGAGGCAGGAAAAAGCCATTCAGGTGATGCCCCCTGGCCTCAGAGGGTTCTCCCTGACCATGGCACCTCTGAAGCTGGAAATCAGGGCCACCAATAAATTACACCCTTAAAACTCCTGGGAAAGGTGAGAGGCCACCAGAAAAAGCCATTCATCCAGGAGGGAATCCCAGCTGGTGCCTTCTTGGCTGGGTCCCAAGGGTGGGGAGGAGTGGCTGGGGGCAGAGAGGAGAAAGGGGCTAGATGCGGGGGGATGTTTGAGCATGGACTGGGAGAAGTTCCTTTGCGGGAGAGGAGTGCCCCTCTCTGGCCCCTGCATAGGGCTCCTTACTCCAGAAGGTGTCAAGGGAATGCCTGGGATTGCACACTGAAAGGAAAGGAAGAATTCAGCCCGTTCCTGGACCCTGGATTCATGGGAAAGCAAAGGAAGAATTCAGCACATTCCTAGACCCTGGCTGCATTCACGGGTCTCTCCCGGAATGATGGCGGCTACAGTCAAGAGAGCTCCCACCTCAGGACCTTTGCACATACTGTTCCTGCTGCCTGGAACATTCCTCAGCCAGATTCCCACATGCCTGGCCCTCTCCCTTCCTCCAGGTTCAGCTCCAAAGGCAGCTTCTCAGTGAGGCTCCTCCCCGACTCTCTACTTAAATCTGGGCTCCCCCAACCTCAGCCCTTCCCCTCATCTCCTTCCCAACTCGCCATTCCCCACAAGGAGGTCAGCTCCCTGAGACAAGGATGCTTACCTGTTCTGTTCACAGCTGCACTGCAAGGGCCTGGAAGAGGACGGGCCCGAGACGCCTGATAAGTATTTGCCAGATGGATGGATGGATGGATGGATGGATGGATGGATGGATGGATGGATGGATGGATCTCCCAGCATGGGAGCTCCCAATGAATGAATGAATCTTCCCCAGCATGGGAGCTCCCACCAGCCTCTCTTTTGAGGGCCAAACCATCCCTCAACAGCCTCTTAAGAGCCATCACCAAGCACCAGGAACTGAGCTGCAAGGGGGCCATGAAGCTAATGGAGAGACCCCCCCCAGGGCACTCAGGACACTGCAAAGCCTCCCAAGTCTAGCCTCTTCCAGTGATCCCCACGCGCCCACCTGCCCCAGCCTGGCCCAGGCAGTCTCCAGGGTCTGGGAGCCTTAGCCCAGGGCAGTACTACTCCACCAAAGGTCTGCAACGTTGCCAACTGCAACGAAGTGGGCACAGAACATGACAGCATGCAGACCTCTGGGGTTGGCGTGACCCTGGCATCCAAGGGCACAACCAACTCTGTCTGACCCTGCCGGACTGGGCCTGGCTGAGCCCCTGCGTCTGTGCAGTGGGACCCCATATCGATTTGTGACAAACTGGAAATGAAACAGACCGGTCCTTCCCATAGGGAGTCTGATAAGAGCTAATCTAGGCCAAGAGGCAGCACACTAGGGCCCAAGGCCAAGGCAGCAGCGTCCAGTGTCACAGGCACAGGCCACGCCCACTCCCTTACACCCTGGCTGAGCTGCTTTCACACCATACGGGCCGCGAAGGGCGGTTGCATGGCCTGCAAAGCCTGAAATATTTACAGAGAAGGTTGTGCTCACCCCTGCCCTAGGGGCAAAGCCCAAAGTGTACCCTTGGGGCAAGACAGAAAAAGCTACTAAAGGCGATGTTGTAATAATAGCATCGTCATCATTACATTATTGATTATATCAAATGTCTGCTTACTCTGTCCATACCCTGTGCGAAGGACTCTGCACCTACCAACTAATTGGATCCTCACAATCTTAAAACTATCCTTGCTCAACTGATAGGGAAACTGAGGCACGGGACGGTAAGGCCACTTGCCCCCTGTTTCACAGCTAGGACATCACTGGGGCAGGATGTAAATGCAAGCAACCTGGCTCCAGAACCGGTGCTATGAACCAGTCTTCAATACTGCGGCATAGAGAGGTTAAGTAACTTGCCCAAGGCCACACAGCAGAAAAGAGTCACGCTGGGATTCAGACTCTGTGTCCCTGCTTTTAACTGCATTCCTTTAGCCCATTCGTTTAGCCCAAGGTCTGGAGGAGCTCAGGAGTGTTCAGGGGTCCCAGAGGACTTGAAGAAGAAGGCAGAATGCAGCTGGGCCACAGAAAGCCTGAAAGGAGGCCAGGAGAGGAGGAGGCGTTGATCTCCGGGAAAACAAAAGCTGTGAGCATTTTGTTACTGGACCCTCAACCCTGGAGACCCTCGCTTCCCCAGGACCCTCAGGGAGAGTCATAGGATCCTGCTACTGTCACGGAGAGAAGCTGGGCCCCTGAGGATGGAGAGAATGAGGCACAGAGGGATGCGGCAGGTAGGAAGCGGGAGGGCAGGGATGATGCATATAGAAGCCTGGAGCATGGCTGAGGCTGAGTCAGGGAACCTGGGGGCTTTCCATGGTCTCAGGGTCCAGGCCTCTGTCTGCAAGCACCCAACTAAGTGAAGCCTCCCATTTGTGCTGGGAATCACTCACCAGCAGCCCGCAGATGACGCCAGGGCAGAGCACAGGCAGAGGCAGCGGCTTCCACGGCCTGCACCATTCCACCGCCAGCTCGGCATCCACGGTCCTGTGGTTCCCCAGGGGGAAGAGGCCCTGCTTGGGTCTCCTGCCACCCTTCCAGGAGGAAAGAGATGACTACCCCGCGCTTGCTGCGTGCAGACATTGCCACCGATGCACAGACCCACCAGGACACCGGTACTGCAGGTGGGGAAACTGAGGCCGTTCCACGTGGCTGTGAGCGGGCCAATGCCACTCAGCAAGCTGAACACGGAGAGGGTTCGAAGCCACACTGAGGTCTCACAGGCTCCAGGGAAGACCTGCCATCAAAGCAGCCCCGTGCCCAAAGCACCAGGAAGAGGACTCTCCAGACAGGAGGAGCTGTCCCAGGAGGTAGGCCTGTCGGGAGTATGCGTGGAGGTGACCTGAATCTGGGAAGGTCACTGAGGCATCCCGTGGATCCCAGCAGAATGGCCTCGGCTACTGTACGAGGAACCAGGACAGCCAGGTTCCCGCCACTGACTGTCCCCTTACCCGGGGGGATCTGTCTTTCTGTGGCTTGATGAGGAGCTCAGGAAGGGGGTAGTATCTTTCGAACTGGGTCTTGCCCTTTAAAAGGACAGGAAGGGTTTGAGGGCTGAGGGGCTTCCAGGGAGGGGCCTCCAGATCACAGCCCCCAGCTCACCTCCAACCCACAGCAAGAAAGCGGCTCCACCCTGCAATATGCCCAGGGCAGCAGGGCCCTCCTCAGAGTGCCCAGAACTCTTCCTCCTGCCCTTCAAGAGACAAGCAGGATTCTCTGGATGGGCAGCCCTACCATGAGGCAGGAGGGTCCGATATGGGGCAGCTCCCCCAGGGAGGAGCACACACAGGTGGCCCCTGCTGCCCCCACACAAGGACAGACATGTTCTCACCTGTGGCCGCCAGGCTGGGCCCCACTCACTCCCTGGCCTCAGCCTCCTGCCTGGAGGGGGCGGTGAGCGCTTGGCCCTGTCCACCCACATCCTGCGTCACTGACGGCCCAGCAGGAGAAGAATGGGAGGTGTCTAGGGTCAGCCAGTGACCCCGAGGGCCCAGTTGGGGCAAAGGGCAGGAGGGGTGGGAGAGCAGAGGCCACAGCAGCCTGAGGACTCCCCAAGGCTAGGAGCCGGGTGAGGGCGGTTGAGAAGAGTGGGAACCTCCACAGGACAGGACAAGAAACCAGAAGCCAGCAGCACCCCCAGGGCAGGCAGGTTCCCCTCTGGGCAGCTGCAGGTACAGCAACAAGACCAAGGAACGGCAGCAGCAAACGGACAGAGCGGGCTGGCCCTGAGCCAGGCGCCATCTTAAGAACATTCGGCATATCCCCTTTACCCCTCGTGAGAATCTAGGAGACAGGTACTCTCAGTACCCCCACTTTATGGGTGACAAAACTGAGGCTCAGAGAGGTTACGTAACTTGTCCAGTTTCCTACCCTGTGAAATATTTTCCCATTGACAAAATACAGAGCATGATAGTCCCACTCTGGGGTGATCAGGGGAATGCACACAACCATATACACTCAGGGCTTTGAACAACATTTGACCCATAGTAGGTGCTCAGTTAACAAGAGCTCTTCTTTTTGTTGGTGGTGGTGACAGATAAAGACAATGATGACAAAATATAAAATCATTTCCCACTGGGAGTCTATTCCTTAGCCCCAGGCACGCAGTAGGTGCTCAATAAATAGAGGCACGGGGGAGTGGGGGGACACAGAAGCTTGGAGCCCCGATGCTGTGGCAGCCTCCCCACTTAGGGCAATCGCACCTGAGGCCTGTGATTTAACCTCTTGGGCCTCAGTCTCCTCATCTGCGAAGTGGGATGAGAGCGTGAGCTGCTCTTTCACAGGGCCGCCCAGGAGAATGCAATGACTCTGCCCAGGGAACTGCCGTCCTAAGAGGGATCCACAACGCACCCACTGAGGACAGCTGACTCTGCAAAGCGCCCCAGGGGCCCAACCTACAGGAGGCCACTGTGTCAGGGACTCCCCCAGGCAGGGCCAGTGAGCTTATATGCAAAACCTTCTGCTCACTGATGGAAACGTCCTCCCACACAGCTTCCTTTCTGGTTCTCACAAGAGGGGACCACACCAGCCAGGCAGGACAGACACACACACACACGCACACACGCACCCCCACGGTGGCCGGCAGGGTCAGCTTCACTCCAGCTGTGACCTCCAGGCCTCACATCCCCTCACTCAGCAGCCAGGAGGTCACAAGGGGGAGGCCCACAACTCTGAAAGCCGCTTGGCAAACACCCAGAGACATGGTATACAGCAAGCACCCCATAAATGCCAAAGGAGCGAAACCAAGGCCCGTTGTCCTGGCCACACCATGCAGTGAGAGAAGAGGCAGGAAATGGGGCCCCCGCTGGGAAGTGGGGTGGGGTGGGGTGCGGCTTAGGAGACCCGACCAGGGCACACATGTGGGCAGGCAGCGAGGCCCACCTGCTCCCAGGGCAAGCCATCTGCCCTGGCCACAGGGCGGGCTCCCCAAAGACACAGCCAGCACCCTGGACCCTCATGTCAGGGAGGCAGAAACGCAACCTGTGTGGGGCCTCCTCACCTCAGAGCCTCGAGCCGCACCAAGGTGAATACACACGGAACGGGAGGACAGGAAGGAAGGGGAGCTGTGACCTATCCGGCCCCCTTGCCCCCTGGAAGCCACCCCAATCCTACCCAATACTGCGGCAGCGGGGGAGCAGAGGTGAGGCTAGGCTGCAGGAAAGTGAATACAGCAGGAGCTCCACATTCGCGTGCCAATCCCACTACCAGTCCAGAGAGGGCAGAGCCCCAGCTCAGCCTGGCCCCAGCCTCCATCTTCCCAGCTTTAAAATGGGAGCAAAGAGATTTTATCAGATATTCTGGAAAAGGCTTCAGACACCAGGGGTCTCTGTGGCGGCCTCCCCTCTGCCCTGGGAGGCTCAGAGCCACATGAGCCTGGCTCCCAGGAGAAAGGAAGGGGTGAAGACTCAGTGGAATGGAAGAAGGGTCTCAAAGGTAGCCCCAGGCGCACACATGTGCACCCCCTTACCGTGTGCGTCCGGGCGATCTGCACTGGGTAGGAAAGGCTGTGGGGCGGGTAGCGGGGCTCAGTGGCCCTCCACGTCTGTGCCACAGGCTGTGTGGATCCCGACATGGTGGTGGGGGTCGGCGGGGAGCTGCTCCCAGGCCCCAATAAGCTTTCTCTTAATCACCACCAAGGATTAAAAGCCAGTCCTCGTCATCAGCTCACGGGCCACCCCGTCACTGGCACCTGCGGGAAAACAAGAAAAGAAAAACAAGATCAGCCACGGGGCAGCTGGCTCCTCCGTGCACAGGTCCCCGAGTCGTTCCTGTGGTCCCGTGAGGACACGCGAGCACCCAGGGGCCTGCCTGGACCCTCCTCCATCCACTGCCACACTCACCTGTTCTCCGGGAGCACAAGGAGACAGGCATGGCATTCAAGGTCCCTCCGAGCCATGCAAGCCACGCAAGGGACCAGAGGCCTCCTCCCCACCCAGGCCTTCACCCGGCAGGCACAGGGACTCTGCGCTGCCCTCACCACCACCCAGATGGCTCCCAGCCCCCCTAAGCCCATCCAACTTCACTCCATGGCCCCCGGGTTTCTAAGTCACAGGGCAGAATTCCCAGAAAGCACCTGTCCCAGGAGGGGCGGCCGGCAGCAGGGACATCACACACCGCTGTCCCGGGCAGCAGGGACCAGGGCCAGCTCAGGCGGGCCACGGGCCACAGGCCACAGCATGACCTGGGCAAGGCTATGACCCTGTGCAGGAGGCTGACACCATGACATGGGACAGGACTGATATGAGGTTAGCCAGATGCAAACTAGGAGGTGGGATTAGGACATGGAGGGCTACACCAGGAAGAGCCAAGGGCAGAATGACAGCCAGTCGGGCCCTGCAGCCTAGGGATAGGTACCCCAAACGGCTCCTGGGGCAGATACTGGAGCCTTCCACGGGAGAGGATCTACTCGTGGCCACGCCAGAGGAATAACACGAAGCGGGCTAGCAGCTTTACAGATGGAAAAACAGCCCCACAGAGAAGACACGGCCCAGCAAGGGAGCCACGGGGACCCCTACTCCGAAGCTGCCTTTGCCAGGAAACCCCTAAGCACCCCCCACCCCCAACAAGGCTTCTCCCCTTCCTCCGCCAGCCACAGCTCCACGCCACCTGCTGGGCTTACAACAGGGTCCCATCCCAGACCAAGGCCCCCTCCACACTCTCCCTGAACCAGTCCCTCAGAAAAGGTGTGTCCATCAGGTCCTGCCTCATGCAAAGCCCTCTCCAGCACCCCCACAATTGCACACACCCCCCAGAGCTGAGGGAAATGCACCCTGGCACCGGGACCCAGCGCCTGGATGTGGGCCTCCAGTGGCGGAGGACTGAGGCTGCACCACACGAGGTCAGGGGTCAGGAGGGGAAACAGAGCATACCCAGCCCTGCAATTTCATCAGAACACCCCCTCCCCCAACCTGAAGAGGGTAACCGTCCTTCTCCAAGCAGGAAAGCCCTTGGAGGCCTAATGTGGAGGGGCATTGGGAGGAAGGTTAAGGTTGGGGGCCCTGACTGCCTCCCAGGCCCCACCTCATCTCTCATTAGTGTAGACTTGACCCTCCCTCCCTCCCCAGGTGCCAGGGATGGTCATGTGACCCGGTCCTGGCCAATCAGAGTCCTGCATGCTTCTGGGCCAGTGACTGTCTCAAGGATGAGCCTGTGACCCAATAGGAGTCAATGAGAATCTGCCTTGAGACTTTTGCTGCTGGAACCAGGAGAAAGGTGCTCTCTGCTGGGGATCTAAGCTGGGAATGAAAGCCTGGAGCTCTGGGGGCCACCATGCAGCAGGAGCCTGCCTGAGACCCACGCCCACCGGCAGGAAGGCAGGGCGAAAGGGCGGTAAGAGCAGGTTGTGTCCGATGGTGGCTGGAGGCAGGTCGAAGCCTGCTCACTTCATTAGGGGAGCCAGGGCACTCCTTCTGCACGTTTTGTCTTTGGCAGCCCAAGCTGGGTTTCTGTCACATGCCACCAAGAATTCGGGCTCACACAGGGAAAGAAGGAGTCACAGAGGAGGCCACCCCTTCAACTGGCTGCTGTCCATCCTTCAAACACAGAAAAGCCAAGGAATTCCGGAGCCAAGACTGACACATCTACCACCACCTCGGTCCTGCCTGCGTGGGCTTTCCCAGCCCCGAGACAGGATGTATGGCGCAATTCCCGTGAACATGGGAACACGTCCCGCTCCACCATCGCTAAGCTGCGTGGCCTTGGGCAAGTCACTTGCCCTCTCTGAACCTCCAAACACACAGTGTTCCCTAAACATCAGACATTCATGTGCCACCCCCGCGTAGGGACTTTTTTATAGAGATTACCCAGGCGACAGCCGTCTAGCCCCGGGCCTGTCACTTTCATTCAGTTAGGCATAACTTTACATACAAGAGAAGCTTATTATCAGCATAGGTATACAGAAACCCAGTACTATGTGGAATAAATAGGAAGGCATCGGAATCACAAACGCACTCCCACACACATGAAGACGTCTGTGCATATTCCGACTGCCTAAGTCCTCCTGCAAGGACCCCAGGAAAGGCCGGGTGGCGGACAGCAGGCACTCAGCAGCTCCCAGCACACAGTAAATGCTCAGCAAACCAGAATGCCTAATACTGCTGTCACCAGGACTGTCAATGATGCAGCTGCAGCCCAGTCACCAGTGACGCTATGATGGGGAGGCAAGGCACAGCTAGCCCTGCCCGGCCCCAAGAGCAATGAGACATCCGTTCTGCAGCCAGAAACAAGAGTCTGGCCCTGGGAGAGAGAACAGCTGTGGCCACCAGGACCCAGCCCTGTTCTAAAATTCTTCCTGCTAGAGCTCGGCTCAAAGTCTGCAGACCCTGGTCATCTCATGCAGCAAAGCAAATTCTATTCCCTTCTCTCTAGGTGCTAAACAGTTCCCGGTCTCTCGGAGGAGATAAGGCCGTCACTTCTGCAGGGTGCTGTTCCCGAGGTCTGCCCCTCTTTCAAGGGCACCACGGGCAACTTCCAAATTGCTATTGGATTTTGAGTTGCACAAGGTGGCCGAGAGGTCTCATTTACCCACAGCTTTTCTTTCCTCCTTTGCCCAGTGAGATGCTGCCTGGGGGTGACAGGCCCCTGGCACACGCTTACCATGGTGCACACGGGCACCAGAGACCAGGGAGGGTGACACCGTCCTAAAGTGCCCCGCAGCTGGCTGGCTGGCTTTCCACTGCCTGGGATTTACACAGTGCCCACCCCGGAGCATGGGGCTGGAACCTCGGCCCCTCACCTACCAAGGGGTTCCCCCACCAGCCCCCCACCCAGCGCCTCACATGCCGGTGGGGCCTGAACAGGGAACAACTCCAGTAACCTCGTGCCACCCTCACTCACCACGAGCTTAGGAAACCCAGTTTCCAACCCCTCCCGACCTGAGCCACGTTTCCTGCCAACTCGAAAAAAAACAAATGTTAGGGAAACGGTTTGGCGGTTCCTCAAAAATTTAAACATAGAATAACCATATGACCCACCAATTCCATTCCCAGGCATCCACCCAAAAGAACTGGAAACAGGGACTCAAACAAAACACGGTATGCATGTTCATGGCAACAGAATTTACAGCAGCCAAAAGGCAGACCCAGCAAAAATTCCAGTCCATCCCTACGATGGAGTATTACTCAGCCATAAAGAGGAACGAAGGACGGCTGTGTCCTACACCACACATAACCAGAAAATGTCATGCTGAACCAAAGAGGCCAGACACAAAAGGCCACGAACTGCCTGACTCCACGGATATGAAATGTCCAGAACAGGCACATCCACGAGGCAGAAAGGAGACTGGTGGCTACCAGGAGGGCAGGGTGAGGCAGGAATGAGGCCTGCTAATGGTTACAGGGTTTTACAGGGCAGTGATGCAAAGGTTTTGAAACTTGATAGAGGAGGCGGGTGTGCAGCACTGCGAATAGGGAAAAAAATAAGCTTTGACTTTTCATCAGCAGGTTTGGAAGTGAATGCCAAAAAAAATGATGACATCATTTCCTCAAAGATGGGGGCAGGAGAGGACGAGGGAGCCCCTCCAGGGTCTCCAGGATCTGGTCCTGGCCAAAGGAGGTTCTGAGGATGGATCCGGGCTGGAGGGGGAATTCAGACACAAACGCCCCATGTCGCCGCTGCGTCTGGCTGCGGTGGGGTCAGAAAGGGTGGGCGGCATTCATTTATTTACATACACACTGTGGTCCCTGCTGAGCCCCGGGCTAGTGCTGGGGACTTCTTGTGAACCCAGCGGGGTCCAGGCCCTGGAGGGTCTCAGGCCAGGGGCTCTGCCCAGCCCTGGGGAGAGCCAGGAGATACGAGGAAGAAGAACTTCCAGAGGGTGAAGGCGAGGGGATGGAGAGTGCTCCAGCTGGAGGCGCCGCTGAGCAAGAGCAGGGAGGTGAGCGCCAGCTGGTGGGGGGTGAGCGCAGGCTTGGGGGTGAGCC
Source organism: Homo sapiens (assembly GCF_000001405.40). Classification (NCBI taxonomy): domain Eukaryota; kingdom Metazoa; phylum Chordata; class Mammalia; order Primates; family Hominidae; genus Homo; species Homo sapiens. The sequence goes on from NC_000012.12 coordinate 124,499,600, forward strand.
CCCGCCAGGCGGTGAGCACAGGCCCAGGGGTGAGCGAGGGCCTGGGGGTGAGCACAGGTGCCGTTTATGTTTGAGAAATTCATTGAGTGAATATGGGGGGAAGTGGGGACAGAGTCATTCAGGGCCCCATGGGCCCGGGTAAGGATGGATTTTGTTCTCAGGGCAGTGGGGAGCCACAGAAGGTGGTTGCGGGGGAGAGTAAAGGGTCAGTGTTTTACGAGCAGGCACTGGGGACAGCAAGAGTGGATCAGGGAGACCTGGGGAGGCTCCTGCAAATGTCCAAGAGAGGGGACACTGGGGGATCAGGGCAACAGCGACAGAGAAGGGGAAATGGGCAGGTGGATGAAAGTCAGGAGGGAGGCTGACTCTGCAGGCCGAGGAAACAGCTCGCTGCAGGAGTCCCGCTGCACAGGCCCGCTGCGAGGACCCTGTGCCTGTGGCATACCGAGAGGTGCCTGGGGAACAGCAGGTGCTCAGCCATGCAGAGTCAGGAGGGTCAGGCCTCCGAGGAGAACAAGACGGTGCCTGGGTGAGGTCAAGGGACTTGTAGATCTCAGGTGGCCGGGATACCCAACGGGGACACCAAGGGCCCAAGCAGGCCTCTGCACATCCAAGCCACCAACCACAGCCCCAGGGCCCCTGCTGGCCCCTGAACCAGCTGGAGGAGGGCTGCAGATCCCACGCAGGCAGGTGGAGGGGCTCCCCATGCACGGCTGCAGGGGTCTGTCCCTGGGCCATGCCTGCCAGGAGGTAGCAAACACACAAGTGCCCCCCGCCCCCACTGCACTCTGCCAGGCAGCAGCAGAAGCCAAGTGGGCCACATTCCCTGTTCCCGGCCACTGCGGGCTTTGGTAAGGTTTCCAAATCCACAGCGGAAAGCTCAGGCCGTGAGCTCTGACTGGCTGTCCGCCTTGCCTCCTGCTGGACCCAGAGCCCCTTCTGGTGCCTGGCACACAGTAGGTGCACACTGAATGACTCTGCCCAGCGGAGGTGCATGCCAGCAACGCAGTGATGCCAGAAACCACCACACCTGTGTCCTCTTCCCACCTGGCCGGGCAGAGGCGCCTTTCCGGGAGGCCCTGGAAGCTTCCATGGGGCCTCCCACCCCTGCATTCCTCTCCAGCTCCGGCAGGATGAGGCCACACCGAGACACATTCCATAGATTTTCTGTGTCTTGAGCGGCCTGGTTCAGACCTGGGGAGGGTGGAATTACAGCCTCAGGGTGAGGGGCAGGCGGGGGCTGGTGGAGGTGTGGGAGCTACAGGATGTGCCCGGAGCGCTCAGCCGCGGGCTGTGGGGAGGATGAAAGGCACGCGGGGCTCTGCGCCGCACGTGCCTGAAATGTTCTGGGAACTAATGGGTGCTGACATTGGAAGAACCTGTGGCAGGTGGGGGAGCCTCGGGATTAAAAACCAACCTGCCAGGCAGAGAGCGCCCACGGCACGAGCGCGCGCGCACGCGCGCACACACACACACACACACACACACACACACACACACACACACACTCGACAGAACCCTCTGATACTCTGAGAAGCCCAAGGCACAAAGCCCCCCTGGGGTGGGCGGAACCACGGCGGGAACACAGGCCGTGCCTCCACTGTCCCAGCCTGGCCCTGCGAAGACAGGCAGGCCCCAGGAGCCCTGCAGCTCAGCCACATACGGCCTCCCTCACCGCTCAGTAGGTATTTGTTCCACTCACTGTGGAATAAGCACCTATTGTGTGACAGCCACCGAGAGGCACGGCACCTGGCACACACGAGGCGTATTAGCGCCCTCGGCTGCCCCACCACAGACTGCATGGCTTCAAGCAACAGAAATGGATTGTCTCACTGTTCTGGAGGCCTCGAGTCCATATCCAGCTGTCATCAGGGCCCCACGGCCTCTGGGGGCTCTGGGGGAGGCCCTTCCTACTTCCTCACTCCTCCAGCTCTGGTGGCCCCGGCAACCCCCGGTGTTCCCTGGCTTGTAGATGCATCGTGCCATCCTCTGCCTCTATCTCCACGCAGCCTTTCCACTGCATCTCCTGTCTCTGTGTCTCCCCTTCTTCTAAGGGCACCCGTCATATTGGATTTGGGGCCCTCCCCTATCCGGTTGTGACCTCATCTTAACTAATGTGATCTGCAAAAACCCTTTCCAAACAAGGCCGCACTCCCAGGTTCCACGCAGACGTACCTTAAGGGAGAACACTACCTACTTCAGGAGGTGCTCCAGAAATACTTGTTTTGTTCACTGCTGTATCCCCAGAGCCCAGCACACAGTAGGCATCTAATAAATATTTACTAAACAAAACCACTGCAGCCAGTCTGGCCCGAGGAGAAGCCGGCCCGGGGGGAACTCTGGGACAGCAGTTCTGGGATGTGCGCACAAGACGCTGCGGAGCGCCAGCTCCACGGGTCGAGCTGTTGACACCTTGGGTGTTTACTTTCTGGCGTGCAGTAAAAACTGGGGAACTGGCCAAGTATCTGATGGCCACCTTCAGCAGGACTCCTGGCGCAGAACGGATGCTCAGGAATCCAGCTCTGGAGTGAGTCCTGAGATGCGGAAAGCCGGTGGGACGTGGCAAGGGTGCACCTCGCCCAGCCCAGTCCAGAGGGGCCCCCACAGCCAATGAGGAAGGGGGTGAAGAGAGAGCTCCTGCTGCCCGGCCTGGTGGCTCACTCTGTCTACCACGATTTGTTAAGCACCTACTGTGTGAAAGGTGCTGGGGATACAGCAGTGAATTACTGATCCCAAATCCCCCACCTCGTGAAGCTGCCATTCCAGCAGGTGAGACGGGAGTAAGAGGATGGCAGAAGGTGTTAGCACGATGGAGAAAAACAGAACCAGGAGGCGGCAGGCAGGGAATGGGGGTACATTTTGAAAGTGGGCAGTCAGGGGTGCGTCACCAGAGGTGCCTTTTATGCAAAGGCGCCGGGGAGAGGAGGGAGTCTACACAGCAGGCACAGCAGGTGCAAAGGCCCAGAGGCAGGACCGAGCCTGGTGTGTGAGGACAGCAGGGAGGCCTGGATGGGGAGAGTGGGGTGAGCGAAGGCATGTGAGGTCACTCTTTCTGGCTATAGCCAGAAAGCTGGGGTGTTCACTGCAAGGGAGCTAGGAAGGACACAGCTGGTGCACTTTAAACAAGGCTGACGTGCGGTCTCCTGTGGCAAGTCTGCCTCTGGCGTCTCTGTGTTCAAAGGACACTGTAGCTGCCCCTGTGTCGAGGAGCACTGGGCACAGGTGTCTGAGTGTGGGGCACAGGTAAAAGGGCCCCTGTAACCCTGAATGATGACAGCCACGATTGTCAGGGCCCTAGAGAAACGGGCCTCCACCCATGCACAGCGGCAGGCCTGCAGGAATGAGGCCAGACTCCTTGGCCCTCACTTGGCAGAAAGGTCATTCCACTCCCTAAGGAAGAGCCAGGTACCCAACCCCAGCCTGTCGTTGGCTCTGCCGGAGGGGCTGAGGGTCAAATACTAAGAGCTCAATCCCGGGTGCCACCCACAAGGGTGCGGTCTGCCCTCCAGCTGAGACCAGGCAAGCCAAACCCATCCCAAACTCCGGTTGCTGACCCATTCTCATCAATTAGAGAATTATTTCAGCATCTGTTATGTGCAAACACTGTACAAGCACAGCTACAGCAGTGACCAAGTCAGACAAAAGGCAAAAGGCCCTGCTGACCACGGCCCACACCCAGTGACAGGTCTGGCCCAACTGGCAGACTCCCCACCCAGGTGCTCAGCAGGGGGTGGCTGGATGGAGGGAGAAGATGGAAGAGGGATAGAGATGGGAGGATGGAGGAGAAAGGAGGAAGGGAGGGAGGAAAGGAGGATGGATGGATGAATGCATGCATGGATAGAGAAAGGAGGAAGGATGCATGGACTGATGGATGGATGGATGGATGATGGATTGATGGATGGATGGATGGATGGACAGAGGATGGACAGATGAATGGATGGATGGATGGACGAATGGATGGATGGATAGATGGAAGACGGACGGATGGACGGATGGATGGATGGACGGACGGACGGATGGATGGATGGATGGATGGGCGAATGGATGGATGGATGGATGGATGGACGGGTGAATGGATGGATGGATGGATGGATGGATGGATGGATGGATGGACAGACGAATGGATGGATGGATGGACGGATGGATGCATGGATGCATGGATGGATGGATGGATGGATGGGCGGATGGATGCACACACTCATCACCAGATGGGTATCAACTTAGCTGCTTCATTTTCCGGGTTTTTCTGGTCTTACATTTCTAACCAATCCCCAGGGCCAAGCATGTCTTCATCCTGCTAATATTCCCAGGCCCTCCCACATGCCCAGCTCCATGAGGGACACAGAAAGGCACTGTCGCCTTCAGGAACCCCCAAACCCATATAACTGCTCCCCAAGTCCCAGCCTGCTGAGTAAGAAGGACCCTAGGGAAAACTGCCTCCAGTCCCAAACCCAGACTCAGCGTGGGAGGGTCTCAACTCTCCCGAGTCCCCCACCTGGCACCACTTCTCCCTTTTCAGCATAAACCAGCACATCTTCCCCTTGAGCTGGGTTCGAGGAGAAAGGCCGAGAGGACTCCAGCCTGGGAATCCTCCTCCTTGACCCCGGGTAGATGTACAGGGTAGAGATACGTGGGCCAGGTTAAAGCCAGAAAGCTGGGGTGCCCGGAGCGTCTCGTCAGGTCCCAGACTTGCTCCCTCTGGGCAGTTTCCTGGGACTTGCTTCCTCACCCCAGGGTCAGCTCAGCTAAGCCCCAGAGACCAGCTCTTATAAAGAGGGATTTCACAGGAAATTTGGAATGTCTGGCTTCTCCTAATGAGGGCTGCTCACACATTGCGGGTGGGAATGTCAGATGTGCAGTGCAGCCACTGTGGAAAACAGTCACTAGGTTAAACCCAGAATTACCCCATGACCCAGCGATGCCACTCCTAGCTACACATCCCCAAGGAACGGAAAACTGGTGACAAAACAAACAGAAAGGATTAGAATGCCCACAGCAGCACTATTTACATCAGCCAACAAGCAGAAACAACCCAAATGTCCATCTACTGACAAACAGATGAAACAAACGCAGTCTGTCCATCAATGGACTACGATTCAGCCACGCAAAGGTAAGCGCTGACTCAGCCACAACGCAGGTGAGCCCTGAAGACATGGCACAAAAGGCAAAGAAGCCGCTCAGAAAGGCCACGCACTGCATGATTCCATTAACTTCACAGGAGGGGCAGATTCCCAGGACAGAACAAAGGCCCGAGGCTGCCAGGGGTTGTGGGGAGGGAGGAGAGGGGAGTGACGGTTTAATGGGTTTGGGGTTTCCTTCTGGGAGGATGAAACTGTTTTGGAATTAGACAGAGGTGGTGGTTGCACAACCCGTGAATGTCCTAAATGCAAACTAATTGTTCACTTTAGTATAGCCAAAATGGTATATTTTGTACGTATTTTACCACAAAATCGTTTGACAGGGGAAACTGAGGTTCCAGCCATGGCCGGCTGGAAGTGGGCAGAGGCTATCTACACCAGATAGGCTCGGCTTTCCCTATTTGCCACGTCCCCTCCTACTCAGCTACCTTTGTTTACATGCCCTGCCTGGCTGGTTGGACTCAATGGGGCAGGTTCAGTCTGTCTTCTCCTGAGCCTTCAGCTCCTGCCTCTACTGGCACCTCCTTGGAACCTTCCCCCAACCCCAAGGGGGCCCCCCGGTGCCATGGCCCGCTCCCCCTGCCACTCCCATGGACTCGGCCCCCTGTGCCACAGCCACCTGTTTACCGCTGTCTCCCCCACCAGGCAGGGCTCCTCCTCGGCAGTTTTAGCCGCACCTGTAGGAGCAGGAGCTATGGAGGCTGTGGGCTGCACCTGTAGGAGCAGGAGCTATGGAGGCTGTGGGCTGAGCCCCTCGGTCACTGAAACGAGCCAGTGCCCTCTCAACCAAGCCACCTCCTGTGGACACACTGCCATTCCAAAGGGCTCCCACGTGCTGATCAATTCCAAATCCCAACTCCGCCACTTCCACAGCTGTGTGACCTTGGGTGAGGTCCTGACCTCTCTGAGCTTCACTTGGAAAGATTCACTGGAAAAAAGAGCTACAAGAATCTCGGTGCAGTTCTCGGCCCACAGAAGAGCCCCCAGAAGGAGAGCGTGGCTGTTACTGCCCTCTGCCACGCCGACCACTCGGGGGAAGGAGGGAGGTGATGGCGATGATGTTAACCAAGCCAGTCACTATGGCTATCTTCGCCTTGCAGATAGGCAAACTGAGTCTGGGAGGAGCCTGTGATTCTCAAGTGAGCCCAAATGCCCCAGCCCATTATTCCTGTCTCCCCAGTGCCACGTCCTGCTCCTGCTTCCAGGGGAAAATAGGCCAGGTGCAAAACCCACCCCCAGCACCAGCCCCATCTCTCCCCTCCTCTAGAGAGGCTCCTCGGCCACTGGGAAAGCCTCTATCATTCCCCACATTCTGCTTCAAGCCCCCCAGCTTCCCCATTCCTGCACCCCTTCACCCCAGGCAAAGCAGGCCCCACCTCCACTCCAGGCCACATTTATCTCATGCTAACACCAGAGGCAGCAGACGCTCCAGTTCCATTCACCAAACACAATTCGCCCCACTGAACAGATCAGAAAACTGAGGCTCGGAAAGGTGAACTGACTTGCCCAAGGCCACACAGTCAGGATACGGGTGCCCAAACCCCCGGCCCTCCCCACGGCCCTGCCAGCCCAGGCGCCCGCCCTCAGTGAACAGAAAGGGAAGTGGCGTTGGTCGGAGCCTCCGAGGAGGCCCGTTACTGTTTCCAATATAATTGGAGCGTTCCTGTCCGCTGGACGGCAGCCAGCTCGGCCCTGCTCCCCCGCCACGGCGAAGTATGCTCAAAATCACTTCCTCCTCCCCTCCTTTTTTTTTTGTTTCCATTTAATTTTAAAAGGAAGAGAGGGAGATAAACCACAGCAGGACGAACCCTCCCTGCACTCCAGGTTCCTGTGGCTCCACCCGAGAAGCCCTGCACGGGGAGCGGCCCTCCCCACTTGCGTACTTCACAAACATTACGCCTGGTTCTGCCGCCTCTTCCTCATTAAGTTCCGGGCGCCCCAGGAGGGACGTGTTTTCCATTAGACCCATCTCCTCCATCTGGCCTTCCCAACAGCAATCTTCTCTGCAGAGGGAAGTGAGGAGTCAGAGAGGAGGCTGGTGTCTGGGCAGTGGGGAGGGAGACGCTGGCACCAGCTGTGTAACCTGGGCAAACCACTTAACCCCGTGCCCCTGGGCTGTGACGGCAGGAGAGAGGGAGGCCATGCCAGAGTGGGGCTCAGGGAGCTGGGTGGCTGAGCTGGGGCTGAGCTCCTGGACAGCACCTGGAGAGGCGGTGGGACCTGGGGTTTCTAAAGGATGCGGACGGGGTTGGGGTCCTGGGTCTTCATCCGTTTTGCTTCATGGCTAAGAATGAACCAACAACCCCAGACTACATGGAACACAGCTCCTGACATTATGCTGAGTGACAGAAGCCAGCCACAAAAGGACAAACACTGTGCGATTCCACTCGTAGGAGGTGGCCAGAGTCACTGAATTCATAGAGACAAAAAGGAAAATGGCTGGGACCAGGGGCTGGGGAGAGCGAGGAAGGGGGAGTTACTGTTTAACAGATATAGCGATTCAGTTTTGCCACATGAAAAGTGCTGGAGATCGGTTGCTAAACAATATGGCTATTCTTAACACTACTGAATTATCTACTTACCAATGGCTGAAGGTAAATTTCACATTATATGTATCTACCACAATTTAAAATTAAACAACACCTCCTCCAGGGAGACCTCCCTGATTGCTAGTGTTGTGCTTGTGTTGTTCCGCGGTGGCCCCAAAGGCTCAGGCTGCCCCCATAAAAGGCAAAGTGTTGCCAGTGGCCCCGGCACTCAGCAGGCCCTCAGAGCCGAGTGCAGCATGCGTCCAGGCCTTGTCTCTGGCCCACCTCACCTCAGGACCCCATGACGGCCACAGGGCATGGCTGGGCAGCGACTTGCACCTCTGATCCCTCGGAAGCGCCCGATAAGCTGAGCTCTCCCCTCGCCAGCTGCCTCCAACCCAGGTGGCCTCAAGGCCAGGGCCCAGGGAAGGGCTGACTGCTTCAGAGGGGCCCCTGGACCCCAAAACTTGAGGCCAGGGCCAGAGCCCTTCTCTCTGCCCACCAGTCTGCAGTCTCTGTCCCACCCGCTCATGTCCATGCCCAGACCCCGAGTGTGAAGGCGGCCTCCGCAAGGTTCCCACCGACTTCCCTGCCTCCAACATCTGGCAAACACATCCACAGCTGTGCAGCTGCCGGAAACGCCTCCTCCCGCTTCTCCTCCATGCACGCAGGCCCTCAAGGATGGCTTTCTGAGGAATTTATGGGGTCGCCTCTAGTATTTCAGGGTAGATCCCTGGAGGCATCCACCACATGTGAATGAGGACAAATGTTTCTGCTGCTAAGAATAGCTGTGCCAGCAGCAGCGTCCAGGGCGACAGAGCCCACCCACTCAACAAGGGTCCCCTCCTGCCTCCCCAACCCATCCCAGCCCCCAGCAAGTGGCCAGGCTGGACCACAAAGGGCCTGGATGGGAGGACCCCACTGCCGCCTGGGCTCCCAGGCTAAACGGGAAGAATCCACTTTACGTCAGCTCTGTCCAATGCTCAGAAGTGGACGCATCTGGGCCATTCAATTACCCCAGGGGCATTGATCAATAAATGTCTGATGACGGGACAGTGATCAAGAACCCAAAAGGTCCTATGGCCCCTGCAGCCAGGAGCTCAGACAGTAAACAAATGCTTCAGCGCCCAGGAGTGGCGACGGCTGAAGCTAAGCGTCTACCTGGGATCGGATGATCCACCCGAAGAAGGGCAGGGACAAAAAGCAAGAGGAGAGCTGTAGATACCCAAGACCCTGCCGGAACACAAGGGCCCAGGCAGGCACCACGCCGAGGGGAGGGGCCCGCAGGAAGGGGGTGACCGCAGCTCAGCCCCAGCCAACACTGAGCAGAGACCCAGGAATGTGGCCCCCAAACATTCCTGATGTTCCAGACCCTGCTGGAACAGGGTCCACGTGGGGCAGGGGGTCCACGGCATCCAAATCTTTCCAGCAAAGCCAAGAAGCCCAATTTTGAGACATCTCCCGATATTTCTAAAAAAACACTGACTATAAAACCAACCCAATAAATCAGTCTGACAGCCAAATACAGCCCAGGGGCTGCCAGGACATGACCTGTGGCTTATGACGTGGTCACTGGACGCCACAAGAGAGGTGAGGGAAGGCTGGGGAGCTGAAGCGGGCTGATGGGGGGACAGGAGGTGGAGCGCCAGCAACGGCTTGGAGGGGGGACCCAAGAGGCCCTCAACTATTAAATATAACAGGAATGAAACTTACCCAGTGACTCATCGGCGCCACCTGCTCCACCCCAATGGGACACACACACACTGGCCATGAAAGGCAGGCCAGGCAGGGACCCCAACCTGGCCCCATCTCCAACACAGGGAGCAAGACACAGTGTCTCTGCCCACCCGGCCCCACTCCGTGCATGCCACACCCCAATTTCCCTGGGCAACCACCCCCCCTGCACCCTCAGTCCTGGGGTCTCAGGGAGGCTGACCCAGCCCTCCAGCCAAAGTGGCACTGGCTTTGGTGGGGGGGGGGGGGGCTTAACTCTGAACTCTCAAGCTGAGGCAACAAAACTCATTCCCATGATATTTGCTGGAATATTGGGAACAAGAAGCTGTCCTTCCACTGGGGCTACTGAACTGCAATTATTAGTCTCAGGCTAACAGGGACTGAAAGTGGGGAGCACCTGGACCCAACTGTGCCTGAAGCTTCTCTGAGGTTTTTTAGTTACTTGAACTATTTGTGCTAAATGCAGGAGGCAGAGGGAGTCTGTCCATTGCAACCAAGAGACCTAAGATAGCAACCCTCCTAAAACACAAACTCTCAGATAGGATCTCCCTGGAATCAGATCTCTTCCACCCGCTAGGTCCCTTATCCATGTAGGTGAGGACAGGTCCAAAGCCAGCCAAGAAGAGGCCAGAGAAATGGAATGGGAGACCCAGGCCAGACTCAGTGTAGGGGGAAGGGGCCAGGCAGGAGCCAGGGAGAGGCCTGTCCTGTGTCACCCTGAAGGGAAAGTGGGTGGCTCCCAGTCCCTTCCTGAGCTGTCAGTGGCTCTCATGGGTGAAAGAGCAGGCGGCAGCTTTGCAGATGAACACTGCCCAGCACAGCCCAGCTCTGATCTGGGTCACTTCTCAGAGGCAGACACACCCCCCGACGGCCGCCCCCCACAGTAACCTGAGCCTCCGGACCTCGGTTTCCGGAGGAACATCACGATCTCTCTTGGAGGGAATGTCTGCTAGCCGCACCGCAGAACCAAATGTGCTGATAAACCTAGGCCAGGTTGAGCAAGCCTGGGCTGCTCCCGCCAGGCCAGAAAAAAGAGGCATTGTCTGCAGCCAGGAGCCACCACATGGGCTGTACCCATGGGCATGTCTTGGGGCCATCCCTGCCAGGCCTTCAGTTTCCTGGGTTGTAAAACAAGTGGCTGTTCCAGGCCTCGGGGGCAGCCAAGGCCTCAATCTGGAGCAGGTGGCGACCCCAAGCCCCCACCCCACAGGCACTGATGCACCCCAGCTCCGCTTCTCCTCCCGACCTCCATGGGGCCATGTGCTTGTTACAGCTCCCGTTTCCTAGGTGGAAGACTGAGGCTATTTGCACAGGGAGGAGCAGGGCAGCGGGAAGATGAGCAAATGCCACTTCCATCTTCCACGCCGCTGCCCTGAGCAGCCACGGGAGGGAACACCTCGCAGCCACTGGCACAGCCAGTCCCCAACACAACACTTGGTGGCACCAACTCCTTCCTCACAGCGCCCCCGTGAGGGATTCTGTTATCATCCCCATTCTACAGCTGGAGAGACTGGCACAGAGAGGCCGAGCAACTTGCCCAAGGTCACACAGCCAACAAGGGCACAGCCTGGATGCAAACCCAGGCGAGCCACCTCCTGTGTCCAGCTCACCCACTGTGTCCTGGGACCCTGTCACCAGCATACCCATGCCTGCTGCTTAGGTTAGAGGAGACTGTTGTCTCTCCCACCAGGCTGGAGCCAGGCCTTGCAGCCCTCCCATCCCATGTCCCTGCTCACAAGACCAGGCCAGGTCCTGCCAGCCAGAGGTGCCCATGGGCCGCCGCGGACAGGCTGTGGGCATCTCCATGTCCACTTGAGAGCCTGCTGCACACTGTCCACCCCGGGCCCAGGAGGAGACGAAAGGCCACATCCTCACCTCCCTCACGGCCCAGCTCCGTGACCTCCCTCATCAGAACCCGGAATCTGGACTCCAACCTGTGCTGCTGCATTTCCTCTCCCCCCACAGCCCCAAACACAAGATCCATGAAGCAAGAGTCACACCTTTGTGTCCCCCAGAGTCCCAGCACACTGCACATGGCAGGTGCTCAATAAATGTTTGCTGAATGCATGAACATGCTAAGAGCAAAATCGCAGACGTGGAGCTGAAGCTCAAAGACCAGTTTGCAAACAGAGAGACTGAGGCTGAGAGCACAGACAGGGTGTGCTTAAAGCCCAGATTTCGGGGTACCACCTACACCAGGCCAGGTCCATCAAAGGCAGCCGAGTGTCCCAAATATCAGGTAACTGACCCCAGGTCCACACAGCCGGCCGGCTCCACTCCAGGTCTCCAAGTGGCCGAGAACTCTGATCCCCACTCCTGGAAGCCCCAGTGCCAGCCCCCGTGGCGAGACTGTAAGGCCGTCAGTGCCACTAAGGAGCTGTGTGGCCTCTGCCAAGTAGCCTGCCCTCTCTGGGCCTAGTTTCTCCATTTGTCAAGGGCACCCGGCAAACCTGGGGCTTGCTGGGGGATGAGTGCAACCCGGGTTCTGCAGGAGTCACCAGACGCGTGGGGAAAGGGCGTCCGGGGCCTGGGGCAAAGCCGGGGTAGAATCCGAGAGCCTCCTGCCTCTGGGTCCTGTCCCCTTAGCAGGGCTGTCTGAGGGGACAGCGAACAGCAGGCGGCAGGTGGGGTCTAGGGCCTTGTGGATTTGGTTCTCGGCAAGAAAGGCAGGTTCAAGCAAGGCGTCCTTCCTGGAAAGTCCAGACTCCCCGAATGGGGCTTCATGCACTCCCAGGCACAAAGGGGTTCTCGGCCACCCAAACTTGTCCTGCACCCTCAGGCTTGGAGTGGGGAACAGTACCAACCCCCGCCAGGGCCAGTTCCCCCACCTCCAGAGACTGGCGTCGCCAGCTGTGTTCATTTCCTAGGGCTGCCATAAAAATGACCACAAACCAGGAAACTTAAAACAACAGTGATTTATTTTTATTTTTTTATTATTTTTTGACAGGGTCTCACTCTGTGGTCCAGGGTGGAGTGCAGTGGCACAATCATGGCTTACTGCAGCCTTGACCTCCTGGGCTCAATTGATCCTCCTGCCTCAGCGTGGGACTACAGGCAAGCCGCCACCACATCCGGCTAATTTTTGTGCTTTTTGTAGAGACAGGGTCTCGCCATGTTGCCCAGGCTGATCTTGAAATCCTGGGCTCAAGTGATGCGCCCACCTCGGCCTCCCAAAGTGCTGGGACTATAGGCATGAGCCACCTCGCCCGGCCAACGACAGCAATTTATTCTCTAACAGTTCTGGAGCCTGGAAGTCCAAAATCAAGGCGTCAGCAGGACCCTACTCCCTCCAGAAGCTCAAAGGGAGGCTCCTTTCTGCCTCTTCCAGATGCTGGTGGCTCCAGGCATTCCTTGGCTTGCGGCTTCAGCCCTCCAATCTCTGCCTTTGTCTTCCTGTAGTTCATGTAGTCTTGCTCTCTCCTCTTCTGTCTCTTCTAAGGACACTGGTCTTTGGATTCAGGGCCCACCTGGGTAACCCAGGATGAGCTCATCTCAAAACACATCTGCAAAGACCCTTTTATCAAATACGGTCTCTCTCTGACAGGGGCTGGGTTACTAGGACATGGACCTAACTCTTGGGGGTATCACCACTCACCCCACTCCACCAGCCCCCGCCTTTTCTGACATTGCCCATTTCCTGAAAGCTCACTCCCTGCCTAGCTCTGAGCCCAAGCCCCAGCGGAACCCCATGAAGCAGAGGGGGAAACGGAGGCACAGGGAGTTCAGCCGATGCCCAGGGGACCAAGTGGGGCCAAGGTTTGAACCTGGCTTTCCGAGTGGCCCCAACACAGTAGCCGCTGGGTATTGGCCTCCCTCCAGTTTACAGGAAACAAGGGACTCTCACGCCCACGCCTCTCGGCCGAGGGCCAAACTGACAGTGAGTCACCCCCACTCCACAGGCCAAGAAGCTTGAAGCAGCTCATCGAGGGGGACCAGACAAACGGTGGGGCCAGGGAGGGCTTCCTGGAGGCTCAGCTTGCTCCAGTGTCAACAGGGGAGCAAATCCCACCTCCCGCTGCTCTCTCGGGAGGACTCAGCGAGACCCTGGAAGGAGGCAGCTTGGCACACAGGCCCCTGGCAATCACCACCTCCCTGGTTATTAGCAGGCCTGGCCCAGCCCACACAGCTGCCCACCCAGCCTCTGACCCCAGCCACAGAAAGGGCCCATTATGACATCACAGGCCAGGAATTATGTTATTAGCCTGGGAAGGAGGCTGGCCTCAGGAACAAAGGGCTCATTGTCATGCAAATGAACGACTCCGGAGGAAGAGGGCAGTTCCTCCACTCTGGGGTGCCCCTCCTGCCCTCTAACTTCTAAGCCACACTGGAAACTGACCCCCAACCTTCAGAAGTGTGGGCATCTCTGGGCCTCTGCTCTGGGCTAAATGAGGCGCACTCTCTCAGCCTGGGAAACGGGCCCCTGCCAGTTCTGAGCCAGATCCCCAGAAAACAGGACCCGCCTCGGAAGATAGGGATAGTAGAGGGACTTTTGGGGATGAAACAGGATGATCCCCTTAACATGCTAAGCATGACCTTGAGCAAAGAAGCAACTGCCTTGGAAATGCCATTCAGTTGGTAATACTGCAGGCCTGCAGCTGTGTGTCTTTGAGCAAGCTGCCTACCCTCTCTGTGCCTTATCAGGAGAGGGTGACTCTGTGCCGACTTTACAAGGCTATGGGAAGGACACAATGAACTAAGGTATGTGGAATGCTCACCTCGCCTTGGTCCTCAACACACAAGGCTGAGGCTGTCACCACCCCTCCCCCACTCCCCGTACCTACAGCATCCCTGGGTTCCTTCTCATGACTGTATCTAGGAGGGGTAGCTCTCTTGGGATGCTTGGTGGGTACCCCAGTGGCAGTCAGAGAAAAAGCATGAGAACTTTTCCTGGTTTTCCAAATCATCCCCAAAATGCAGGGCCTCCTTCACCAGAGAGGCCCCATTTATGGGGAGGGGACAGGCTGAGGCCCCGTGGAAGACACTGAGTCAGGCACAACTGTCTCCTAAGTGCCTGCTACATACCCAGTGCTGGGGACACAGCGGTGACAAAGATGAACAAAATCCTGGATGGAGGGGTGCTGGAGTGTGAATGTTTATGTCCCCCCAAAATCTGCATGTTGAGACCTAATCACCACGGGATGATGTCAGAGCGTGGGGCTTCTGGGAGGTGATGAGCTGTCATGAGTGGGATTGGTGCCCCCAGAAAGCCGCCCTGCCCCTCTTCCTGGGAGAAGCCACCATCTATGAACCAGGAAACGGGCCCTCGTCCCATGTGACACCAAATCTGCCAGCATCTTGGTCTTGGACATCCAGCCTCCAGAACTGTGAGCAATAAAGTTCTATTGTTTGTGAGCCACCCAGTCCAAATAGACTAAAACAAGGTGGGGACAGGGGTGATGGGCATACCGCAGACCCTGGTGGTGACAGTGTTACAAGGAGTAGTGAAGGTGTCACAGGGAGTCACAACTGACATCAGGCCTCTCTCAGGAGGCGCCATTAGCAGAGGCCTATATCAGGGAGGCTGAAGGTCTCAGGAAAGGGTGTTCCCAGAAGAGGTTACAGCCAGGCCGGGTGTGGTGGCTCATGCCTGTAATCCTAGCACTTTGAGAGGCCGAGGCAGGTGGATCACTTGAGGTCAGGAGTTCAAGACCAGCCTGGCTAACATGGCAAAACCCTGTCTCCACTCAAAATACAAAAATTAGGCATGGTGGTATGCGCCTGTAGTCCCAGCTACTCAGGAGGCAGGAGAATCGCTTGAACCTGAAAGAAAGGTGGCCACAGCTCTGCACTCCAGCCTGGGGGAGTGAGACTTTGTCTCAAAAAAAAAAAAAAAAAAAAAGGTTATAGCCAGTGCAAAGGTCCTGAGGCAGGCCCATGATCAGGGGCCCCAAAGAACAGCAAAGAAGAGGCTCATGAGGCTGGATGCCCCCAAACCCTATCCCACCCCCATCTCTCCAGACCCTAAGCTACGACCCATGCCCACGGGACACAAGCCTCCACCACGCCACTCTGATGACAGGAACACCCTTACAGCAGCTCAGTCATGAGGCCCCCACAGGCCCTGCAGGCACCACGTGTCCCCCAGCCTGGGATGCTCTGGAGCCCTCTGTGATCCTGAGGCACAAAGCAAACTCTGCCTGGACCCCCTGGGATGTCCAAGGGACCAAGCTCAGTTACAGGCCAGCTTCATGGGGGAGTCCTCTACTAAAAATACAAACATTAGCTGGGCTTGATGGCATGCGCCTGTAGTCCCAGCAACTTGGGAGGCTGTGACAGGAGAATCGCTTGAACTCAGGAGGCAGTGGTTGCAGTGAGCTGAGATCGTGCCACTGCACTGCACTCCAGCCTGGGTGACGGAGTGAGACTCGGTTTCAAAAAAGGAAAAAAAAAAAAAAATCAAGATCCCAGGATCCTGTGTGCCCTTCACCCAGCCTCCCCCAAGAATAACATCCTGAGACAAACCTGAGACAACGACAATTCATCATCCATATCATAACTAGGAAGGCAGCATGGATATAGCCAGCCGTATGCAGATTGCAGCAGTTTCCAATGCACTCACTTGTGTGAGTGTGTGTGTGCATGTGCGCATGTATCTGTGTGGGTGTCTGCATGTGAGTATGGGTGTGTGTGCACGACTGTGAGTGTGCATATGAGTGTGAGTGTGCATGTGAGTGTGAGTGTGCGAGTATGCGTGTGCATGTTCGTGTGACTGTGTGTATGGTGTGTATGTTCACAAGTGTGCGTGTGAGTATACATGTGGGTGTGTGCGTGAGTGTGCATGTATGTGTGTGCATGTGTGAGTGTGCGCGTATTTAGTTCTATGTGTTCTTATCACATGTGCAGACTCCAGTGATCACAACCAGTCCATGCTGAGCTGCCTCGTCACAAAGGCCCTGGTGCTGACTTCTGTTCTGAACCTCACCCAGGACTCTTCTCCACCGGGTAGGAAAATCGAGTCCCTGAGGACTTTGGCAAAGGTCAGGGGCAGCCACGACACAGCTCTGTGGCCAACCCAAGTGGACACCAAGGCCCTGGGGGTGACAAGGGGACATGGATGAGAACCCCCCCGCCTTCGGAGGCCATTCTCGAGGTCCCAGGAGAGGCCCCATGACAATGAGACAGCGGGCAGCTGGTGCGGGGGGCCTGGACGCCCGGGGAACTCCCCACTGGCTCCTGCTGGCCCAAGAGCGGAGGCCCTGAGCCAGTCACTGGCCCAGCATCCGGTGTCACTTACAAACACAGGACGGCTGCCACCTTCTGCAGGAGAACTGGCCCTCCCGCGCCAGTCCCCAGGCCACACCAGGCACTGTGGGGGGTGCCTGGCCCAGGGCTGGCACGGAGGGGCTCAGGCTGAGTGGGAGACGGGGCAGAACAGGCAGGCATGGGGGGAGACCTGGGGATCCCAAACAAAGGCAGAGCCTGGGAAGCACCCACTCGACCTACCTCCCATTATCTGGACCCAGGTTTCTACAAAACATGAGAGCTCTCTGCAAAGAAGAAAAGAAAAATGGACGGAACTCGAACTTAAATCCAACCTTGTGGTTACAATTACGGAGGCCCACCCAGGCCAGCACTGTGCGGGCCCCTTCAGGCTTCTCTCAGGCTCTCCCGAGACACACCGGCAGGCTGCAGTGCTACCACTGTGGTAAAGGACAAGGAAACTGAGGCTCTGTGGGATTCCGGGACTTGCCCAAGGTCACACCATCCTTGAGGGGTCGAGCCAGGACTGGAACCTCAGTCCGGCCACTACAACTTCATAAATACCATCGCCCTGAGATGCTGAAATCCCAGGGGCCCCCCACCCTCAGACCAGGTGCCGGTATTGTCAGCATCGAGAAAACAAAGTGCCAGTGAATTATCAACTGTGAGCCTATTATGAGCTAGAAGGCAGGTTTCATTCACTCCCTTAAGCCA
The DNA here is from genome assembly GCF_000001405.40 of Homo sapiens. Lineage (NCBI taxonomy): Eukaryota > Metazoa > Chordata > Mammalia > Primates > Hominidae > Homo > Homo sapiens. Next base: position 124,516,914 of record NC_000012.12, read on the forward strand.
TACAGCCTATGAGGTGGGGAAAGATGCAACTTCCATTTGCCAGATGGGAAAACTGAGGCTCAGAGACAGTAAGTGACTTGCCCAAGGTCACACAGCCAGGAAGTGTCCAACCAGGACAGGAACCCAGGCAGTCTGCCCCGCGTTCCCCCTAAAACTGCAGCTCCTTCTCCCGTCAGTCCCATGCTTGTGTAGACCCCACTGTGCCCCATTTTACAGACGAGGAAACTGAGGTCTGCAAAGGGGAGGCAACACGCCCAAGGTCACACAGCATAGAGAGGACGGAGCCAGGACTCAAACCCAGGTCTGTGGCAAAGGAGCAACATTGCCTGGAAGCCCAGCCCCCTCCCTTCCCCAGCCTGGGCTCAGAGGTCCCCAGGAGCCATTCCCGCCACCTCCCTATGGCCGCGGCGCACCCAGACCTCAGGACAAATCACTCCCTCATCCCCCCGGTTTGCAACTAAAGGCTCCTTGTGAGCTCGGGAAGCCCTTCCAACTTTCCAGTGTTTATCCCGGCTCCTCGCTGCCAAGTCCCTGGGCAAGCCTGGGCCGGTGGCGCTGATTTCAAACCAGACATGGGCACCGAGCCAAGCGCCACCTCGGTGGGGAGCCGGGCGCCGGGGCCGGGCTGCAGCGCTGCCTGCACCTGGCTCTCCCCTGCCTGAGCCCACCGCGGAGCCCCAGGGCAGAGCCTCGGGAGCGCCCACGATCACATGCCCTCCTGAAGTCAACTCCGGGAACAGAAGCCCCCTGAGCCCCCAAGGCTCGCCATGCTCCCCCCCAGGGACGCCGGATGTGCACCAAGGAGAGGAGCACAGTGCCCACCCGGGTCCCCTCCCACGCGGGCCGGCCAAGAAGCCTCACCCCGGCCTGCCCGGCCAGCGCCTCCGAGCGCTCTTTTCCGTGACTGCAGCAACTTCGTCCGATGAGACAGCCCTGCCCACCATCCCGCTGAGCTCAGGGCCGACAACACTGCGCTGCCAGGGGAGGGTCCAGCTGCCCCCATTGGCTGACCTGCGGCCGGCCACTCAGCCCCCAGCCCTGGCCACCACCTCCAGCGACAGAACTGGGGCTCTTTCCAGATGAATTCCTCGGCCCCCAATCAGCGCCCCTGCATAGAGCCTGCAGGCCACAGCCCCCCACCCCAGTCTGCGCCCACCTCCCCCGGCCGGGGTGACCCAGCCACACTGCACCTCCCTGCCCACTCCAAGCCCGGCGACTTCTCTTACCCGAGCACATGACCAACCTCGCTCACGTCAGCTCCAAACACAACTTGAAGTAACTCTCTCACAAGAAAAAAAAAGAAAAAGAAAAAAAGTGCCAGCCAGCGGGCCAGCAGAGTCCACACACACAGGCTGTGCTGCCGGCTTCCAGGAGGCACACCACAGCCAACATCAGACCCATCCTTCCTCCAGGATGACACCCGCAGAGGGGCGGCCCCAGAGGGCGGCCTCACCTTCCCGCGAGACTACGACTCCCATCCCGGCCCTGGAGGCCCTGCAGGGCCAGGCCAGGCCCCCCAGGCTCCCAGCCCGATGCCCCCCAAACCCGGGCAGGCCAAGGCCCACCGGCGACAAGTGCGGGGCCGCCTGACCCCACGGCTGGGCCGTGAACGAGACGTCGGGCCTCCAGCGATCCGTTCTCGCCTCTGCCACTCTGGGCCTATAAACACAGGGAATTACATAAGTCCACTCCTCTTGTTTGGAAGCCAAAAGTACGAGCTTTTTCTCCCAGCCTTGGCAGTAAGTAATAATTCCTCATCGCCATGGTAACCCTGGCGGGCTTCCAGCCGACACTCGGGAGCTGAAACACTGTGAGGCCTTTTTATAGCTCGGCTCTTCGCTCGCTGGCAGGCGAAAGAGAGCTCCAGCCCCGCTTCTCCCACTTTAACCCGCTTCCTCCCAGCCCGGACTGTCCAGCTTCGAGCCGCACCTGCACCTCCAACCTGAGCGTAGCTCTGGCGCCTTGGCTCCGGCCTGGTTCCGAACCCAGGCCTCGGCCCATCCCTCCCCCGTCCTCTGTCCCGAGGGCCAGATGGCCAGAGGAGCAGGCTCTCCCTTGCAAATATTTCTGTCCTCCTTTTAATCCTAGGAAAAGAAAGCGTGACCCCCTCACACTGGCATTCTGATCTGGGGTCATCTCGGTGACAGGCCTAGAAAAGAAGACGTGGCCAAATAATACACACACACACACACACACACACACACACACACACACACACAGGCCAACAATGATGGCTTGGTAGTCAGCCAGGAGTCTGAACCTTGGCTGCAATTAGCTGTGTGACTCAGAGACAAGTCTGAGCTTCTCTGGGTGTCAACTTTCCATCCGTAGAAGGGGCAGGCTGAGCTCTGCTTCTCCAAGTGCTCTGGAAAGCAGAGATGAGGCGCCAGAGGAAGCTGCTGGAGCTCCCAGGAGGCAGAGGAGGCTCCACCAGGGTCTCCAGATTCACTTCCCTGCCCCTAGCAGCCAAGAGTTGGGCCTAAGAATGTGTCCCTGGACAGCAGCCCACATGATGACAAGGGTCTGGGGGTGCAGATGTGAGGAAGGCACCCCTGGCAGAAGCATGGCAGATGTGAAGGTCTGGAGGCTGGACCACGCGGGTGTGTTGTCAAAGCAGAGAGAAGGCTGGTGTGGCCGGGGCGCAGGGGCGAGGCGGGGAGAGTTTGACGATGAGGTCAGGGAGCTAATAGGAGTGGAGGGGAAGTGGTCAGATGGACTCTGGGCCTGGCCTTCAACTCCAGCAATAACATTGTCATCCTTTTTACTCTCAGGAGCATCTTGAGAGTAATAATATTAATAACAATAACAGTGGCCACACACACCGAGCCCAGCAGCTCGGACTGTGTGCCCAGCACTGTGCTAAGCGGGTCCCCTGGTTCACCAGCTGGCCTCACACCACCGCGGCATAGGCAGGTATGCCCCTGAGCCGCCACACACAGACAGAGCAGGAGGCTGGCCCAGAGAGGGTAGGTGACTTGCCCAAGGTCAACAGCTAGTGGCTGAGCTGGGACTTGAACTGGGCAAGCCTGGCTTGTCTCCGCTATCCACGTGGTAATTCAGCCACAAGGAGTCACAGGAGGGTTTCAGGACTAAGACCAGATTTGCCTGTGACAGGGGCCCGTGGCCACTGGACTGGCAGGGGGCCCAGACTGGCCACGAGGGGATGAGCATAGTGGCTGCGGAGGCCCCTGGAAGCCAGATGTCTCCTGTGAACAGCTGGCCCTCTAGCCTTCCCCAGGAAACACCCCTGGGGGGTTTCCGTAGACCTGCCCCAAAGCCAAAGGTGGGATTCTGCTACTCTTACGCCTTCTTTTATAGGTAGGGAAACTGAGGCACAGGAAGGCACGGGCATATTTTTAGCCCAAAGATCCAGCACCATCTTCCCGCCCAGACCGTCGCCAAGACCAGGCGGGACCATGACACCCAGGCCAAACTGGCCCCATGCAAACACCACCAGGAAGCGGTGCCTGAGAGCGGCCGAGTCAGGCCTCACCACCTCCTTCTGTTCATTTTTGTTTGTTTTGGACACAGACCTGCATCCAGACCTTCGCCAAAGGCTGGCCCTGGAATCCACGGTAACTCCTCCCACCCCCTCAGAGCGACTGTGTGCTATGGGCAGGTTTGACACTGGGCATGTCTCTTCACGGCCACTCGTTCTGCTTCCTGTGTCTTCCCCGCCAGACACTCCGCAGCAAATTGTTTGTTGAGTGACTTAATGAAGACCACAAATCATCAAACACCAGAAACAGCCACAGGCAGCAGCCCCCAGACAGAGCCTGTGGCCAAAACCAAACTCATATTCAGAATAAGCCAGTGTCTGGTTATCTGCTCAGCAAAAGAACTCCCCATCACGCAAGCCTTCGACGGCGACCACCCCTCCATACTTCGAAAAAGCATCCCCTGGCCAAAATCTGCCGACAGGCCGCTTCCTGGAGCCCGTCTGCTGAGCAGAGCTTTGACGGTGGGAAAGATCGGTGAAGACCCCCCAGAATATGATTCACCGCAGGCCACAGGGGCCAGGACAGTGGGCCAAAGGGGGTCTGGAAAGGGGCAGGGGGACCTTAAGCTGAGTGGCCCCAGGCAAGGCCCCCAGCCTCTCGAGGCATCAGAAGGCTCAGCTGGCGAATGGGGGAGCTCCTGCCTGCTGCCTCTCTCGCAACCCAGGTCAACAGAAACTACATGTGTGGGGCCCAGGGGGGAGGTGGGGGCCAGAACTCTGAGGACCAGATCCAGACCCACAGCCGCAGCTACGCTTCAGCATCCGGCTCCAGCTGGAAGAGACCCCCACTCACTTCCTCCCCACACACTGCTGCTTCCTGGCCAGGCACAGATACGAGTGGAGCAGGGTGGGGGCAGGAGAAAGAGACAGCACCGTGAGCCAGACACGTCTGGCTATCTGCACCTCCTCAATCCCGGGCCCCAGGGCTCCGTGACCTGGGCAGCCTCAGTTTCCTCATCTGAAAAGCCACTTAGATATCAAATGGTTCTATTGATGTATGCCACACAATGGAATTCCGCCATATAAAGGAATGAAGGACTCACACCATTCAACACGGATCAACCTCAAACACATTGTGCGGAGTGAAAGAAGCCAAAACCCACAGTGCATGATTCCGTCCAGGAGAAATACCCAAAATAGGTAAGTCCACAGAGGCAGAAGGCAGATTGGTAGCTGCCAGGGGCTGCGGGAGGCGGCAACGTGAAGTGACCCCACCGGTACAGGGTTCCTTTTGGGGTGATGAGGACATTTTTTGGATAGAAGGGGTGGGTGCTCAACATTGTGATTGTACTAAGAACTCATGAACTGTTCATGTTAAAATGGTAAATTATATGTGATGTGAATTTCACCTCAACTGAAAATAAATAGGCCGGGCGCAGTGGATCGCTTGAGGCCAGGAGCTCAAGACCAGCCTGGCTATCATGGCAAAACCCCATCTCTACTAAAAATACAAAATTCAGTCAGGTGTGGTGGCGCATACCCGTAATTCCAGCTACTCAGGAGGCTGAGGTAAGAGAATTGCTTGAACCAGGAGGCAGAGGCTGCAGTGAGCCAAGATCATGCCACTGCACTCCAGCCTGGGCAACAGAGCAAGGCCGCATCTCAAATAAACAAATAAATAAACAAAAAGATGGTGTTGCTGAATGCACACCACTCCAGCCCAGTTTACCGACTTCCTGAAAGCTGGGTCCAACTCCCAGCAGGTAGGAGTTCCTCACCCAGGCCTGGAGCTATCAGACATTCGAGAAGCATCTGCTGAGCCCCTACTGTATGTGCTGAGCACTGGAAATATGGCAGTGAACAAGACAAAATTACATTTTACATTTTAATTTTAAAATACATGAGTGATTAAAATAAAGTTCACAACTGTATTCGTTTCCTGTGGCTGCTATAACAAATTATTACAAATTGGGTGGCTGAAACCAGCGACCTATCCTCTCACAGTTCTGGAGGCCAGAAATCCAAGCTCAAGGTGTCACCAGGGCCACACACCCTCCAAAGACTCTGCAGGGGGAGCCTTCTCTGTGTCTTCCAGTTCCCAGTGGCTCCTGGCGTTCCTTCCGTCTTCACGTGGACTTCTCTGCTGTGTGTCTTCTCTTAGAACACTTGTCATTGGATTTAGGGCCCATCCTATTCCAGGATGATCCCATCTTGAGACCCTTACCTTAGTGACATCTGCGAAGACCTGTGGTCCAAATAAGGCCAAGGTCATATTCACAGTTTCCAAGTGTACCTATGTTTCATGGGCCATGACTCAACCCACTACCAAAGCCAAGACCTCAAAGTGGCAGCAGTCGCATGCCCGGAAACACCTTTGGTGCCCCTTTCCTTTCCCGCTAGTTCCAGAAAACTGGCTGGAAGCTGCAGAGGAGAGCTCCAGGGATCTCCGGGATGGCCCCAGGGCCCCCCTATAGCCGACAGAGCTGGAAACAGACCTGAGAGATCCCACAGCCACCCTCTCCGGCCTGAGCCTGCTAAAAACTGGCCCCAAGGAACCCAAATCCCCTTCCCTGTGGCAGGCATCCATGAGCCAGCCACTCGTGGGCAGCTTGAGGAAAGGGGCCTGCCTCCTGGATGGGGAGGCCAGACACAGGCCATCACCTCTGCCCCTAAATAAAGACACTCCCCAGACCAAAATGCATCCTATTTCCCCATCCAGGCCCGGGATTCTTCTCCACAAAAGCATCAAAATGAAGCCCTGACCACGTTGGCTAAGGGAAGCCAACGGTACTCCAGGGCTGTTTTTCTGCATGTTGTTTTTATTTTTAAAAGGGGCCGCCCCCACCCACAGCAGCTGTGAGCTGGCAGCTGGCAGAGTTAATTGCTCACTCAAGACTCACTTCCAACTGCAGCACCATCCGGCACGCCAGAATACCATGGGCACCCAGCAACTGGCAAGGACGGCTGGGGGCAGGGGGCAGGTGGCTGCCTGTTCTGGGGCTCCTGGGAACCCACACCCCGGTGGCAGGGGCAGCGGCAGAGGAAAGAGGAGTGCCCAGGAATGCTCCACGCCAGCCAGCTGGATCCCAGGGACCTAACCCGGGAAGGACACATCACGCCGGCCAGCATCACCCAAGCTCTCAGTGTGCCAGGGTCAGTGGGCTTCACGCGGCCTCCACTGTGCCTTACAACCGGCGTGTCCAGTCTTTTGGCTTCACTGGGCCACACTAAAAGAACTGTCTCGGATCACACATAACACTAACACTAACCATAGCTGATGAACTAAAAAAAAAAAAAACAAAAAACCGAAAAACAATCTGTTTTAAGAAAGTTTACAAATTTGTGTTGGGCTGCATTTAAAACCGTCCTGAGCCGCAGGTTGGACAAGCTTGCCTTACAACAATCCTATGGGGTGCTGTCATACCCATTCCATTAATACATACTGGGAAACTGAGGCAGAGAGCAGTGAAGTGACTTGCCCAAGGGGACGGGGCTGGGAAGTGGCAATGTCGGTTTTGAACTCAGCAAGTGTGAAACCCGCATCTACGACACTAACCACTAGACTATACTGTCTCCAAGAATGTCAGGCCCCACTGGAGACATGGTATTGTTCTCTGAGAAACTGCTGTGGCCGTGGGCCTTGACTTTCAGAAATGGCATCTCCAATGGTGTCAGACGTGACTTCCCAAGACTTGAGACCTTCTGGAACAGCCCATGGGACATTCTACCCAGATCACAGTGGGGACAAAATACTTTAAAAGTCACTGCTAAGAAGAGGCTATAAAATGGTGACAGCCAGTTGTGGCCATGAAGAAAACTTGTTCTGGCCCATTCAATGTTTTTTAAAAACTAGGCCATTCCTTATAAAATCCAGATTTCCAGCTTCTCTTGGAAAACCATCAGAATACCCAGCATGCCAGTTAGCCACAATCCCCACTCCTCCCCTTTGACCTGCACTGACTCACTCACTCCTTTCCTCCCTGTGTCTGAGTTTGGGACATCCCCTTATCCCTTCTTTGGCCACCTCCTCTTGCTGTTGCAAACAGTGAAACAAATGTCGAGGACCTCACTCAAACAAGAGAAAGGAGTGTCCCTCCTGGGATGCCAGGTGACTCTCCTTCTCCTTGGCTGGCTGGGCTGGGCTGGTGGCATGAGCCTGTCTGAGAACAAGGCCCGCATGGAAGGAGGCACAGCTGAGGCAAAGCCAGCTCCCAGAGGCATTGTTTGAGCACCTAGATCCAGCCGTGCCTGAACGTGTCCTACCCTGGCCACTCTGAGGACCCATCAACTCCCCGTCATAGCCTAACTCGGCTCGAGTGTGTCTCTGCCACAACTCAGGAGCCCTAACTAACTGCCCCTAACTAATCACCCCCAGGTCTCCCCTTGAATGACTCGTCCCTGGACGCCTGGCCTGATGGAAGACTAATTCAGCTCTTGCCTCACCCAGGTGAATGCCTGAACCTCGTCCTCACAACCCTCACCACCCGCGATAGCACTTGCTTGTTTAACTGACACTCCCCCTCTGGATACTAAACTCGAAGGCACAGGCAATGTCCAACTTCTCCACCATTCTCATCCCAGTGACGTACATGAGTCCGGAACATGCCACGTGCCCAATACATGTAAATTAAAACCATGTAAATACATGGAAATTAACTATGGAGCAAAAGAACAAAAGGGAAAGGCAAAAGTCATTAAATTTGACTTCTGCCTTAAATGTGAAAAACAGCCCAGCCCTGGAGGTCTGCAGGACAGTCTCAGATCCAGGAAAGCCCTCCTGGGGCCCCCCTGCTCTGCTCCAGCCATTACAGAGTGGGAAACTGAGGCACAGAACCCCAATCAGCATGCCTGAAACATGGTGGCCGGAGGGCCTTCGCGCCTGCTGTTCCCTCATCCCCCTTCCTTTCACATAGTGGGTGCCTCCTTATTGTCCAGGGCCCAGCTCAGATGCCACCTCCTCAGAAGCTACCCTGGAATTCTTACCTAAAATGAGTCCCCCGAAACTGAAGTCATCCCTACCTCCCCACCCTGTATTATTTCACAGGCAGCATTTTCTTGCCTTGCAAAATCGTGTTTGTTTTTTGGCACTGCCCATCTCCCCATCAGCCTGTGTGATCCATAAGGCAAAGCGCCGCATCTTGTTTGCTGTTTGCCATCCCCTCAACCAGGAGGAGGCCGTGGGGACACCAATCTGGCTGCAGGGAGGCAGGAAGCAGATGTCCCACGTCCTGACCATCCCACACTGCCCAGAGCAGCTGCTGCGTGCCTGAGGGCCCTACGTGGCACATGGAGGCTGTCCCACAGCTGGCATGGCCCTGCCAAGAGATCCAGGCTGGCTGCGGCAGTGATCGGCGTACCCACGGGGCAGAGGGAGGGCTGCAGGTGGCACCTGCACCATCCACACGATGAAAAGCAGCTGCCGTGGAGTCAGGCGTTCTGGGTTCACATCCTAGCTCTGCCAACTGGGCGACCTTGGACAAGTCCCCTAACCTCTCTCTGCCCTCAATCCCCTTAACTAGAAAACAGGGCTGATCATAATAGCACCTACTTTCTAAGGCTGCTGCAAAGAGTACATGCGTGTATGTATGGGGTGCACGTTAGAAATTGTAGTTAATGTTAATAATAATAATACTGGCAACTCACACACAGCACTGAGGCAAGAAAAGGATCAGGAAATGTTAGCTTTTATGGTAAATATGGTATTTGCTCTGTGCCAGGTCCTGTTTGAAGCATGTACACACATTAGTCCCTCCAAGATGGGCTTATGATTATTCAATGTGAGTGTTCCAGCTCCTCCAGGCAGCCTCCTTGGATTGCTCCAACCCCCAGGAACACCATGGACACACACAATTCTTCATGTGGGTCTTTCCTCAACTCCTCTCTCCACCCCAGGTGACAGTGAGGGGCAGGGAGAGCCCCAAACCCCGCAAGCCTGAAGTCAGCACCAGGGGAATGTGTGAACCCCCACTCCCATCCAAGCCACGGCCCAGCAACGCAGGCCCTGTCCGGCTGCACAAGTACACCCTGTAAAGTAAAGGGTGTTCCCTCCCTGGGCCCCCAGTAGAGGCCCAGACATCCCAAGGGTTCAGGCCCCACTGCCTCGTACAGGACCTGGAGTCTGGAGATATGGAGAGGCACCATGGAGGGAACAGGTGTGGGCTGTGGCTGGGCACCCTGGAGCTGCATGGACAGCGAACGAGGACAAGACTGCCCCCAGCCACCCCCATCCTCTGTCCATGCCCAGCACATGCTCAGGTCCTGAGGAGAAACCACGAGGTGGGGCAGCTGGTCTCCTCTCCCCCGCGGACAGACAGGACGCTAACCAATCAGCCACAGCAAGAACCCCAGCAAAGCCAGCCTGGGGTGCACACAGCTCCCTGCGCTTCTCGGAGAGGACAGGCAGCCCCTTCCACGTCAGGCACATGAGGTGGCCCCCGCTCCCCAAACCAAACAGTAAGAAGCAGCTAGAATCCCAGCTTCACCACCTCCCAGCTGTGTGGTCTCACTCATGCTCCTCCACCTCCCTGAGCCTCAGTTTCTCCAACTGTACAATGGGTCTAAGGACCATTATCTCAGGCAGGACAGAGAGTCCCCCAAGAGCCAGCCAATCAGGGCCGCTGAAAGAGAAAGAGAAGATCTGGAAAGAAGCTATTTTAATTTCAGCAAATGGGCTTGCTTTGTCCTTAGTGAAACATGATTTTATTTTACAGTTCAGAATGGCATCTGTTTATGGCAGTCGTGGAAGGGATGATGAGATCTTTTCAGCAGTGAAACCTCAGGAGGCCTCAGGCCATCCTGATTCAGCAAATCCCTGAACAGGCCGTGCTGAAGGGTAGATGACAAACACGGCGCCCCGCACAGACGCGGCCACAGCACACACAGCACGCCCTGTAGGGTGAGATGGGAAGGACGCAGACGGGGGCAGATGACTTGAGTGCAAAGTTCACTGGCTGTGTGACCTCGGGCAAGATGCGGAACCTCTCTGTGCCTCAGTTTCCTCATATGTAAAGAGGGGATGATGATAATCCCTACTTTACAAGAGCTTTTAGGTGATGAAATAATTTTTTATTTATTTTTTTTTTTGAGGTGGAGTCTTGCTCTGTTGCCCAGGCTGGAGTGCAGTGGCACGATCTCAGCTCACTGCAGTCTCTGCCTCCTGGGTTCAAACAATTCTCCTGCCTCAGCCTCTCCAGTAGTTGGGATTACAGGCGCCCGCCACCACGCCCGGCTAATTCTTCTGTTTTTATTAGAGACGGGGTTTCACCATGTTGGCCAGGCTGGTCTCGAACTCCTGACCTCAGATGATCCGCCTGCCTCGGCCTTCCAAAGTGCTGGGATTACATTACAGACGTGAGCCACTGTGCCCAGTCAATTAAATAAATTATAACATGTGAAGTGTGACACAAGGACGATCACAAACCCTGTTAGGACTGCTGCTGTCACTGCCATGGGGTGCTCCCACTTCGAAGCTCCAGTAGGTTTACAAACCCAACTGCAGCATAAAGACGGGTCCACCTGGATCCCTGGGACTTTGCACTGAGGTCATCTGCCCCCGTCCGTGTCCTTCCCATCTCGCCCTCCAGGGCGTGCTGCGTGTGCTGTGGCCCCATCTGTGCGGGGCACCATGTTTGTCATCTACCCTTCAGCGCAGCCTGATGAGGGATTTGCTGAATCAGGATGGCCCGAGGCCTCCTGAGGTTTCACTGCGGAACAGACGTCATCCCTTCCACGACTGCCATAAACAGGCAGACTGGGTAAATAACCCTCCAGGGACCCCACCACCACCTCCACCACCAAGGCTCTCTGGAAGCCCCTACAGCAGCGCCTCCCCGCCTCCTCCCTCCAGCTGGGGTGGGGATGACTATGAGACGGAAGGAGACACATGTCAGAGCCGAAGATTAAAAACAAGTACAATGACCGGGCAGGCATCCATCCACAATGATGAATCTGATGTAATTAGGCACCCCGCTGACTTCATTACTTATTTATTTACGGGATTGCTTATTTAATTTACAGGCCTCCTTCCCCGAAAAGTCATCTTAGCTGACACCCCTCAGGCAAGGAAAAAGGAGAAGGAGGCCCCCTCTTCCATCCCAGCCCATTCCTGGGCTTCCATATGCCATGCTCCTCCCTTGCCCCAAAATAGCTCCCCGGAAGGCAGGTGTGGTTTTGCCCAAGACAACAGGATTGAACAAGGAAGACCCTTGGCAGAACCAACGCCTGACATTCACTCAACAGTGCTCAGTGCCAAAGGACAGTGCTTGATCCGGAAGGCACAGCGTCTCCTCCACACCCTCATCTCTCCAGCAGAGGAAACCCTAGGAAAAAGGTGGTCCTGGCCCCAACCAGCCACCAATTCTTGGCATGACCCTCTGGACTGGCAAACACATCACTGCAACAAACGGAGCTGGCACCTCCTAGCCTGAAGGAGGAGAAAGGGCACACAACTCAGAGTCATGAGTTTCATTTCTTATCGGAATGGAAGTCACCTGACCTGTCAGAGCCTCAGTTTCCTCATCTGTAAGATGAGTGTTAAGAACAACACCTCTGGGCGCGGTGGCTCACGCCTGTAATCCCAACAGTTTGGGAGGCCGAGGCGGGCAGATCACCTGAGGTCGGGAATTCGAGACCAGCCTGGCCAACACAGAGAAACCCCGTCTCTACTAAAAATACAAAATTAGCCAGGCGTGGTGGCGCATGCCTATAATCCCAGCTTCTAGGGAGGCTGAGGCAGGAGAATTGCTTGAACCCGGGAGGCGGAGGTTGCAGTGAGCCGAGATCGTGCCATTGCACTCCAGCCTGCACGATAAGAGCGAAACTCCGACTCAAAAAAAAAAAAAAAAAAAAAAACACTCACTAATCCTAGCACTTTGGGAGGCCAAAGTAAGTGGATGACCTGAGGTCAGGAGTTCAAGAACAGCCTGGCCAACATGGCAAAACCCCGTCTCTACTAAAAAAAAAAAATACAAAAACTAGCCAGATGTGGTGGCGCATGCCTGTAATCCCAGCTACTTGGGAGGTTGAGGCAGGAGAATCGCTTGAACCCGGGAGGCGGAGGTTGCAGTGAGCCAAGATCATGCCATGGCACTCCAGCCTGGGCGACAGAGCAAGACTCTGTCTCAAAAAAAATAAAAAATAAAAAAATAAATAACAACACTCACAGCTAACTAACCCCAAACAACCCAACTGGTGCAATCCGGCACTGCACTGTGGTCTCAACCACTGCAGCCGGACGAGAAGCAGTCAGTCAGCAGCATAAAGACTAGAAAGGAAAACACAGAGCTAGCGTTGGCAGACACGAGATTATCTCCCACCATCCTTTAGACTCCCACCAGCTGGCCAGACACATAAAATCAAAACACAGAACCACAGCTTTGCCCAAAAGGCAGCAAAAGCTGAAAAATGTAATCGCATGTGCATTAGGGTCTCCTGGAACGGCTAACATTAAAAGATTGACAGTAGCAAGTGCTGACAAGGATGGGGAGCAACTGGAACTCTCATCCACTGCAGGTGGGCATGCAAAATGGGACAGCCACTTTAGAAAACAGCTGGTGGTTTCTTATAAACTAAAATAACACATTTACCATGTGACCTAGCAACCCAATGCCTAGATATTCACATAAGAAAAAAGAAAACATGTTCACACAAAGACTTACACAAGAATGTTCAGAGCAGCTTTATTCCCAATAGCCAAAAACTGGAAACTTTGATGTCCATCAACTGATGAATGGATAAACTGTAATATATCCACAGAATGAAATACTACTTAGCCATGAGAAAGAATGAATTGATACATGAGCAACATGGGTTATGCAGAGTGAAAGAAGCCAGACACAACAAAGTATAGTATATAATAAAATGATAATTTTATTATAAAATTCTAGAAGAGTTAAAAGCTTCTATAACAGCAGATCAGTGGGTACCTCTAGTCGGGGGTGGGGGGTGGAGGTGGGTGCTAGAGATTTAGTGCCAAGGGACTGGTGGGGATTTGGGGGGAACAGAAACACTTTATTCTGATTGTGGAGGTGATGCAAATGTTTACATTTGTCAAAACACATGCAATTGAACCCTTAAAATGGGTGCATCATTATAGGTTAATTACATCTCAATGAAGATGATCTTAAGTGGAACAGGGAGAGAGATGCATATATTAACACTACTCACTCCATTCCCAGTACCCAGGGACTATTTCCTCACTTCTAAATCAGTCTGCTGGTTCCTAAACTGGCCCTCAAGTTTCCCAAAGTCCCCTGATGTATGAGCATTGGACAGTTTGGGTCTGGGTTGAACCCCAGCTTTGTCCTATGCTAGCTAGGTCACGTAGGGCACTGTGCCCCTTAGGGCAAATCGCTTTGCCTCTCTGCCCCTCAGTCTCCCCCTCTACAAAAGCAAGGTGAGAAATACCACACTCCTCAGAAAACTGCCAAGTAAAATGAACCAAAGTGAACATACCAGCTGCAGGCCCCAGCATACAGCAGGGGCTTCATTATTGCTGCTGCCAGGTGATAAATGGTCAAGCCCAGGCCCACTGTGGACAGAGCTGGCCAGGATTCTTGTAACCCTGACAAACACAACACACTTCCTCACCCCACCAGACAAGGCTCTGGGCTCAAATAGCTGCCCCCAGGCCCCGAGGACTCAGGCCGGGGCATTTAACTGATGCCTGCTGTCCGGACAGGACACGGTTCCTGGGCTCCACCCAACCCGCCTCTCCCAGGGAAGCAGGGACAAAAGGATGGGGCCCTGTGGGGATGGCTGGCCCTGAGGACAACACAGGCACATGAGAGGTCATTTCAGGAGAAGGACGTCTGGGAGGCATCCACCAACTCATGCTGAACAACAGTCCAGCCAGAGCCCACCCGTTTATGAAAGAAAATGATAATAATAATAGAAGGACAGGGAGGGGGCTGCAGGGATGGGGGCTCTGCACCAGCTCCCACAGGCCTGTCCAGGGCTCCTGCTCCCCTCTGAGTGATGGCAGGGCAGGCGCCTGGAGCCAACGGCAGGAGGGGCATCCCCCGGGCCCGATTAGCGGGCGGCCGCAGGCAGACACGCTCAACTGTCAGCCTCCTCCTCTCAGCCCGCCATCACAGGCACCATTAATTGCTGTCATTTGAGGGTGGCCTGTGGGGAGAAGGAGGGAGGAGAAGGAGGGGTAGGGAGCAGGAAGGAAGGGGGAGGGGAGGAAGGGATTGCAGGGAGCCCCCGCCCAGGGCTGAGCATCCAGGCTGGGAAGGAGAGAGAGGAGGATGGCAGAGAGGGAAGGGTGGTGGCGCAGACAGGGAAGGGCAGGGGGCCCTGAATTGCTCTCCTCCCCACCCAAGCAGGGCCCAGGGCCCCGTCCAACTGGGGTTAAAGCCGGTCCTCCCAGAGCCCCCGAGAGGTGAGATCCCACCGGGCCAGGGCCCTAAAACCTCCCCCTACACACCTTCGGTGTCCCCGATCACCCGCCCAGGGTACCCCGAGACCCCAGCCCCCACCCACACCGGACCCCTCACCCCAATGTATAGACAATCCCAGACACCCACCTCCCCACCCCACTCCCAGCTGAAGAATCCACTCACAGAGTTTCGAGTCACGGGCAACCCACTTTTGGGGCCAGGGGCTCCCACAGCCCCCTTCTAAGGTCCTAGGTCCGCAGGGAAGAGTGTACCGCTGGGAGCCTGGAGCCAAGCCCTCCCTCTGCTGCTGCACCCTGGGGATGCCACATCGCCTCCCTGTACCTCAGTTTCCTCATCTGGAGAATGGGGATAAGGACGGTGCCCACCTCCAGGGTCGCCCTGAGATTTAAGGAGGTAATTCCACAAAGTGCTTAGTGCACGCATAGCGAGTGTCGGCCCTGAGGTCTGTCCCCCCTTGTCTCCCCCATGCCCCCTTCTACCATCACGGTTCTTACTCAGAAAAGGCTGCACCCCCCACCCACCCTCTCCAGCATGGAGGGTCCCAGAGGGGCCCCACAGAGCTGCCAAGTGGGTGTGGTGGGGCAGGGCATCCGGGCAGCGTCTGTCCTCTGTCAGGGGAGTGCAGAGCATCTGCCTGCCTCAATGTGCCCCCATGGCCCCACTCCCACTCACCCCTGCTGGCCCCCAGACAGGCCTTGCCTTCGGGCTGAGGAGCCACTTGGGTCCTGCAAGGGGGCTCCTGGGAGCATCAGGTTCCCTCAGCAGGGGAGGAGGAGGCCCCACTCCACCGTCTGTCTGCCTTCCCGGCCTCCCTCAGATGTGATGGATCGCCCCGGCAGAGGAAGCTAAGTGCTTGCAGACAAAAAGCCCTTTTATCGTCCTCGGGTGGGCCACTGGCATGACAAGCAGATAACTCAGCCACAGGAGGAAGGCTCCCCATTAGGCCGGAGACGGAGACGCCGATGGACGGGGGACAGAGAGGCAGAGGAGGAGGAGGCTGGGAAAAACAGCCCAGACCAGGCCGCTTTCCTTCCAACTTCAAAGCCCCATGAGCCTAGGCAGAAAGCCCTGCTGAGTTCATCACTTTGTGGGGGACCGCCACCGTCCCACTCCTCCTTCCCCCACCTCCAAATCCCACTCCTCTTTCCCCCCTCCCTCCAAGTCCCACTCCTCCTTCCCCTCCTCCCTCCAAATCCCACTCCTCTTCCCCCCTCCCTCCAAATCCCACTCCTCTTTCCCCCACCTCCAAATCGCACTTCTCCTTCCCCTCCTCCCTCCAAATCCCACTCCTCCTCCCCCACCCCAGTCCCACTCCTCCTTCTCCTACCTCCAAATCCCAATCCTCCTTCCCCTGCTCCCTCCAAGACAAAACCTGGTTGTGAGGCCCAGGGCTTAGGGCCCAAGGCCCAGCCCCAGGAAGCAGATGACCTGCAGGGCTGATCTTCCCTCCTGCCTAGTGGGGGGCCCCCAAAGGCTCAGGAAGAAGTAAAGAGGCCTCCTCCAGGAAAACTCCCCCGAGGTAACTCAGAATCGCGCAACCCGGGAGGCCCATTCCAAGCTGCCTCAGTGCTTTGGCAGGGCTGTTCCCTCAGCCTGGGTCACCCTTCCCCCAGATACCTACATGCTTCCTTCCTCCCCTACTTCAGGTCTTTGCTCAAAGGCCACCTTCTCAGGGAGGCCTACCCTGACCCCCACTTTGAAACTGCAACCCCCAGCCCACCCACAGGCTCCCCAGACCCCTTCACCACTTGTTCCTCAGCCTGGTGCTCACCACCAAGAGACCCGCTAAGCGTCGCACTTACTGACTTTTGGTCATGGTCTGTCTCCCCGCAGGGAGGACTAGGTGCTTGGCCGTCTTGTCCACAGGTCTATTCCCAGCACCCACAACAGAGCCTGGCACACAGTAGGTGCTTTAGAAAGAGCCATTCCATAAACGAATATATAGTCATGTACTGCTTAACCACGGGGACACGTTCTGAGAAACGCACGGGAGCTGGTGCTGTGGCTGTGGGAGCACGATGGGGGTGGACTTGCACAAACCTAGACCTCAGTGCCAGCGGTACACCCAGGTTGTGTGGTGTCATCCAAGCTCGTCCAACCCCGGCCCAGGATGCCTTTGAATGTGGCCTGACACACATTTGTAAACTTTCTGAAAACATTATGAGACCTTTTTGTGATTTTTTTTTTTTTTTTAGTTCATCAGCTATCATTAGTGCTAGTGTATTTTCTGGGTGGCCCAAGACAATTCTTCTTCCAATGTGGCCCAGGGAAGCCAAAAGATTGGACAACCCTGGTGTAGCCGACGGTTCCCAGGCTACCACCTGTACGGCGTGTGGCTGGACTGACTCCCACAGGCAGCTAGAACCCAGTGGTACACTAGGTATCCAAACACAGAAAAGGAACAGTACAAATGTGGTATTCTCTGGGCTTGGTGGCTCACACCTGTCATCCCAGCACTTTGGGAGGCCGAGGCAGGAGGATCACTTGAGGTCAGGAGTTCGAGACCAGCCTGGCCAACATGGCGAAACCCCATCTCTACTACAAATACAAAAATTAGCCAGGCGTGGTGGCGCACGCCTGTAATCCCAGCTACTAAGGAGGCTGAGGCAGGAGAATAGCTTGAACCTGGAGGCAGAGGTTGTAGTGAGCCAAGATCACACCACTGCACTCCAGCCTGGGCAACCAAGCAAGACTCTGTCTCGAAAAAAAAAAAAATGTGGTATTATAATCTTATGGGACCACTGTCATATATGCGGTCCATCGTTGACCAGAATGTCGTTATGCAGCACATGACTGTATTTGGAACAAGAATGAAATCTCCCGACAACAGCCTGTCATGAGCCAGAACACGCTGTGTGCCCGCCATGTGCCCCAGCCTCCATGCGCACGAGCCCTGCAATGCCCTCAGCGACCATCTGCCTGGCTGGGAAATGAGCACTCCGGGAGAAACTTGCTGCATTCCCTGGGAAGGGTGAGAAGGGGTTCTTTGCTTCTGGCTCTTTGCTTCCAGCTGAAAGATCTGGGACAGGTGACCAACCTGTGCCTCAGTTTCCCCACTTGTAAAATGAGGCACCACCCATTCTGGAGTGTTGCTGTGAGGGTCACAAAATGGGGTGACCTGTGAAAAGCACGACCTGTGATTATGACTCACCAGGCACCTTCTCAGGCCAGGCACTGCTCTCTATGAGCATTAATCACCGCAGCAAAACCCTATAAGGGGAAACTGTTATTGCCTCCCCGCCCAGTCTACAGATGGAGAAACAGAGATACAGAGAGATAAAGCAACCTGGCCCCAGTGCCCAGCACAGAAGTAGCAGTGATAAGACCAGGACCCAGGCCACCTCTTTGCCTGCTAGGCATGGGGACCACAGTGGTGGTTCAGCCTCAGGGCTTCCTCCAGCACCCAACACCCGAACACCTGGGCCCATCGACAGGCCCCACCCTGGCCAAACCTGCGGGCCCACCGCCAAAGCACAAAAGCAATGTGACCAAGAACCCCGGAGCCCGGGGAAGCCCACCCTCCTGACACTGACACTGTCAGGGACCCTCCCACCTCTCAGGTGTCATCAAAAAATCACTGCACCAACTCAGCCAGGAAACGGCCCATCACTGGGGGACCCCGCAAACTGCCCTAAGTTGCTCCCTGCCCTGGACAGCTCTGATGTGCCAGACCCCACACGCCCCCCGAGGCCCCCACCACACACTCCAGGCCGAACCTGGCTCCGAGTAATTCCAGACCCACTTCCCGTGAGAAAGTCCAGGCAGGATGAACCTCCTGGGGACACCAAGTGGAGACAGACATGAACCTACCAGAAACTGCCTCCAGCGAGGCTGTGTCCTCAAAGACTCAGGGAGACCTGCGGACAAAACACGGGTTTTGTTAGTTGACATCGCATGTATGCAGTTTGGCATGACGACACCGACATGCAGGAAAAAAGACCATGTCTGCCGTCAGGGCCCATGTGTCGTAAGCACTGGGCCAAGTATTTCTCCATGAGAACCCTGTGAGGCAGGTACTGCTACCTATTTGACAGAGAGGGAGACTGACGCTCAGACAATCAAATCTCATGCCCAGGTTCTCAGAGCCGGGAAGTGACGGAGCTGTGATTCAATCCCAGATGTGTGGGTTTAAAGGCATCCCACACCCTGGCAAGACCACCGAGGGGCCCCGGGCCACACGGCTAGGCTACTGGGAAACTGCCCCATTAACTACCCAGAGGACCCCACAAACAGGGAGATGGGTCGACGGACACCTGAAGGATGGGGTCCGGGGGTGGGGGTGTCTACTATTCTCATGCAAGAATTTATTTTTGTTTGTTTGGTATTTTGGAGTGTTTTTGTTTTTGTTTTTGTTTTGGATATAGTCTCGCTCTGTCACTCAGGCTGGGGTGCAATCATGGCTCCCTGCAGCCCCAACCCTAAGGCGATCCTCCCACCTAAGCCTGCTAAGTAGCTGGGACTATGGGCACGTGCCACCATGCCCGGCTAATTTTTGTATTTTTTTGTAGAGACAGGGTCTCACCATGTTGCCCAGGCTGGTTTCAAACTCCTGAGCTCAAGCAATCCTCCTGCCTTGGCCTCCCAAAGTGCTAGGATTACAGGTGCGAGCCACTGTGCCCAGCCTCATTTAAGAATTTCTGAGTTACCATACAAAGTCAAAAGTAGTGCAATGATAGCTAGTACCCAGAATACAGAGGGGACACCCACAAATCAATATGAGCCAGTCAGTCCAACAGCAGACAGGCAAAAGACAACATAGACGCTTCACCAAAGAGTACATACACATGGCCAATAAGACACGAAAAGATGCCCAACGTCATCAGTCCTTAAGAGAGGGCAATTAAAACCACGAAAGACCACTGCTCACCCATAGGGATGGCAAACATGAGACAGACAACATCAAGTGCTGGTGAGAACAAGGAGCACCTGGAACCCTCACCCGTTGCCGACGGGATGCAAAATGGAGCAACTACTTTGCAAAAACAGTTTGGCCATTTCTTATAGTTAAACACATGCTTGCCATATGACTCAGTAATTCAACTCCTAGGACTTTGTCAGACAGACATGAAAACAGCCACACAGACTCGCGCACAAATGTTCACTGAAGCTTTATGCACAATCGCAGAACAACTGAAAACAACCCAACGGTCCATCGACAGGTGAACGGATAAACAGTGGTACATCCATGCCATATGACTCTGCAATCAAGAGGAACCAAGTGCAGACACACAGGACCACAGGGAGGAATCTGAGACTCAGGCTGTGTCCAAGAAGCCAGATTCAAGGCTGCAGACTCTATGGTTCCACGATAGGATTCTGGGGAAGACAAAACAACTTTCACATTTGTAAAGAGGCCTGCAGAGGTAGTCAAATACAACAAAAAAAATGTGATTCCCACAAATGTTAGGACGCCAATCACCTCTAGGGAGAAGGCAGCCCATGTCTACAAGGTGACCCCTTTATAATTGTTCGCTAATCTGCACTGAGGGGTTTATACATTCTTTATCGTGTTAACTTCTGCATGAAAAGAACAAGTAAAAAATAGTACAGAGGGCAGAGCACTGGACAGTCAGTCTCAACGGACCTCTGGGAAACCCCTTCTCCACCTCGTGCCAAAGCTGAGGGATCGGGGACTGGTGAGGCCAGGGCTGCCCCCTCCCACAAGGGAGCAGCTGTGTGCAGTGCTCAAGCTCTGAAGCCAGGCTCCCCAGGTTCCAATCTGGCCTCCACCCTCTCCTAGCTGTGCAACTTGGAACAAGCAACTTCACCTCTCTGAGTCTCAGATTCCCCATCTCTAAAATGGAAACGATCATTTTAAAAATGCTGACCCCACAGGAATGTTGTGAGTGTAAAGTGCCCTCAGTGCCAGTGTGTGCCACTCCAGTGTGTGCCACTCCAGTGTGTGCCACTTCGAGTGCTCAGTTCTTGCTGGACATGACTCCTACCCCCACCCAGGGGCTGGCAGCCAAGCTCCGAGAGGCCAGCCCTCTCCAGTGCCTGGCAGGCCCTCAGGCCCCAAGGAGGGAGCCTTTGAAAGGGCAGCTGCGGGCAGCTCACAGGGGGACAAGCCAGCCACTTCTTTCCTGCCCTTTTTTCTTTTTTAAGCGTTTTTTTCACTATGATGCCCCCAGGCTTGGCACTTGGTCCTGCCATCTGCATCAGCTCCAGAGACAGGCCCTGCAGGAAGGCTGGAAACAGGGAGGGCCCGGGCACATCTTCACAGCCGCCCTCCCCAGCTCCCGGAAGCCTCGGTGGCCAGCCACCTGCAGCACGTCCCGTCACAGGCTAGGGCAGAGCCAGGCCTGGCAGGCGCTCTCCCTGGGCACCAAGAAGCTCTCAACCTCCACCTGGGAGAGACAGCTGGGAGATCAGACCCCATCTTCTCCTAACCTGCTCCCAACCCCAGCCAGCTCAGCCTGCAATCCCCAACAGACAGAGTCCCAGGGTGTCCCGGTGGCATGGGGTCAAGGCCAGTGGGGGCTGGCCCCAAGGTCACATTGTCCAGAGGGAAACAGAGAATCTCCCAGCAGTAATGGAGTGACACATAGGTCCAAAGAGGGGTTCCCAATTTAGAAAACTCAGCAGGGACTTCCCAGGACAGGCAACCTGTCACACTGGCCAGAATCCAGGGAGATGACTGAGGGGCCAAGGGGGGTAGCGAGGACTGGGCTGAGGTGGGAAGGAACCCAGGGCCCTGGCTGGAGCAGAGCCAGGGGGAGAGGAAGAGAGAGGAGGGCTGGAGGCAGCAGGGGCGGGTCACGCAGGGTTCTGCAGATGGGTTTTATCTCCAGAGCAGAGAACCTTAGGAGGGTTACGCAAGCTGCAGAGGGGCAAGGTCCCACTCCAAAGTGGAGATGCATCTGGCCGTGGAGCGCGGGTGAGGGCAGAAGCCACAGCCAAGGGAGAGGCCACTGTGCCAGTCCAGGAGAGTGATGTGGCGGGCGGCCAGGCTGGGCGCAGCGAGGTGGGAGAGGGGCTGGCATGGAGAGCATCATGCATTAGAGAGTCCGAAAGGCAGGCAAGCGATGGTGAGAATCAAGAGGCCCGCTCCTCCTCTCTGACCCTGGGCAGAGCTAGTCGGGGAGGGAAGGAGAGGGTGACAACATCCACTTCCTGCACAGGACCCTTTCAGGGGCACAGCCATCCCGTGTCCCTGGCCAGGAAACTGCTGCTCTGAGGGAGGAGTCACCCAAGGCCACGTGGCAAGGAAGGGAGTGAGCCAGGATCCAAACCCAGGACCAAGTGCTTGGGCCATGGGGAGCCAGGGCACCAGGGCACAGGGCTGGCAGCGTGGAGTCGAGGCTGCTCCAGCCCAGGCTGCCCGCGAGCGGCCAGGGCATGTGGGCCACAGTGTGGACTGAGCCCCACGCCTCCCCGGCAGAGCCGCCCCCGTCAGGGCTTCCCGGGGCCGGGCGTCTCCCAGCTCAGCCCCGCAGCAGCAGGTCTCACTCGCTGTGTCACGCTCCCCTGTGCTCACACCCACCACTCACTCGCTCAAGGCCGCAGTCGCACTTGCTCACTCTGCTGCACTCACATTCACACTCATTCACACTCGTGCACACCCGGTTCACACTCACCGGCTCGGGGCCACCCACACACATTCCAGCTCAGGCCCAGGCCCACTGGCCGGCTCCGTGGGCCCTCCCCGCACAGCATCCCACCAGCTCCTTCATGCTCACTGTCCCCCAGCAAGCTCCCACGCTCCCCCTCACCCTCCCAGGCAGGCTGGGGGAACCCGGGCACCCCCCATTCCTCTGAAGCCACCAGCTCAGTCCACCCACAGCTGGAAGAAGGGCCGGGCCTCCATCCTCGCGCCCCTGGGGCTGGCCAGGCTAGTCTCCCGGCAAAGCAGATGCACGGGGAGAGCAAGGACCAGTTCCAAGGCTCCCCTCTGCCAAGCCCACCATGACCACGCATGGCCCACAGGCTGAGACTTGCCCCCACCTGCCAGCACCCCCCTTGTCAGCTCCCAAACAAGCCCACCTCCTGGCGTTGGCTTTTACCCTCAACTCTACCAAACGCACCGTCACCCTGCTCTCCACCCTGCTGGAACCAGAACAAGCACCATCTTTTCCTCCTCCAGGAAGCCCGCCTGGCTCACCCCAGCCACAAAGGCCAACCTGACTCGTCCATTCGCCACACCCAGAGATGGGAAGCCACCACCCACAGCCACACAGCTGCAAGAGGCAGAGCCAGCCGACATTCAAACCCAGAGGCAGCTTCGACCTGCCTCGACCAGGACACCATCAACCTTCAGCTGCTCAACAAACAGAGGGGACAGACCCCCTGTTACCTGCCAGGTACAGGGGCATGACTGCGAACACAAAAGCTGAGGGTCTTAGGGGCCAAGGTCACACACACACACACCCAAACACCCTCCGGTACACCCATAAGTGAGCAAGGTGATTGCAAAGAGTGGCCCCTGGAGTGACGGACATAAACCATGGCGACCCAGCAGTGGTGGGAGGGAGGGCAGGGAGGGCAGGGAGGGCCCCCTGCAGGAGGAGACACTGGAGCCAAGCACAGAGGGCCGAGGAACAGGTGTCCATGAGGAAGGAAAAAAGAGCACTCCAGGCAGAAGGCACAGCCTGTGCAAAGGCCCAGGGGCAAGAACCAGATCAGAGGGTTAGAGAAGCTGGGGCAGCCAGAGGGCTGGGGAGTGGAGAACTGGAGAGGGTTGGGGAGTAGAGCTGGAGGGGGATGGAGGTGGAGAGCTGGAGGGGGATGGGGAGTGGAGCTGGAGGGGGATGGGAGTGGAGATGGGGGGATGGGGGTGGAGATGGAGGGGGATGGGAGGAGGATATGCAGGGGGATGGGGAGTGAAGAGCTGGAGGGGGATGGGGTGGAGAACTAGAGGGGGTGGGAGGTGGAGAGCTAGAGGGGGGTGGGGAGTGGACTGGAGGGGGATGGGGAGTGAAGAGCTGGAGGGAGATGGGGGTGGAGATGGAGGGGGGTGGGGAGTGGAGAGATGGAGGGGGATGGGGAGTGGGGAGATGGAGGGGGATGGGGGTGGAGAGCTGGAGGGGGATGGGAGGTGGAGGGGTGGATATGGAGGGGAATGGGGAGTGAAGAGCTGGAGGGGGATGGGGGTGGAGATGGAAGGGGATGGAGAGTGGAGATGGAGGGGGCTGGAGAGTGGAGAGCTGGAGGGGGGTGGGGAGTGGAGAGCTGGAGGGGGATGGGGAGTGGAGATGGAGGGGGATGGGGAGTAGAGAGCTGGAGGGGGATCTGGGGTGAAGAGCTAGAGGAAGATGGGGAATGGAGATGGAGGGGGATGGGGTGGAGATGAAGGGGGATGGGGAGTGGAGATGGAGGGGGTGGGGAGTGGAGATGGAGGGGGATTGAGTGGAGAGCTGGAGGGGGATGGGGAGTGAAGAGCTGGAGGGGGATGGGGAGTGGAGAGCTGGAGGGAGATGGGGAGTGGAGATGGAGGGGGATGGGGAGCAGTGATGGAGGGGGATGGAGGTGGAGATGGAGGGAGATGGGGAGAGAAGATGGAAGTGGCTGGGGGTGGAGAGCTAGAGGGGGATGGGGGAGATGGAGGGGGATGGGGAGTGAAGAGCTGGAGGGGGATGGGGAGTGGAGATGGAGGGGATGGGAAGTGGAGAGCTGGAGGGGGATGGGAAGTGGAGAGCTGGAGGAGGATGGGGAGTGGAGCTGGATGGGGTGGGGAGTGGAGAGCTAGAGGGGGATGGGGAGTGGAGAGCTGGAGGGGGACGGGGAGTGGAGATGGAAGGGGATGGAGGAGGAGATGGAGGGGTGGGGAGTGGAGATGGAGAGGGAAGGGGAGTGGTGATGGAGGGGTATGAGGAGTGGAGATTGAAGGGGATGGGAAGTGGAGATGGAGCAGGTGGGGAGTGGAGATGGTGGGGGGGTGGGGATGGAGCTGGAGGGGGATGGGGGTGAGGATGGAAGGGGATGGAGAGTAGAGATGGAGGGGGTGGGGAGTGGAGAGCTGGAGGGGGATGGGGAGTGGAACTGGAGGGAGATGGGGAGTGGAGATGGAGGGGGATGGGGGTGGATATGGAGGGGGATGGGGGTGGATATGGAGGGGGATGGGGAGTGGAGATGGAGGGGGATGGGGAGTGGAGATGGAGGGGGTGGGGAGTGGAGATGGAGGGGGTGGGGAGTGGAGAGCTGGAGGGGGAGGGGGTGGAGAGTTGGAGGGGGATGGGGAGTGGAGAGCTGGAAGGGGATGGGGGCTGTGTTCCTGGCCACAGGAGGGGAGCCACGTGCTCCAGTGGAACACATAACTGAGTAGGAACAGTGTGGGGCAGGGCCAGCGAGGACACCTTTGGGTCAATCCCTGAGGGCTCCATGGAGGCATCGACCTCTTGCCCTCCCAGACCCAGCCTCAGCCTCTTCCTGCATGGAGGATCAGAACTGTGGGGCTCCAGCCTCAATGCTGGGCAAGGGCTTGGTGTCTGGACTCTGGAGCCTTTCCCACCAGACCTGCAGCAGCCACAGGAACAGGGCGGGCCATTGCCTCGGGGCTCCTGTGCCTCCAGGACCCATGATTACTCAAGCCCAGGGCTCAGTATAAATCCTCCCTCTCAGCCCAGCCTCCCCTGACCAGCGGCCACACCGGCCACAACAGCCACACCCTTGGCAGGGCCACATGAGGGACATCTTCCAGAAGGGAGAAGGACGGGTGTTGATTGAGCACCCACAGGGCCCACAGAGATGGGCGAGGTGGGCGACAGCAGCCCAGGCTCCACTCCAGGCCACCTCTGCCCTGGGCACCGAGGCCAAGACCCTCAGCGCCCGTCCCAGGCCCTAGGAACCTGCCAGGCCAGCATGAGCCAGCCTCGGGGCGTGCTCCGCAGAAGCTCTAAACTGGACCCCGCAGACCCACAGATCAGACCCTGGCCCCCAAGGGGCAGGCATGACTCCCAGAAGCCTTCCCTGCAGGCTGGAGTTTGGGGACTTCCAGCACAGCACAACCTAGGTGCCGTGAGACATGGAGGCGGCTCACCGCCCTCCCAGGGCCGGCCGGGGTCCACCGGATACATCTTCCCACACGGGGTGAACAAGGAGCCTCCCCTGTCTCCTGCAGTGGTGTCACCTGGTCCCCGTCCCTGTGGTAGCCAGCAGTCCAGACAGCCAGAGCGGGAGGGAGGCAGGCTCCGCAGCCCTTCCATTGAGAAGCCGCCGGGATATGTTTTCCTTCTCCAGGGACAGCTGAGGCAGCCTGCCCCGTGCCAGCCCTCCTGGAATCTGCAGAGGCAGCCACCCAGAGTTCACCAAGGTCTCAGTCCCCACTGGACTGCAACAGCCAAGGGCGGGTGGGTGGGCGAAGATGGGGGTCACAGCCTCTCTCCCTCCCATCCCTCCTCCACCAGCTAGGGCAAGGGCCACCAGACCAAGGCCAAGGGGGCTGGCAGCATGGATGTGAGTGATCAGGGCCTGCAATGGGATCAGTAGGGAGGTGGGGATGGGCCGCAGCCCCGTCCAGAGGGGGACTGAGGAGCAACCCCGTGCCCTGCCCAGGAACGCGCCCCAGCCCCAGGGCCACCTGTCTGCTCCCAACAAGGAAGGCTGCACTGACACCGGGCATAGCGACTGGGGAGGAGCCGCTGCAAAAAACCATGACAACGATCATCACAATAATAACAGCCCTCACTTCCTGCCAGGCCACGTGCATCTCCACTGTCCGGACCCTGTTTCAGGGGTGGGGAAACAGACCCACACGGGGTTACCTGCCCCAGGTCACACAGCCAGTGAGGGGCGGGGAGACGGGACCCCGAGCATCTGACCCTCTGCCCTCGGCCACTCCATTCTCCACCCCGACAGCGCCGTGGATTTAGCAGGGACTAGGCTTCCCAGAAACCTCGCCGCCCCTCTCCTCGCTGCGGGGTGTGGGGCCGCCATCAGAGACAGCAGCCGGCAGGAGCAATTAGAGGCCAGGAAGGAGCCGGGGTATCGACCGCTTTTGGGAGGGAAGGGGGACGCGGGCTCTGTCGGGGTGGCAGCAGCCTGGCTCATGGCCAAGCACGGGCCACGACAGGGCAGGGAGCGCAGCCCAGGCCGGGAGGCCGCGGAGGCCCCACGCGGCAGCACGGAAAGGCCAGCTGTCCGTCCACCTGTCTGTCCAGCCCCCTCACCCTCACAGGCACCGACAGCCCCTCGGTGCCTGAAGCTCAGGGTTTCGCTGCCTCCGCACAATGCTAAGCCCCTTACGATGATTAACTCGTTTAATTCTTAACAACCGCCCCACATCCTCCCCCTGTGCAGATGGAGGCAGTGAGGCAAGAAAGCCCTCCCAGAGAGTTCCCAGGACTGGGATCCACACTCAGCGTCAGTCAGCACCAGCGACGCCGCCTCTGCCCGGCACCCCCTGCCCGGGGAGCCCCAGCGGGGAGGGAGATGAATGGAAAGGGTGCACTGGAGACTGCTGGATGAGATGGAAGCTTCGGGAAACCTCTCTATGCCCCGCAGTGACCCTGTCTGTAAAAGAGGAACATCACAACACCTGCCTCACAGTATGCTGTAGATGAACTCAGGTTTAGCCCCACAGATAGGCAGAGCAAGTACCCCAAAATGTCAGCTGCTGGCTTCTCCCAGAGAGGCTGCCTGGCCTGGGGACCCCTGAATCTGCAGCTGAACAGAAAAACCACTGCAGACTCTCCCCAGCCTCTGCCCCGGGCTGCCCGCCCAGGAGCAGGGTCTGGCCTTTAGAAGCTCCCTGGAGGGCGGGGGCACCATCCGCCAGAAGCAATTAATTGCTGGGTCAAGAGATGGTGAAAGAGATTTGTCACGAGGGCCTGGGGATATTCAGGGTGGGAGGGTGGCCCACACTGATTCAGTTGCCCCACCTTCCACCTCACAAGCAGGCTCCGCCCCCACTCAAACCCCCAGGACATCCTCCTCTGCCTCCACACCCGCCCGGGCCCAGGGTAGGTCAGGGATGCAGCCCCAGCACCCGTGACCTGCTCCCAGGAGGGACCTGCTTCCACCATTCAGCCGGTGCCCACACACAGGAGGGGACAGCCAGGCACAAGTGGGGCTGACATACAGAGTCCCCGGTGGGCCCCAAATGGGCCTGAGACCCAGATCAAATCCCTGAGCCATCTCATCTTGGCAGGAGACTGCGACCCCTGTGTGTGCTGCTCAACTTCGCAGAGGCAGTTTCCTCTCGGTGAAACGGAGGCAATTATATTAGGTGGCTAAAATCAGGCTGGCTCCCGCTCCAGCCCTAGTGCTGTCATTTTTTAAAGCCTGAGGAAGGTGCCTTGCTTCTCGGAACCTCAGTGTGCCCATCTGTAAAACGGGGATGATGCCAGGGGCTACTCTGAAGAGAAATTTACAACCTGGCACCCAGCAGTGCTCAGTTGAAGCTCACCATCGGGGTTCACCAGGCCACCTCCCCAGGGCCCCTTGCCAGCCTGCAACCCTACTGAGACACCAATGTCCCCAGCACCTCGAACACCCAGAAGCGGGGCCCAGGGGGAGGGAGCAGAGTCTCGGAGGGCCACGATGAGAGGACTGGATAAGAGCCCACCTTCCCTGCCTCCCACCTCCGCAGCAGGCCCAGGGGAAACATAGGCTTTGGTGACCACCAGGCTGGGGCCAGAGGCCAGTGACAACAGAAGCACCCAGAGACAAGGCAGCCCCTGACCCAGATCTTCCATGGGCAGGGCTCTGCAGGAGCCTCTGGTCTGGAGGGGTCCGAGGCACAGGTTTCCCCATGGGTCCCCATCAGCTTTCAGCCCCTGGTGTCCACACCCAATCCCTCCACACCAACCCACCGACACACGGGGACCCTCGAAGCCCCCACCACACAGATGGGAAAACCAAGGCCCAAAGACGCCAGGCAAGGGCAGCTCAGCCCGGGATCTTTCTCATGTACCGGTGAGCTCAGCTCAGCCCAGCAGGCGTTCAGAAGCCCAAGTGGCCCGGCTGGGGTCAGGGCCCTGAGTCAGAGCAAGAAACGCAGCAGAAACTGAAACAGCCCAGTGGCCCCACATACTCCACAGAGTGAGCCACGCTGCTTCCCTGCGCCGCCCCGTGCTGGGAAGTTCTTGCTTCTGTGGTCAGGGTGAGGGTGGGGGTGGGGGACGAGTGGCGTGGAACAGCCTTTCAGCCTGGGGACCCTCTCTGGGCCCGGCAGATGAGCAAAGTTCCATGCACACAGGCAGAGCTGTGAACTGGCCCCACCTCAGAGTCTCCGTGTCACCCAGGACACATGCAAAGCCACACATTACCTGGGGCAGCAGTTCAGGGGTATGCATAGGTGAAGCATAGACAGGCAGGAGAGACCCATCCCAGGCACAGGCTGTTTCTGCTCCCTGCAGGGCTCAGCCTGCAGCAAGGCCACAGAGCACAGGTCTCGTGATCTCAGGATAGGGTCTGAGACCCGGGTTCAAAACCTAGCTGCACTGCTTTCTAGCTCTGTGACCCTGGGCACGTGGCTTAACCCTTCCGAGCCTGCCTGTTTCCTCGCCGTAAAATAGAAACTCAGCTCACAGGGCTGACTCAGAGGCTCAGTGAGCGAATGCCTGCCTACAGTAAGAGTGAATGCCCAGCATACAGTAAGGGCTTAATAAATATGTACAGCAGTTCCTGCTTAGCCACGGCAGCTTTCCACAGTTTCAGTATGGTGGTCTGAAAACAAACGGAAAATTCCACAAATAAACAATTCGTAAGTTTTTGGGTTTTGGGTTTTTGTTTTGTTTTGTTTTTCTCACTCTGTTATACAGGCTGGAGTGCAGTGGTGTGACCTCAGCTCACTGCAGCCTCCGCCTCCACCTCCTGGGTTCAAGTGATTATCCTGCCTCAGCCTCCTGAGTATCTGGGATTACAGGCGTCTGCCATCACGCTCAGCTAATTTTTGTATTTTTAGTATAGTCAGGGTTTCACCATGTTGGCCAGGCTGGTCTCAAACTCCTGGCCTCGAGATCCACCCACCTTGGCCTTTCAAAGTGCTGGGGTTACAGGCATGAGCCACCGCGCCCAGCCAATTCCTAAGTTTTAAATTGCACGCTGTTCTAAGTAGCATGATGAGATCTTGCACCGTCGCGTCCTGTCCAGCCCAGGACATGACCCCTCCCTCTGCCCGGGAGGACCCACTCTGCAGACGGTCCTGCCTGTGAGTGTCCATCCCGGGAATCAGATCAACTGTGATGGTAGAGCAGTGCCTGTATTCAAGTAGCCCTTATCTGACTGAACAATGGCCCCAAAGCACAAGAGTAGTGATGCTAGCATACCGTTAACATTGTCTTTTTATAATATTTTATTTATTTTTATTTTTTTTGAGATGGAGTCTCGCTCTGTCGCCCAGGCTGGAGTGCAATGGTGCAATCTCGGCTCACTGCAACCTCGACCTCCCAAGTTCAAGTGATTCTCCTGCCTCACCCTCCTGAGTAACTGGGATTACAGGCACTCGCCACCACGACTGGCTACATTTTGTTGTATTTTTAGTAGAGACGGGGTTTCACCATGTTGGCCAGGCTGGTCTCGAACTCCTGGCCTCAAGAGATCCACCCACCTTGGCTTCCCGAAGTGCTGGGGTTACAGGCATGAGCCACCACACCTGGCCTGTCCTATTTTATTATTAGTTATGGTTGTTAATCTCTCACTGTGCCTAATTTGTAAAGAAAACCTTGTCATAGGTCTGTATGTGTAGGAAAAGATGGAGTGTATATAGGGTTCCATACTGTCTGCAGCTTCAGGCATCCACTGGGGGTCTTAGAATATATCCCCCAAGATTAAGGGGGGACTACTCCATTTTTTTAGTTCCCACATTTTTCAAATGGAGAAGAAATTCACATTACATAAAATTAACCACTATAAAGTAGGCAGCTCTGACATTTAGGACATTCCCAGTGCTGTGCGACCATCACCTCTATCTAATTCCAAAACATTTTCATCACTCTAAAAGGAGACCCCATCAACATGGAGTAGGTTCTCCCCAGGTCCCCTCCTTCCAGCCTCTGGCAACCACCAATCTGCTTTCTGTCTCCATGGGTTTGCCTGTTCTGGGCATTTCATGAAAGTGGAATCGTACACTATGTGGCCTTGTGTGTCTGGCTTCTTTCACTCAGCATCATGGTTTCAAGGTTCACCCGCAGTGTAGCATGCATCCGTACTTCATTCCTTTTCATGGCTGAATAATATTCCATTGTATGGAGAGACCAATCATATATTTTTATATGAGAAAAGTGTGTTATAAAGAATACATATTCATATATATAACAACATATATATAAATACACATACAGAATGAGATATAATTCTAAAACTTGTAAGGTTATAAAATAACCATAAGAACTATGATGATGTGGAATCTGGTGAAGGAGCCAGCTGGTGGGAGAGAGGGGCCTGGGGTGCCCCAGGCCGGGCAGGTCCCCTCCTATGGGACCTCTCCTCCACTCTAACTCTCCTCCACATCACATCAGGCCTCCTAAACGTGCACTGAGCTGGGACCTGAATGGCAGCAAGGAGCCAGCTGTGTCAATATGCAGGGAACAGCATTCCAGGTGGGGGGAACAACAAACGCGAAGGCCCAGAGGCAGATGCGGTCGGTGAGGGCTGAGGAGCTCCCGGGTGGCCTCTGAATTTATTCTCAGAGCAGTGGGAAGAGAATGGAGAGTGTGGGGCCAGAGTCTCATGGACCTTCTGATGGGATCCCTCTGGCTGCAACTCAGAGACCAGACAGGTGTGACCAGAGTGGACTGGGGACCCCGAAGAGGCTACTGCAGTCGTCCAAGCCAGACGGCGACAGAGTGGGGGTCCATCATGGTGCCTGGTCTGCCATTCTTTTCTTTTTGTCATTATTATTGATATGAAAACAGAGGGTCTCGATGGCAATGCTGTTCCCCCCCAAACATAGTTACTGTTTATTATTATTCCATCTCACAATAACAGCATATTATCTTTACTGTTCCTGTTATTTTTTTCTGTGCTGTTAGGGCGGGGCGGGGGATCTCCATGGCAGGGTCCCCACCCCAGGGATGTTTTTGGCTGCCCCATGACTGGCTCATGGCCTTTGGGACAGTCCTACTCCATAAAAGTCACCCTCCCTACACAGTTTTCAAATGACCTGGCCATTCAAAAAAACCTGCCAGAACCAGTCCAAATACTAGCTGTTTCTTAAATGTCACTCTCCTCTCCCCCCAGCACTGCAGGGCTCTGATCTGCTTTCTCGCGAATCCACGCTTACTCATTCTGAGTGGGAGCCAGCCACTCCTCCCTCTCGTTTCCCCGCTTCCCCTTACCCGACGGTTGGGGCACCGCACAGATTTTTGCTGTTGTTGTTAATTCTGTGTCGAGTCTAGTCTGTATTAAGGAGGAATTTCATTGCCCAGGAGTAGAGGGGATTTCCCAAGTCTATGGGGTAAATATTGTCAGGGTGGTTGGGATGCAGTGTGGCGCTGAGCCAGGGAGCTAACCTCTCTGAGCCTTCGCTGCTTGCCTGGCAATGATGATGGTTGCTGGGTCACGAGATCACCGAGAGGATCAGATGAATTCACGTGGCATGTGCCGCACTGAGACAGGCAGGCACGCAGCTGAGGGGCTGGCGGTGGGAGGGGCAGGGCCGCGGCTGGAGGATAAAATCCCACACTCCCCGCTTGGCCGGGTGGCCCACTGCCCGTCTGGCTTTCGAGGAGATAAGCCGCCTGCTCAGGTTCACGTTCGGGATCAAATGAACCCACTTAATCCCCCTAGGGATCTCTGCTGAGCTGGCTCCTTGGGGGCCTGGGGAGGAAGGCAACTGAGCCCCCTGCAGTAGAAACCCCCACCCGCGAGGCCAGGCACAGAGAAGGTACCAAGGGCTTCTGCCCCAGCGCCGGGGCACAGCGGGCTGAGGGAGCCCCAGGACAGAAGCGGTCACACATCATGGGCTCATCATCACAGCCACAGTGACTCCTGACTCCCCACTGCAACCCAGGAGGTAAATGCTATTACGAACACCCTTCTCCAGATGGGGAAACCGAGGCCCAGAAAGAAAACAGCCCGCCTGAAGGTGACAGAGCGCCTCGCCGTATCACCAGCAACCCCTCAAGATAACCTTATCACGTTTCACGGAGGGAGAGAGGGCGGCAGGAACGGGGCCTTGAGTCACCACCCTATCCCACTGGGAAGGCAGGGGTGGATGGGCAGAGTGTCACGCCTGCCTAGGGGAAGTACACGCTAGGTACTTATGGCAAGTATGTGAATGAACAAAATCTACATGCTGGGCGCAAGCTCCGAGGAAAACTCCTTCGCAGGACCTTTCTCCCCTCCTGAGGTCCCTCTCTAAGATCCTGTATCGCAGGGGTCTGGCGGGAGTGACTGTGACCCCCAGAGGACCGCAGGCAATGTCTGGAGGCATTTCTGGCGGCAGCAAAGGGGGCTGAGGTGCTACTGGGGTCTGGTGGATGGAAGCAGGGGTGTTGCCCAGAGCAGCCCCTGCAACAGAGAGTGACCCAACCCCCAAAACCCGA
This sequence comes from Homo sapiens, assembly GCF_000001405.40. NCBI lineage: Eukaryota > Metazoa > Chordata > Mammalia > Primates > Hominidae > Homo > Homo sapiens. Next base: position 124,550,180 of record NC_000012.12, read on the forward strand.
ACAGTGCCCAGGCTGAGAACCCTGCCGTTCTTACCAAATGCATGAGAGTGTCAGTTGGGCACCCACTGTGTGCAGGGCCTCCCTGCAGGACACATTCAAGAAGACGAGGTCACAGGGCTCAGAGAGGCAAGGCTTCCTGCCCCACCTAATGGAAGGAAGGCAGAGGCGGGACCTGAACCCAGGTCCCACTGACTCACAGCCCCACCCCAGCTGCCAAATACCTGCCCCATCCTTCAGGAGTCTAACCTACTGGGTCTAGAGTGGGGGCTCCACAATCTGTATATCTCATAGCTCCTTCCCCCAGCAGCCACTGGCAGGGGGAGGATGGTGAACGGGGGGGAGGACAGCTCTGTTCCTTTTCATCAGAAACTACATTGGCCAGGAGGCTGGCAGTCTCTCTCTGGGGGGTAGGAACGTGGTTGTATTTTTTATGTGCAAGCTTTTCCTTCCTGATTTTCCAGCTTATAGAGAACACATTTGTTCTGCTTCCAAAAACCAAAAACAGTCTTTTATGTAAAGCAGCTGCCAAACCACATGCCCAGCCTGGCCCTGGGTGGCTCCACTAGGACCTGGCAGGGGGGCCCACACCTCAATGGAGAGAGGGCTGACCCAGCAAAGCCCCCGTGGAGCACCCCTGGCATCACCAGGAGAAGCCCAGAGCTGGCAAATCCACTGGCCACGGCACCCAGGCACCCAGAGGTGCTCTCTAGAAAGTCCCCGGCAGCCCCTTCCCATGGCAAGCACCAAGTAGCTTTCTCCAGGAAACACACCAAGCTCACGTCACATCCCCATGACAAAATACTACAAGAAGTTAAAATTAGCCAACTGGATCAAAGCTGGTTTGCACCAGCACATGGTGAAAACCTGTAATCATACAGATAAAAATAATGATAGCTAATGCCACGGTTCTGGATGCTGTGTCTATTACCCTTCTAATTCTCAAAACAACCCTAGAAGGTGAGGACTGCTTAGGTCCTCATTTTACATATTAGGAAACTGAGGCAGAGTCATGTGATAAGGTGCATGAGAACAAAGTGTCTGGAACCACTCAGGTCTGCCGCTTGTCTAGCCGAGAAAACGACTGCACTGAATTATATACAAAGCTGTCAATACTCGACCACTTTTGACCTACAAAACTAGCAGTCATACGGCTCCCCCAGTAGCAAACAGGAGAGCAGCGCGCACAGATCCACGTGTCCACAGACAAGGCAGGTTCCCAGGCCGTGCAGCGATACACAGAGGCTCGTGGAAAAGCCCAGGCCCCAGTGAGAGGCGGTGGCCTCCAGGAAGGGGGCTCCCGTGACTTGAAAGTCACCTGTCATTTTTTTCTCTTTTAACAAAAGCCACCTTAGCTTACAGCCCCGAGTCTGGTGTCCTGGGCTAAGGCTCGGCCGGCCTGGTCTCCCTCTCTCCTCTCTCCCCTGGCCGCCTCTTTGCCCCCAAGACCCCACATAGTCTGTGACAAGCCAGTGGTCCTCCTCGGGGTCTGGGACCTGGAGTCTCTTCCAGCAGCCCAGGAGAACCTCTCCCCACTAAGGATCGAGTTTCACTTAATTGCAGGCTTCAGGTTTCTGCATGCAGGCCCAGAGGCCTGGGGGAAGGAGGCGCGGGCCGTTTTCTTCCTCTTTTTAATAAGCTGGAAGGCAGCAGCATGTGCCCTGCTGTTCTGAGAATCCGGAACACCCGCCCCTTGGGAAAGGCCGCGGCTCCAAGAGCCCACATGGGAGACCCAGCCGGGAGAAATCAACTGTGGCTTGTCATGAGACATGCTGGGGACTTATTTATTTTCTGGTCAACCATTGGGACCAGGTACTCCAGCTGGACTTAAGGGATTAAAAAAAAAGAAAAAGTAAAAAGGGGCTGGGTGCAGTGGCTCACACCTGTAACCACAGCACTCTGGGAGGCCAAGGCAGGAGGATCTCCTGAGCTCAGGAGTTCAAGACCAGCCCGGGCAACATAATGACACCTCATCTCTACTAAAAATCAAAACAACTGGCAGAGCATGGTGACATGTGCCTGTAGTCCCAGCTACTCAGGAGGCTGAGATGGGAGGATTGCTTGAGCCTGGGAGGTCGAGGCTGCAGTGAGCTGCGAATGGAGCTGGACTCCAGCTTGGGCAACAGAGCAAGACCCTGTCTCAAAAAAAAAAACCACTAAAGAAGAGAAAAGAATAAAGAAAGCACAAATGTCTCTCTGCCTCTGTGTGTTTCTTTTACATTTTGCTTTTCACTAGCACAGCCCTTTACCGTTTGCAGGTTTCTCTCTTCACTCTGTGCTCTTCAGCCACAGCCCCCAGGTCAAGGTCAAGAAACTGAGGGGTCACTTAATTCCAAGGTCACCAATGGTAGGAACGCAGCCATTGTCTCCATGACCACATCACCCACGGCCCTGTTCCCGGTTGCTGGTTCACAGGGAAATCACAGGCTCTGTGGGGGCAGCAAGCATCCTCTGTAACAATGACCACAAACTCGGTGACTTAAAACAGCACAAGTTTTTTCGGGGGGGTTAGGAGGTTTTTTGGTTTTTTGAGACAGGGTCTCACTTGGTCACCCGGGCTGGAGTGCAGTGGCATGATCACAGCTCACTGCAGCCTCCAACTCCAGAGCTCAAGTGACCCTCCCATCTCAGTCCCCTGATTAGCTGGGACCACAGGTACCATGCCCAGCTAGTTTTCTATGTTTTTTATAGAGACAGGGGGTCCCACTGTGTTCCCCAGGCTGGTCTTGAACTCCTGGCCTCAAGCGATCCTCCCACCTCAGCCTCACAAAGTGCTGGGGATTACAGGCGTGAGCCACCGTGCCCAGCCAGCATAAGTTTATTACCTTACAGTTTTGGAGATCCAAGGTCTGAAATGGATCTAACAGAGCTAAATTCAAGGTGTCGGTAGGCTGCATCCAGTCTGGAGACTCTAGGGGAGAACCTGTCCATCACCCTTTATGGCTTCTAGCGGCTGCCTGCACTCCTTGGCTAATGGCCCCTTCTCCATCCTCAAAGCCAGCAACGCAGCATCTTCAAATCTCTCTGACCTCCTGCCTCCTTCTTATAAAGACCACTGTGATTACCTCCAGCCCGGGCAGATAATCTAGGATAATCTCCCATCTCAAGGTCAGCTGGTTAGCAGCCTTAATTCCATCTGCCACCTTAAATCCCCTTTGCAGCATAAAATAATATATTCACAGCTTCTGAGAATTAGGACATCGTTCGGGGGACCATTACTCAGCTTAACACAGGCTTCAAAAACAAAAATCTTTAGGCCTCTAGGGAACTCCCAAGGCCCCACCCCACAGATTCTGAACTCCCAACAGGCGATTCCCCAGGGTCCACGTGCCTCAGTCTCTCCACTGCTACACAGCATGGGTGAGCATGACCAGTGCCAGCACCTGTACGTGAATACACGTCCCCAGCAGTGCAGAGTCCAGCATCTGATGAAAACGTGATCAGACAGAGCCCTGTGGCCTAACACTAGAGACTTCCCTCTCTAGATTAACAACAAAGAACTTATCAATACTTTTGAGCAACGTTTTTTTTCTGACCAGTCACAAATGGCCCGATTGTACAGCCCATGCTCTAGTAAGATCCATAAGAAATCCCCCCACTGCTGAAACCTACGCTTCCTCACGTCCCTGCATGCCAGGTTGCAGAAGGCTTTGCAGGGTAGAGCTGAGCTGCTGTGGGGCACCCACGGGAGGAGACGTCCAAGAGCCCGAGCTGCATGCGCCCCCACTCCGCAGCTGGTGTCCCTCAAAATGGGGAGTGGGGGAGCTGGGGAACCAGAGGCCACCCAAAGCTGCTCAGGATGTCCTTGGCATGGTCAGCACCCTCCCCTGCAGCTCCTGGTGACTACGCTCTCACAAACCCCCACTCAGGAGCCAGGGCCCCGGGGCAGGCCAAAAAGGAACAGGGTGAGCCCTGCCCCATAAGCACATAATGGCGTGAGCAGCGTGAACCCTCCTGATGCTTAAAGATGACCGAGGGCACGACAAAACGCCTTCCTTGCTTCAAAGCCCTTTTGCGTCTCTTTCCTGCCAGAGGTGCCGCGAGGTGGCATCACTCCCATTTCACAGGTCCCAGAGACGCTGTGCAAAAAATCACACAGCAATCTGGCAGTGGGGATGGGTGTCCAAGGCTCCGTGCCCTCCCCATGGCCCACCTCCCAGTCTGGGGCCCTCCAGGCAGTTCCACATCGTCATGGCCCTCCAGCCTCCCACCACCCAGCTGGGCATCCAGACAGGGAATATCTCCTCTGGGAAGCTCCCCTCCCCAGGTTCCCTCGGTGCCCCCTCCCACTCAACTCCCCTCTCTCCAAGGCAAAAGCCAGGCGCCCCCTTCTCAATGTCAAACCTCATGCTGTGCCCTCCGCACCTCCAAGCACCCCCAGGCACTCCTTACAGCACCGCGAGCACAGAGGCGGCCTGGACCCACGGACGGGGGCTGTGACACAGAGAGGGCAGCGAGAGCCTGAAGGTCACACAGCAAACCAGAGAGCACACACCCGATGCGCAGCACGCTTCCACCTTCCACGTTCCCACTGAGGGCCGCACAGTTCCGGGAGGTGCCGCTGCGGCAAGGGGGCAGCGCCCAGGGCCCAGGTGCCGGGAGATGCAGCTTCCTGCCCGCCGCTACAGCTGCTATTTATAGCTGAGCAGGGAGAAGCCAAGACAGACAGGGTCAGCTTCCTGCACAGCAGAGCTGGCCGCAGCCTGGGAGCCTTCGAGGGTGACCCGGAGGGGAATGGGTTGGGTCAGGGCAGAGACGTGGGCTTTGATGTCCAGGATTGGGCACGTGGTGGACCCAGGACTGTCCCTGGTCACTCCTGAGGACCACAGTCCAGGGGAAAGGGATGAAAGCACACAATGGGCCCTGCCCATGACAGCTGCCCACCAAGCAAGGAGCTTAGGAGCTGTGTGTCCTGAGCCAATGATATCACCACTCTGTGCCTCAGTGTCCCCATCTGTAAACAGGGAAACTAATAGTTCTGGCCACACCGGGTTATTGTGAAGCTTAGATGAGCTAACCCATGTGGTGCCAAGCGAGCTTGCCTGCATCCTACCAGCTCAGGGCCCTCTCTGGAGCACCCTCACCTCTGCCCCTCCCTGCTCAGACACCAGACAGCAACGCTGGGGCAGGGGGCACCCCTGCACCAGGACACCTGCAGAAGCAGCTCTCCCTACTATACCCTCCAGTGTGTGCACAGCTCACAAAGCCCAGGGAGCCCGAGCAAGTGGCAGGCACGGGGGCATCCCGACCCAGCCCCAGGGCACAGACAGCTGTGACAACGTCCGCAGGATGTATACATGCTCGGGTGTCATCGCCACAGCAGTCCCCCCAAGCGTCCACTCCCCTACGCACCAGGGACTGCAGTTACCCCCATTCTACAGATGCGGAAACGAGCACAAAGTGACAGAAAGAACTCTGCTGAAGAAACGCAGAGGGGCCCCCCACCATTCCCAGAGTTCACCAGGGTCTCCTATCTTGCCAAACAGCAGACAAGTCTTGCTGGCCCCGGGAATCCGCCCAGAAAGCTGCAGTGGGTTTGGACCCCCCAGAACTTGGTTCCTTGGGGAGAGGAGCAAGGGCCAGGAAGGATCCGTCTCGGGCCACCCATCCATGGGAACTCGGGTTTAAAGTCCCTCCCCGGTCCCTGGGGTCGCCTGGTTGTGATGCCCCAACTTCCTCCAAAAATTGGCAAAGGGAACACCCACACGGCAAACTGAAAACAGTAAGCACTGGCCCAGCCCACATGGAAGGCTTCTCTGTGCTCCCAGCGTCAGGCAATAAGCACCTTCATGTAGGACCTCCCATAACGCTCAAGACAACCTCGAGAGACGAGGAATCTGATTATGCCCATTTTATAGATGGCGAAATGGAGGCGTGAAGGCTGAATTAGGCAAAACGTGGTTCTCCCACACCCTGGCCACTCTGGGCCTCTCTGTGGGCTTATGTTCACCCGTGGAGCTCAGAGGCCAAGCTCAGTGCTAGCAAGGGGTGGTCACGGCCACCAAGGGAGGGACAGAGAGGGAATGGCCACAGGCTCAGTGACCTGGAGGCTCTGCGGGAGCAGGAGGGGGCCACAGGTGAGGGAGGGTACAGGTGTCAGTCACAGGGATGGATGGACAACCTGGGACTCCCAACGGGCACCAGGGCACGAGGCAAGGCCATGCCCAGCCAGAGCCCAACACTCAACACATCTACGAGGCACCCACAGTGTGCCCAGCACTGCTCTAGAACCTGGGACACAGACAGACGTCTCCACCCTTGTGGAACGTCCATTCTCGCAGGGATGACAGACAACAGCAAGATGACAAACGTGTGAAACCATCATCTATCAGAAGGTGGCACACTGGGAAACAACCGAGGGAGGGAGGGGAGAGGGTGCAATTTTCAATATGAAAATATCAGGCCAGGCGTGGTGGCTCACGCCTGTAATCCCAGCACTTTGGGAGGCCGAGGCAGGTGGATCACCTGAGGTCAGGAGTTTGAGACCAGCCTGGCCAACATGGCAAAACCCCATCTCTACTAAAAATACAAAAATTAGCCATGTGCGCCTATAATCCGTTACTCAGGTGGCTGAGGCAGGAGAATCGCTTCAACTCAGGAGGCAGAGGTTGCGGTGCATGGAGATCATGCCACTGTACTTCCAGCCTGGGCAACAGAGCAAGACTCTTTGTCTCAAAAAAAAAAAAAAAATCCGAGAAAAATGGCAAAGGAATGAGACGAGGCCTGCGGATACCAGGAAAGAGTGCTCCGGCAGGGTGAGTGCAAAGGCCCCGTGGCGGAAGCTGCCTGGTGCATTTCAGGAGAAACAGCGAGGCCGGTGTGGCTGAGACAGAGCGGGCAAGGGGAGCAGGTCGCAGAGGACGGCCCACGCCGGGGCAGAGGGTAGAGCCTCACGGCCCAGGTAGGGAATCAGCTTTCAGAGCAGCAGCGGGACTGTCCTGCCCTGGGTTTTCCTGCCCTGGGTTTTACAGGCCTCCCCCTGGCTGCCACGTGGGGGATGGGTCTCAGGGTGACCAGTGAAGAGCCAGCTGTGATGGGAGCTGTGTTCCCTTCCTAGAACTGCTGTAAACAAAGCTCCACACGCCGGGGACTTAAAACAACCCACTGTTACTTTGTCACAGTTCGGGAGGCCAGAGGTTCAAAATCAAGGTGTTGGCAGGGGTGGTTCCTTCTGGAGGCTCTGCGGGGGAGTCTGTCCTGAGCCTTCCTCCCAGCAGTCCCTGGCACTTCTTGGCTTCCAGCCACATCGCTCCAGCCTCTGCCTCCATTATCGCACGGCCTTCTCCTCTGTGTCTTTTTGTCCTCTTATAAGGACACGGGCCACTGGATTTAGGGCCCACCCTGCTCCAGGATGACCTCTTCTTAATTAAACGCATCCACAAAGACCTTGTTTCCAAATAAGGTCACAGCCTGAGGTTCCAGGAGGGACGTGAATGGGTGGGAAGGTGGCACAGGCACTGTCCAACAACATGCAGCAGCCTAGGCCAGGGGATGATAGTGGCAGACGATGCGAAAATAAAAATATCCAGGAGGGTGGCAGATGGCGTGGGTGGGCGGGATGGCAGGTTAAAGCAGGTGTCTCCCAACTTCTCCCGCTTGCCTTCCTCCCCTGGTTTACCCAGCAGTGGGCATCACCCAGGAGCCACCGCCACACAGAATTCCTCCCAAATCCTGACCCTGTGGACCTGGCCAAGCCCCCAGGACCCAGGAAAGGCCCCCTGACTCCTGCCAGGCTCCAGAGGGCGACATCCCCTGCAGGCCCCCATGCTGACAGGCCTGGCCCAGCCTAGGGAAAAGCCCAGGCCAGGGCCTGGAGCTGCATCCGGCCCCAACCCCACCCGGCAGGCTCTCCTCTTTAGCTTCAGGAGCAGGGCTGGCACCAGGCAGGTTCCCATGGTCACCGAGACACTATAGCCACACTGGGGCCCATGCTCCCTGATGGTCTCAGCAGGTACCGCAGAGTTCAATGTGAGGACAAACAGAGTCCTTCGAGGCCCTCCCCTGTGGGTCTGGGCCTCTGGGACTAACGACTTCAGAGCATCCCCAGACAGATCCCCTGGGTCACAAAGAAAAATCAACTCTCCCACCCACCCCCCCTCCAGACCTGGCCCAAGGTCTCCCCAGCCCCACCACAGAATTGTGGGGAGCGAGCCAAGGGGAGGCCACAGGTGGGCAGATGGGGGGCGTGCAGGCCTCCTTGGCTGTAAGAAGGATTCTGATTTTTGTTCAAGAAATGGTGGGAAGCCCTGCAGGCTGATGAGGTCAAGTCACTCTAGCTGCTGTGGCTCCACTGGGCTGCCTGCAGAGAGGGGACTGTGGGTACAGGATGACAGCCAGAGAGCAGGCAGGAGGCGGCTGCAGTCCCAGGTGGGCCATCGAGAGGTGGCTGGGACCACGTCTCTCACTCCAGAAGGACGCCCAGAACAGGGGCCTGGGGGATGCGGGGGTCAATGATCCACTTTTGCATAGGTGGGATCCGAGGTCCCTTTGGGACATCCCTGAGCAATGGCAAGGAGACTGCTGGGTCCACCTCCCTGACCCTGGGGTCAGTGCCGTGGGCCCACGAGTCACAGTCAGGAGGGAGAGGGGCTACGACACGGTCTGCAGGGACAATTGCACCCCAACGGGCCCCTGAATGCCCTTCACTTCACAGCCTGTGAGCCACGTGTCACTCATCACCCCATTTCACCGCCAGGGAAACTGAGGAACTCCGCGTGGAGCCTTTATTATTGCCCAAGGCCATGTCACTCAGACCTGTGGGTCCCCCCAGATCCACTCATCAGCCCTAAAATGCAAATATAGGCCACGGAAAACCAAGTGAACCCTGGGAGACAAGAGGCGGAGAGGGCCTCCGGACCCCAGAAAAGACTGACCCCCAGGAGCCACCCGGCCTGCAGGCACATACGCACAGACACATGCAGGCCAGTGGTGACTGGTCACCCGGGTCTGGTCCAATTCCACCTCCAACAGCCCACCCTTTGACTTACCTTTCCCCCCACTTCCTTTCCAGATGCAAAGAAAGGCCAGCAGGAGAAGCAGGGGACCTGAAGCATCAGCCACAAGTCCAGGTTGGAACCAGATGGCCCAGAGGTCCCTTGGCTTCAGACGCACTTGCAATATTGCCTCCAAAACAATCCCGAGGTCTCCGGGTACCACAGTGCTGAGCCCCCCACCTCCAGGGCATTCCCTCAGGCCAAGCAGTTCTCGAGGGCCCCATCCGGTTCTCAAATGGGACATCTTTCACCATCCAAGTCACTCACCGTCATCTTCCCAAGTCGGACCCCAAAACCGTGCTCAGTTCTCACCCAGGGTCTGACCTTGGTTAAGACACTCCACAGGGCCAGCCTCTGGTTTCCTCCTATGGAATGCTGGTGCAGGGGATGGTGCATGAAAGCATCTTGCAACAAGTGTTTTCCTTTGCTCGGCTCCTGCCTGATCCATTCTGCCCCTCAAGAACTGAGACAACTCTCAGGAATGTGTAAGGTAAGATAAAAATCAGAGAGCAAGCTCAGGGCAAAGGGAAAAAAAATGAGAGACAAACAAATCCAAAATCAGGATGAAGTAGATAAAGCCAAAACATAAACCAGTGATTGCAGAAAGCAGGCTGCAAAATTTGGCTCTGAGCTTCCTAGTAGCCAAAGCAAAGAGGGAAACAAGATGGATTACGGCTTTGGAAAATTGTGAAAACGACGCAGTGCCACAGAGTAGGTGCTACAGCAACTATATACCACTCTAAAGTCACCAATTAAGAGGCCAAAAAATTGTGCCAAAAATCAGGCCAAGTGCTTGCTGCCTTAACCATCCCCTCTTTCCTACTGCATTCTACAACAGCAAATTATAACCATGAGCATCAGCGTAACTCAGCAAGAACAGGAGCCCAGGCTAGAAGGAGGGGTTTTAGGGCCTACCTGGAATGACCTTCAAACTCACACCCCTCTCTGGGCCACAGTTTCCTCAACAGGGAAACCGTGCAAGGCTACACTGAGGTTCAAAACAGTGAGGTAGTATATTAGGGATCGGCAAATATCTTCTGCAAAGGGCCAGAGAGTAAATATTTTAGGTTCTGTAGGCCTTCCAGCCTCTGTCACAACTACTCAACTTTGCAAACGCTGTACCCAAAAGCAGCCACAGACAACATGTAAATGAGTGAGCGTGGCTGCATTCCAACAAAACTTTATTTATGGACACCGAAATTTGCATTTCATATGATTTCACATGTCATAAAATATTATTCTTCTTTCGATTTTTTTCAACCATTAAAAAATGGAGAAACCATTCTCAGCTTGTGCACCATACAGAAACAGGTGGTGGGCTGGCCGGATTTGGCCCAAGGGCCATAGTTTGCCAACTCTTGCTTTCTACGTTCCACAATCGGCTCCGAAACATATTATCACGTAGGATGTGACTATGACGGCGAAAATCAAACCTGAATATATGGCGTGATACCACTTGCATGTTTGTTTTTAAAGGGAACGCACACATACAGTCCATTTAAGGCCGACATATGCCAAGAGCATCTCGGAGGAAACTCAGGCGCGGGAAGCTGTGACTGCCTCGGGGAACAGAAACTGGGAGGCCAGGAACCGAGGGAGACTTTTACGCAATGTGTTAATTTTCTTTTTTACAAGTCAATGCATTTTCTTTCATTTAAAAAATAAGCTTTTATAAAGCCCAAAGCAACTGGCAGAGTTTTGAATGCATTACTTTTTGTTTTTCTACATTCTCCCCAAGAAGTATAAAAAGCAACATTATCCCCAAAAATGTTCATCAAAGAAGTCCATGATGTATTAAGTCATATCATAACAAAATAAGTATGATCCCACTTAGAGAAAGCAGATAGGTGTCTTTTGCAGGTATCTGCTTGTGCAGACAGATACCAGCAAGGGTGCTAACCTAGGATTCCTCCGGGTCCGGCTGGGTCAGCCCCCATGAACCTGCACAAAGGTTTTTCCACATGAGCTCAGCCCCAGGAGGTAAGAACTGCCCACACTTCGCAGGGACCTGGAGCTGTCTCCTGCTCCAGGAGAAGTGACAGCTAAGGAAGGATGTGGGAAGACGGCTCCGTATAGTAGGAGTCACTATGGCTGCACTGCCCCGTAGGGTCAGTGGCCACCAGCCACAAGTGGCTACTCAAATTTATTAAAAGTAAAAACTAAAATTTCATCCCCCGGTTGTGGCACTGGCCTCACTTCAAGCCGTGACTGCCTTGGGGAACAGAAACCAGGAGGGCCAGAATGGAAGGAGACTCCCCCAACAGCTTTGGGCAGTTTTAATACCCAATGCCCCACGTGGCTGTTAGTTATGGTACTGGCATATCTAGAACATTCTCACCAATGCAGAAAGTTCTATTGGACAGCGCTACCCCAGAGGCCGGTGGGAGAGGAAGTGGGGGAAGAAAGAGTGAGATGTGGGAAGAGGAGGGAGACAGACGGCAGGGAGAACGGACCAGCCCAGAGGGCACACCAGGCTAGGTTTGGGAAAAAGGACCACTGAAAGGGGAAGACCCTCCAGGATGGCACCACGCAGAGAAAACACGCATGAAAAGGGAAAAAAATCAGGCCAGACGCAGTGGCTCACGCCTAGAATCACAGTGCTTTGGGAGGCTGAGGCGGGAGGATCACTTGAGCCCAGGAGTTCAAGAGCAGCCTGGGCAACATAGAGAGACTCCATCTCTACAAAAAATTTTAAAATTAGCCAGTCATGGTGGTGTACACCTGTCGTCTCAGCTATTTGGGAGGCTGAGGCGGGAGGTTAATTTGAGCCCAGGAGTTCATGGCTGTAATGAGCTGTGATGGTACCACTGCACTCCAGCCTTGGTGACAGAGCAAGACCCTACCTCAGAAAAAAAGTTGGGGTGCAGGTGGGGCATTGGGGAAGGAATCAGATACCAAGAGCCCAGGCCCTGCTCCGAAACACAGAATATGACTTCATCACCCAACCCTGTGCCCTCGGGTTAAGTAGCCATTAGCCACAGCCACAGGTGGCTGTTTAAATTTAAGTAAATTAAAATTAAATAAAATGACCAGTTCAGCTGCTCAGTGGCAGGGACCCACTTTTCAAGTGCTCCCGAGTGACAGGCACCTAGTGGCTAAAGCACGGGACAGCGCAGCCGTATCATCTCCCATCACCGCAGGAGTTCCCAGACAGCCCGTCTCAGGCTACCCTCTAAGGCGGGCATTATTTTCTTTCCCTCCCTTTTAAGAATCAAGAAACCAAGGCCAGAAGGTCAGAGGCTTCACTCAAGTTCTTAACAAATGGAAGCACGATTCAAACCCTGCTCCTTTTTTCAGAGACCAGGAGCAGAGGGGAAGCTCAGCCCTCCCCCAGGGGGCCTCCCCCACCCCGTCCTCCCCACAGCCTTCGCCCACTCTCCGGGCTGCCCATGACCTCCAAGCACTCCAAGTGCCTGACAGACACTAAGTGATTAAAGACTAATGGAAAACCTCAACCGTCAAGGGCAGAGGCAGGGAGCTGAGCACATTTGTGAAACACCAACGACCAACGGGAAAGGAGCCCACCGTCTCCAAAGGGCAACAAGCCGAAGCCTGGGGCTCTGGAAAAGAGACAGGTCCATCAGAGGATCTTTCCCAGCAGCTTTTAAGAGGGAGGAATGGTTGATATCCGAGCAGCCTGTAGGTGAGGACCCGGGTTTACACAAGGAATTCTATAGTGAAGTCTTTGCTCTCCAACAGGATAAGCCAAAATGGAAACTGCAGCTCCTGTGTGTCCTGCGACACACAGGAGCTCATTATATCTCACAACCATAAAGTCAGAAGCAGCAGCAGCACCCCCATTTTAGAGATGAGCAAACTGAGGCTCACAATAGGTAAGTAACTCATTCACAGCTTGAAGCTGCAGAGCTGAACAGCAAACCCAATATTCATGCCCTTTGCCCCTAAAGGCTCTCCAATATGGCACAGGTGGCCGGCAATGTGCCCATTTTGCAGATGAGGGCACCCAAACCCTGAGAGCAAGGGGCACTCACCTGGGCCCACTGCTTGTAAATGGCCAAGCTGGAACTTCCAATGCTAAATCAGCGGCTCTCTTGGGGATGGCAGATGAAACACTCCGAGATTGTCCTCTAATATCTGGTTAGGACAATTCTTTCTAGATTTATAAACCAAAAGCTCCTTCCTCAAGGCTAGCTGGAGCCAAGTGGGCAGGGCAGTGTGGAAGTGTCCAGGCTCAGAAGCCTCACTCTGCTCCAAAATAGACATGATAATAACAATGATGCTAAGTTCATTCATCATAAGCACAGGTCCCTCCGCTGTGCAACCTCAGGCGAGCCTGGACCTGTGCCCTCATCTGTAAAATGGGAATGAAGCCGCCATCTGCCCCAGGGCCTCACTGAGCAGAAGCCCTCCGGCTACACAGTACCCGAGGGCAACGCGCCCAGCCTATGGGCACTCCAGGCCACAGAACTCTGCCGCTGCAGCTTTCTGGAGCACCATGCTAAATAATTCAAAACCATGTTTTCATTTCAAAACAAACACAGCAGTGTCGCCAAGGCGAATGCCAAATTTGCATGAATGTTTCAGATAAAATGAGACCTCAAAGAAATGCCAGGCCCTATCCTTCTCCCCAAACCCTGGGGAGAACGAGTTCTCAGTCTCCTGCCCCACCTGGGGCAAAGATCCGTAGGTGCTGCTCAAAGAAGAAACATCATTTCTTTCTTCATATCCTCTACGGCAGCTTTGCAAAGCAGGTCTGCAGTAAATTCCTGCTGCACTAACACGACCGTGAATAATCCCAGGTCTTAATTCGTAGTTCCACATCCAAGCTGTGTGACCTTGGGCAAGTTACTTAACCTCTCTGTGCCTCAAGTTCACCATCTATAAAATAAGATAATAAAAGCACCAACTCATAGAGGAGTTATGAAGAGTAAACAAGCAGATTTGCGTAGAGCACGGTTCCTGGCACACAGTAGGTGTTGGTTCTTATTACTAGCGTATGATCCACAGCCTTTTCCAACATGGAGGCTGAGAGTTCGCCGGATGGGTTGTAAAGTCAGTTCCCTGGCTCCAAGCTCCCTCAAAAGATGCCCAGCTGGCCTTTCCCAAGCATCACTTCCCTGGGGACCACACGCACCCACCTAGGGACACAGACCTTCTGTCACCCTTGGCCTGGGCCTAAAAAACCTGGCTCTCCCCAGGCAGCAGCTCAAGCTTGGGGCCCTCCTTGCCCCTCCCCTGGGCACCTCAGGCAGGAGTTACCAGCTCCCACCGGCAGTTCCCCAGTCTCAAAAGTGTCACCTGGGGAGGCTGCTGTTTAGCGTTTGAGATGTGAAGAGGAAACAGGGAAGGGAAAACACACACACACAAATAAAAGCTCTCAACCCCCGCCACCCCACCCCCACCCCCACCCCCGGCCCACGGTCAGAGGCAGCATTTGTGGGGCTTTTCAGTTCAGACAGCGGCAGGAGGAGGGGCTGAGAGCCTGTCTCCTCTGCCTTAAAATCTCCCTTCCCACAGACAGGACCCCAGGAGAACCCTCCGGCTGGGTTCTGCGTAGGTACCACCCCCGCCTCCCATCTCCGAGTGAAGCACCAACTTCTCCACCCACACTCTCAGATGGGGGTTGGGAACACAGAACTATGAATGCGCCCCCTCTCAGCCAGGGGGAAACGGGGCCAGGCAGCCTCCACATCCAGCATGAATGGCAGACGCTGGGGGCCAGGACTCCTGGGGCTAGCTTCCAACTCCCTCGGTGGGTGTCTGCGCTGCCAGCGCCCCCTGCCCCCCACCCCCAGGCCCCGAGAACAATCAAGCCGTCCCCAGCCCAGGGCTTCCATGCAGTAAATTCGTGTTTGCAGAGCTCTGGGAAATCTTTAGGAGGTGGCATGAGTATTATTAATTGGGGAAAAAGAACAGATTATGCCAAATAAATCCTTCCCACATAACCAAACCCTCTCCGAGAGGGGGAGGGGGAGAGCGCAGCCCCAGGAGGGGTCTCCATCCCTCACCAGGGCCTGACAGCCACATTACCATTTACATGGATTTATCAATAGTATTGATCCCCAGCAGCGTAAATAGCTCAGTGGGAAGAGGCCAGGGCTGGGGCCTGCTGCGCTCCCGCCCCCATGTCTGGGCACCGGCACCACAGACTCCCCCGGCACCCGCTGGCGGTGGCAGCAGTGAATTTCCAAGCAGGGACACGGCAGGCGGCTCAGGGAAGCCAGACAGAGCCCGGGATGCCCTGGCAGCCGCGCTGCCGACTCGCCAGTCACCGCTGGCTCCACCCCCCCTTCATTGCTCTGCTGGGCCTGACTCAGTCTTTGCATCTGTTCAATGGGCGGGGGCACCTGCCCTTCTCCATCCTCTCCGGACAAGCAGAGGGGAGTGGGAAAAGGCCCCCTCCCTCCCCCAGATCCCCCCACTGTCCACCCCCAGCCAAAGGTAAGGTGGCCCCTTTTCACAGGGCTTCCAGACCACGTTGGATTAAAGGCCCAATCTTAGAACCCAGGAATAATAATACCGACACAGTAGTCATAGTAACACATACAAGTACCAAGGGATTCTTATGGCCGGACGGTCAGCTCTCACAACCACTCTGTGAACTCAGTACCATTTTGACCCTCATTTTGCAGATGGGAAACCTGACAGGCACAGAGAAGTTAAGCATCTGTCCAGGGTCACACTGCCAGGAAAGTGGCAAAGGTCAGAGTCAAACCCCAGGAGCTGAGGTGCAGAGTGGGCCATCCCACCTCACTGCTGCTTGCCATTTCTCGGCCCCTCCTCAGCACCCCCAAAGAGGCCACCCACGAGGTACACAGCCTGCCCCGGGTCGCCCTCCCGGCGCAGTCTGGCCCGGAGAGCCCCTTATATCAAAGCTGCCGCAAGGACCCAGATCTGGCTGAAAAGGGGCAAAGTCAAGGCCACCGGTAACACATCCCAACGCGCCCAGAACTCCCCCACCCCGCCCACAGGGTCCTCCCCTTATCCCCTCCTCCCCTCTTCCCTCCCTCACACATCCTTCCTCCAAATCTGCAAAAAGGGAAAAATAATAATAATCACAATAAAACCAGTTCTCACCAACGGGGGAGAGGAGGAGGGGGAGGAAGGGAGGAGGCTGAGCCGACAGAACAGATCCGCCCCCGCTGCCTGCACCAGACCCTCGGAGAGCCGGAGCGCGCGACAGGCGGCGGGAGGACACTCGCTTCCAAAAAAATAAACCTACAATGTAAAAATAACGCCGGGCGCCCCACGCTAATTGGGCCCGGGCGACAGCAGCTCCCAGGTACAGCCTGTCTCTCCCTCCCGCCCGCCGTGCCCTCCCGCCCTCGGCTTGCTCCTCCTGCAAGTGTCTGGGGCGGGGAGGGCGTACCCCACGGGTGCCCTCACTCCCCGCAGGCCTCTGAGGAAGCTGCCCTCTAGACAAGGGTCTGGGTCTTCCCAGTCGTGCCCAAGTGGGATCAGCTCTGAATTCCAACTTCGCAAAGTAGTGGCATCCCAAGTATCCGCACAGCCCGGGGGAGGGACTAGGAGGCGGCCCAATGAGGCGTCACCAGCCACGGGAGGCAGGCCCAGACACCAGGAACACCGGCCCGCGGGGGAGGGGGACCAGGGGCGACTCTCCCGAGGGACCCCGCCCAGCGCCCCGTGGCCCCACGCCTAGGAGGGACAAGGCTGGCTCTCCCCCTCGGCTGGTGAGAGACCCTCATGCGCCCCTCCACAACAGCCAGGCCAGGGAGCTAGGGGTACCATCTCCAAGGGCTTTCAAACCCGCGCTGCCCGATGGAAAATAAGGCGCAGTGTCGCCCCGCCAGGTCCGGGGCTACACCGGGTACAAGGGACGCCTGGCGGCCAAGTCCCCAGAGCCGGCGCACACTGTGGGGGGCCGCTCTGTGCATTTCCAGCGCGCCCCCCGCCCACCCCAACGCCACTTCCCTCCTTCCCGCCCCCTCGCTAGGGAGCTGGAGTTCCCCTAAGTTCCCCGGCGCCCCCGAGCACGCGGGCCGCAGTGTCGGCGGGGCGCCTTGCTCCCCAGCAGGCCACCCCCCGAGAGCGCCAACTCGGGAGTGCAGGGGCCCCGCCAACTCCGCCGCGTGCGCCGCCCGATCCTCCCCGGATCCCCCGGAAGCGCGCTCCGCGCCTCCCCCCGCCCTTCGCGGGGACCCTCGGCCCCAACTCACCTCGCGGAGGTGGCAGCGGTGGCGCCCGGGCTTGGGGCGCGCTCGGGCCGCCGGGGCGCTCAGGCAAGTGGCGGTGCCGATCGGGCTGGGGGCGCGCAGCAGGCCCGGCCTCGGGTCGGGACGCGATCCTCCCGCCGCCGCCTCCTAGGGCGCCGGCCCTGGGTCCCCGGCCCGCAAGTTGGCGCGCATCGCGGAGCGCAGGGCGCGGGCGCAGGGCTCGGGCGGGGCGCCGGCGGACGCGGGGCTCCGGTGCGGCCCGGCCTGCCCGCGGCTCCGCGCTCCCCGGCGGCCGCGGCGGCGGTGGCGGCGGCGGCGGCGGCGGCGGCGGCGGGAGGGGGAGGAGGGGGCGGGGCGCGAGCCCGGGAGGCGGTGGCTCGGCCTCCCTGCTCCCGGCTCCCCGCCCGCAGCGACGCGCCCCGGCCCGGCCCCCTCTGGCTCCTTAAAGGGCCCGCGCCTTCTCTCCAGGCCCTGCGCGTCCCCACTCGCGCGCGCACGCCGCCACACACACAGACACGCACGCACACACTTGGGCGCGACGCCGAGTTTCTTTTTGGCAGCTCCCCGAGGAGGAAGGAGGGGGGAAGCGCCTCCCAGCCTTCCCCTCCCTCTTCTCCTGCGGGCCCGGGGGCCCTCCTCCTCCTCTCCAGCCCCAGTACCTCACTGGAATCGCGTTTCAGCTATTAAATTATAACTCTGGAGTGGCCGCTGGATGGGGAGGGGGCGCGCAGGGAGGGCCCTACACAGGGCCTTTTAGGAGCACGCCCAGTGGGGCACTTGGGGACGGGAGCAGACAGTAGCGCAGAGCCCTCTCCAGGCAGGAACACGCTGGGCCTCCCCAGACCCGAGACCCAGCCCGGGCGAACACACTGCAGACTCACCACCCACCACGGACCGGAGATGTCAGATCTCACACAGACAAATACTGGGACACCCACGCGAGTTCACAGCACCCCGGAGGACACAGACGCTAGAATGCCAGTTTCCTGAGGGCAGAGATTTCTATTTTGTTCACTGCCCTATCGCAGTAGGGACTCACGAATGTGTTGAGTGAAGTCCCACTTGGGGACATTCAGGGACACAAATGCGGAGACAATGCAACGAGCCTGTGTCCCCCCCGCCCCCCCCACACACACACACAGACACACACATCCCAAAGCGTGACCCTGGGAGCCACACACGCCCGGCCTGCACAAGCACGCAGTCACAGACGGCACACATGTGCTCGCTCCCCCACGCACAGGCAGACACTCTCCGCTCCAGCAGGAACCTGGCCCCCCTGGCCGCCCTGACAACCCAGTGTCCTCATTTACCCCCTCCTCCCACCCCCTCCAGGTTTGCCCTCTCCAACCAGGGCAGATCTCTTTGAACAGCAGAGGGCACTGGGAGCCCTGGGCCTGGAGCCTCCCTCCCTCCCTCCTCTTCTGCTTTCTCCTAAGATGTTGGAGAGTTTGAATTTTTTTTTTTTTTTTCAGTTCAACTTTCCTTTTTTGGAGTGACGTCTCAGCAGATTCAGTTCTGCCATCTGGCAACATCTGAGAACCCCCAGGGAGAGCGGGGAATGGCTGCGGTGGGGAGGCAGCCGCGTGGTTTCCAGAGGCCGGCGGGCCTCCCGCCTCCGCCAGGATGCTGGGTTTGCCGGGCTCCCCTGCAGCCAGGTCCTTCTCTGCCCCCTCGGGCTTTTAATTATGAGCTTTTGGGGGGCTGGCGGGAGCCTCTGGGGCTGACAATGTCTGGCAAAAGGGAAGTGGGTGTGGAGGGGAGCAGTTTGCAGACTGAAACAGGAGGGGTCATAGGTCAGTGCCCCCCCCCCACCTCCTTGTTTTGGCCCGACCAGCTCCAGTTCTGCCCAGCCAGTCGGTCCGAATCCACAGGCAAAAAGCTGGAGCCGCAGAAGGAAGGCCTGATCCCCCACCTCCCCCACCAAGGGTCTTGGAGAGGGAAGCGGGGGCGGGGGAGCTCCTCTGCCAGCCCCAGGCCGCCTGGCAGCCCTCCTCTGTCACCTGAAAACCCTCTGGGAATTTGCATTTCCATGAGATTCAGCTCTATTTGAAGCTGGAGGAGGGACATTTGGGGTGTCTTCAGGGGTCTCCCAGCTTCTGCCCTCGAGGGCTCCCTGCAGGCTTAGGAGCGGGGAAAGCAGGGGGTCTGTCAGCTTTGTAATGTCCCAAGCGTCACCTAGAAATCCCTCACTGGAAGCCTTATCAACTCAAGCGCCAATGGCCTCTGGCCCGACCATGTCACAGATGGCAAGACTGAGGCCAGGAGAAGGGCAGCGTTTATCCCGAAAGGGATTGGCCCTTTCCCGTCTGCTCCTGTTTCCTGGCTGAATTGGGTTATTAATCTCACCCTCACAGACGGCGGGGAGTAACACCAGCACTGAGTGAGCACTTACCCTGGGGGAAGCAAGGGGCCTGGTCCCAAGTAGGGAAACAGGCCTGGAGAGATGAAGAACCCGACTTGCCAGCCTCCAGCAGCAGCCCGTGATTCCAAATGAGTGCTGGAAATCTGGACTCTGGGGAGGTCTCAGCTGAGCCCGCCCCTTCCCCCAATCGCAGACCGGCACCCTAGTTTGCTACTTTGTTTCTACTGGGCTCTGAGTGACAGTCCATGAGCAACTAATGGGAACAGTACCTTTAAAAAGCGGCCAAAGAACACTGCACACAAACAGCCTTCCCGGGGGGGCCCCCTGGACTGTGAGTTAGTAACAGTAACAGCTAAGAGCTTCCCAAACATCTCAATTGCCTTTGTGAGGGAAAGACTTTCAACATACCCATTTTACAGGAAGGGAGAGGGAGACTCAGTTGGGAAGTCACCAGGGACACTGGGAAGCATGTTGTATGTGTCCCAGGCCAGGCTGCAGCTGGCTGGAGCATGCTGTATATATATCCAGGGGGCTCCCGTCCAGTTGGCGCCAATTTCTGCCCCTTGGGCTTTGTCTCTACCATCTCCGGCCCAATCCTTCAACCATTCCTTCCTAAAGACTCCCTCCAATCCTTCAACCATTCCTTTCTAAGTACTTGGCAAAATAGTCCAGCTCATCCCCGCCTCAACACCTTTGCACTTGCTGTTCCGTCTGCCTGAGACTGTCATCTTCTATCTTCAGGTCCCAGCTCCTTAGAGAGTCCCTTGCAGCAGGGTGCAGTGGCTCATGCCTGTAATCTCAGCACTTTGGGAGGCCGAGGTGGGTGGATCACCTGAGGTCGGGAGTTCGAGACCAGCTTGACCAAAATGGAGAAACCCTGTCTCTACCAAAAATACAAAATCAGCCAGGTGTGGTGGCACATGCCTGTAATCCCAGCTACTCGGGAGGCTGAGGCAGGAGAATCGCTTGAACCCAGGAGGCAGAGGTTGCAGTGAGCTGAGATCATGCCATTGCACTCCAGCCTGGGCAAAAAGAGCGAAACTCTGTCTCAAAAAATAAATAAATAAAGAGAGAGAGTCCCTCACTGACCCTGTATCTGAAGAAACCGCCAAGGCCCTCACTAACTCAACATCCTATTCATTTTTGTCACCATTTATCACCACCTGAAACTATCCTGGGCATTTGTCACTGATATATATTGTCTTTGGTCACCAGAATGTCAGTTCCATGAGAGCAAAGACCTTTCTGGCCAGCTCACTGCTGTATCCTCAGCACATAGTGGGCACTCAATTCAAATGTGTTGCGACTGAATTAACACATGAATGAATGAATGCACCAACAGAGGGGGAAGGAGGCAGGTGTTGACCCTGGAAAAATCTAGAAACAAGTGGGAATGGCTGATCCTGTATCTGTGTTTTCCAGCACTTGCTCCTTGGGCATATTTTAGGATGAAGCCTTTACCTTTCCACTGGTCCCAACCTCTGGGTAGATGGGACTCCCAGGAGCTTGAGGTTGCAGTGAGCTGTGATCACACCATTGCACTCCAGCCTGGATGACAGAGCAAGACCCTGTCTCTAAAATATGTTTTATTTGGGCCAGGCGCAGTGGCTCATGGTGTAATCCCAGCACTTTGGGAGGCCAAGGCGGGCAAATCACCTGAGGTCAGGAGTTGGAGACCAGCCTGGCCAACATGGTAAAACCCCATCTCTACTAAAAATACAAAAATTAGCCGGGTGTGGTGATGCATGCCTGTAATCCCAGCTACTCCGGAGGCTGAGGCAGGAGAATTGCTTGAACCCTGGAGGCGGAGGTTGCGGTGAGCCAAGATCATGCCTCTGCACTCCAGCCTGGGCAACAGAGTGAGACTCCATCAAAAAAAACAAAAAAAAAAAAGTTTTATTTGTTAGCCTGACACCCAAGTGATGCCCATTCAGGCTAATCAAGTTCACATGGTCAACCATGGTATCAGATCAAATTCCAGCCACTCCTGGAAAAAATTCCCCACCTTCAAGGTGGGCCTGGAGGAACAAGGCATCTATAGGGTGAGGACTCATGCTGGGGGACATGGTGCCCTGAGCAGCTTTGACCCTGGCTACCCCAGGAGCCCTGGACTAGCCACTGGATCGCACCCAAGGGGCCTATGTCACACTATCTATCAGTAACAACCCAATAGACACCCAAGTGAGCATCCCTGGAGCCAAGCCTCACACGCACACCTAGAACTGTGTCTGTGTAGAAAAAGCTTATCTATGTTTTTCTTACTTTTGATGTGCTTTGAAGCAGAAGTTGCAAACTAGGCGGATCACCTGAGGTCAGGAGTTCGAGCCCAGCCTGGCCAACATGGTGAAAACTTGCCTCTACTGAAAATACAAAAATTACCCGGGCATGGTGGTGCATGCCTGAATTCCAGCTACTCAGGAGGCTAAGGCAGGAGAATGGCTTGAACCCAGGAGGCGGAGCTTGTGGTGAGCCGAGATCATGCTACTGCACTCCAGCCTGGGCGACAGAGTGAGACTCCATCTCAAAAAAAGAAAAAAAGAAAAGCCCACAGGGCCTGGCAGAACAGCCAGCCCAGAACTGGAGGAGAGGGTGAGATATGCCCGGGCAGGGCCCTCGGCACACCCTGCACCTGTCCCAAGGCGTTTTTATATTATTTTTTAGAGATAGGGTCTCGCTCTGTCACCCAGGCTGGAGTGCAACGGTGTGATCACAGTTCACTGCAACCTTGAGCTCCTGGGCTCAAGTGATCCTCCTGCCTTGGCCTCCCAAAGTGTTGGGATTAGGCTCTGCCACCCTTCTTTAAAACACAAGAGCCACGGCCGGGCACAGTGGCTCACGCCTGTAATCCCAGCACTTTGGGAGGCCGAGGCGGGCGGATCACGAGGTCAGGAGATCGAGACCATCCTGGCTAACATGGTGAAACCCCGTCTCTACTAAAAATACAAAAAATTAGCCGGGCGTGGTGGCGGGTGCCTGTAGTCCCAGCTACTCAGGAGGCTGAGGCAGGAGAATGGCGTGAACCCGGGAGGTGGAGCTTGCAGTTAGCTGAGATCGCGCCACTGCACTCCAGCCTGGGCGACAGAGCGAGACTCCATCTCAAAAAAAAAAAAAAAAACAACACAAGAGCTACCAAACCAAATACTAAATGCCTCTGCAGGGAAGAGGGTGGACGATCACTTGGAGCAGGCCTGTTTGTGACCCCTGCAAAGCGTTAGTTCCCCAAACCAGTTTTCCACTCAGCTGTGGGTGATTCCCACCCAACATGGAAGGATCAGTAGGGGTGGGGAGTCAGAACCTTCCTCAATGGTAAAGGGACCCTCTTCCAAAAATGTAGGCAGCAAGGTGCACTGAAGGCCCTGACTTCACCACAATGCAATACATCAATGGAGCAAAATTGCACATTGTTGACGCTGCCACCTCAAGAGCCCTGGGCTGGCTGTCACAGAGCACAGGCAAGGGGCCTGTGTTACACTGTCAGCGACAACCCAAAAGACACCCAGATGAAGAGCGTGCCTGGGGCCAAGCTATGCAGGAGGAGGAGAAGCCTGGTTTCAGTGACGGCATCACAGTTTTTTGTTTTTTTGCTTTTTGTTTTTTGTTTTTGAAATGGAGTCTCACTCTGTCACCCAGGCTGGAGTGCAGTGGCACAATCTCGGCTCACTGCAACCTCTGCCTCCCGGGTTCAAGCGATTCCTCTGCCTCAGCCTCCCCGGTAGCTGGGACTACAGGCCCGTGCCACCACACCTGGCTAATTTTTGTATTTTTAGTAGAGATGGGGTTTCACTATGTTGGCCAGGCTGGTCTCAAACTCCTGACCTCAGGTGATCCACCCACCTCGGCTTCCCAAAGTGCTGAGATTACAGGCATGAGCCACAGTGTCTGGCCCACAGTTTTATTCAATATGTAGTTATTAAGCACCTACTGTTGCTGGGCATGGTGGGATTAAGCAGTGAAGGAGACCACCCTTTGTAGCCACAGGTAGTTGGCACTCGAAAAAGTAAGTTATCATCAACCTCATGTGCTAAGCAAGGACCCTCCCTGGACATAAGGAATCGGGCCTTGAAGTCAGCCCTTTAAAGGCTAAGAAAACAAGAAAAACACCCTGGCATTCAAAGCAAAGTGAACGTTCAGAACATGGGGGATTGGCGGGGGACAGGGTCTCTTGGCCCTCATCCTTTCTGCACAGAGGCCCTTCTGATCTCACAGTCCTGCAGAAACCTCACTGAGGATGTCGCTCAGAGTCCCCAGCCAGCCCCCACTTACCCTTGCTGCAAGAAACTGCAATGTCACCCCCGGCTTCCTCTGCTCCTTCAGTTAAGACACTGTTTACATTTCAGAAAGAATGGAGCTGGGAACAAACTCAGGCCCCCCTCTGATAGGCCCGATGATCTCTGAAGATCAACAGCTCGCTTTCTCCCAGGGGTTCCCCCTCATTTCTGGGGTGTTGTCCCACCAGGGCATCTGCTTGAGTCTTTGCTCTCAGGCACCATGGGTGGGAGCACAGGAGGGCCCCATCAAGGGGAGCGATCCAGCGAGGATGACATGGTCCCTGCAGTCTTGCTCTCCTGAATGGCGGTGGTGGGGCTGGCTAGGTGGATCCTGCCATCTCTCCAATGGGACAGCCCGCAGCTGTGAACAAGCCTGAGAATAAGCTGTACCTTCTGTTCCCGTGGGGGCAGACCTCCCAGATACATTGTTTAGCGCAAAAGCACGTGCAGTGCTGGGTGTGCAGTGTGGTACCTTTTGTGCAGAAAAGCGGGGAGGGGTAAGTGTGCTTAGGCTGCCGGGCTATGCATGATACTTTTTGGCATATATTAATGGGGTACAAGTGCAATGTTGCTACATTGTTATATTGCACTGTGGTGAAGGCAAAGTGTTAGGATGCACCCATCATGGGAGCCATGCGCCTTATGTCCACCAAGCAACCTCCCGCCATCTAACCCCCTCCCATGTCCCCACGCCTCTCGGTCTCCAATTCCATCATTCCACACTCTGCTTCCATGTGTACACATTATTTAGCTCCCACTTGTAAGTGAAAACATGCAGTATTTGCTTTTTTTTTTTTTTTTTTTTTTTTGAGACAGAATCTCGCTCTGTCACTCAGGCTGGAAGTTCAGTGGCGTGATCTTGGCTCACTGCAACCTCCACCTCCCAGGTTCAAGTGATTCTCCCGCCTCAGCCTCCCAAGTAGCTGGGACACCACCATGCCCAGCTAATTTTTGTATTTTTAGTAGAGACGGGTTTCACCATGTTGGCCAGGCTGGTCTCGAACTCCTGGCCTCAACCAATCTGCCCGCCTTGGCCTCCGAAAGTGCCTGGGATTCCAGGCATGGCCCACTGCGCCCGGCCAGTATTTGTCTTTCTGTGTCTGAGTCGTTTCGCTTAGGATAATGGACTCCAGTTCTATCCACATTGCTGCAAAAGACAGGATTTCATTCTTTCTTATAACTAAATAGTGATCCATGGTGTATAGGTACCACACTTTCTTTATTCAATCCTTCATTGATGGACACTTAGATTGATTCCATATCTTATATGCATGAAGACTTCTGCAAGGAGATTAATTCAGGCGTGCCCACTGTGTGCGAGGCACCACACTAGGTGTGTGAGATATAGCAGTGAATGAGATAGGCAGTCTCTGCCTCCGTGGAGCTGACATTCTAAAGAGAGGGATGCATAATTAAAACTCAATAAATATATCATTCCCTGGATGAGAAGGTGGTAAGTGCTCTGCAAGAAATAAATCCAGAAAGGAAGGCCAGGCACTGTGACTCACTCCTGGAATCCCAGCACCTTGGGAGGCCAAGGTGGGTGGATCACCTGAGGTCAGGAGTTCGAGACCAGCCCGGCCAACATGGTGAAACCACCTCTCTACCAAAAATACAAAAATTAGCTGGGCATGGTAGTAGGTGCCTGAAATCCCAGCTACTTGGGAGGCTGAGGAAGGTGAATCGCTTGAACCCGGGAGGCAGAGGTTGCAGTGAGCCACGATCGCATCACTGCACTCCAGCCTGGGTGACAGAGCGAGACTCAGTCTCAAAAAGATAATGAATAAATCAGGAAAGGAAGGTAGTGTGCACAGGTGTGGGAGGTCAGGGAAGTATCTGGGAGAAAGCACAACAGGCAGAGGGAACCACCAGTGCAAAGGCCCTGGGGTGGGAATGTGCCTGGTGTATTCCTGGAACAGCAAAGAGCCCCGTGTGAGAACAGTGGATGGAGTGGGCAGTTCAGGGAGGGACATATGGCAGGAGCCAGGGAGAGGTTGGGGAGGACACAGGACAAATTGACAGCAGAGGTTGCCTCTGGGTGGGGGCTGGGGGAGGATGTGACAAGGGCAGGTGCAGGGGACGCCCTGGGAAATGGGGGTTGAGGCAGAGGGTCACTTGCTCTGACCATGTCTGTGTGAAATGTTTACAGATGGAAAATGCTTTCTTGCTTTGTTTTTCAGCTTGGATATCTGGTTTTGGACATCCCTGCGTGCACTTCTGGAGTCTTTCGAGATTCAAGGAGGTCTCCTTTCCAGCATCTTTGCCCCACATTTTCTCCTTCTCAGCCTCCCTGAGAATGTTAGGAATTAGCCCCTGGGTGGCCTCACCCTCTGCTTGGGCCTGGAAAGCCAACCCCTGCCCCTTCCCTTCTTCCCAGGGCACAGACACGCACAGACACACACACAGATGGTGAAAGAGCCTGCACTGCAGTGGTGACTGTTGCTGCATCCAACTCTAAAGCAGCCCTGGCCCAAACCGCCCCGCTCAGACCTGGACCAAGGGGAGATCAGACCCCAAAGGCCTGTCCAGAGTGGGTGCGACCTGCGGTCTTAGAACTGAGCTTGTTTGTCCCTCCTGGGTTCCCTCTGGCTTCTGCCTGTCCGAGCCAGTCATACTGGATCTCTCATTTTAAAAATGAATGCTGCTGGTCCCCCTGGCTCAGAAGGGTCCTCCAGGCCTCTCTGGTGCCTGCCAGAATTATTGTAAGCCCAGCATTGCACGTGAAAAGTTGACAGGGCTCTAAAATCCCAGGGGGAAGGTCCCTCTAGCAAGTTAAAGTGGAAAGGATCCACAGATTCGAATCCGACAGATCTGGGTTCACCTCCAAACTCGGCTATCTCATTGAATCACTCAACAAACACGTTTTCTGTTGGTCCTGGGGTCCCACAGTGAACAAGACTCAACACGGAGGCAGCTCTCTGGAGGGCAGAGTGGGAGACACCTGGCTGGGCCTGCTGCATGTGTCTCCCACTCTTCCTGGTCCGTCTTCCTGAACAGCAGAAGCCAACGACCATGTTTCCAGGATCCCTTGCAGCTAGGGCTCTGTATGGATTCTGGGTCCAGCAACCCATTTATCACACTCAAATTCAGGACCAAGTCCATCGGGTGGAGAGAGGGTCTGCAGCAGCCACTGGGCCGAGTGGACTGCAGCAGGGGGTCAGACACTATGGGGACAGAGTCTCATTTGGAAGGTGGCTTCCCACCTGGGCTGGGGCAGCAGCTCCCTGGTAGCCCAGGCCTGTGACATCGCTGAGCATCCTGCCAGGAGGCTCCACCTCAACTGCTCAGGCCCTGTAGCACCCTGCGGGAAGCCCTCCAAACACCCAGGGCAGATCCTCTTCCCTGCAAGATTGAGGGAGTCACGAATCACACAAGCAAAGGAAGGAAGCATCATCAAGGCTGGTGAAGGGGGCCCAAAAGGATAGGGGCCAGGAGTGCTGCAGAGCACGGGGAGGACAGGTTTGAGATTAGGTGATCCTGGAGGGTCTCCCTGAGGAGGTGACATTTAAGACGGCGGCGGCCGGGGGTGAGGGAACAGCATTCTAGGTGGGAGAAACAGCAGATGCAAAGGCCACACCATGGGAAGTGACTCGATGTGTCTGAAGAATGGATAGAACACCGGTGTGGCTGGAGCGTGAGGAGGGGCAAGTCACTTGATCTCTTTGAGCCTCAGTTTTCCTCATCTGTAAAATGGGGCTGGACTCCCTCCCTGGCTGAAAGCACAAGAAATCAAATTAATATGTAATGGCATGCTGTTGTTTCAGGTGGTGTTGAGAGGAGAGTAAAGCACAGGGTGGCTGGGGAAGGCCTCTTGGGGGAGGTGACAATGGGGCACAGACATGAATGAAAGACAGTGCCAGCCACGAGGATGTCCACAGAAAGGACATTTGGGGCAGGGGGCGTGGCAAGTGCAAAGGCCCTCAGGTAGGATGCACGAGCTCGGCAAACACGCATGTCCTCGCAAGCCACAACACGGAGCCCACCCTTCCCCTACAAGCAATGGGAGACCCTGATGGGTTTCAGCAGGACTGTGGTCAGGTCTGGGCGTGTTTAGAATGGGGATCCCTGAGAGGCAGGGAGGCCGGGTGGGAGGTCTCATGGCAATGAGAAATAACGAGTGCCAAGACAGGGGCAGTGCAGGGGGTGGAGGAAATGGGCGCTGTGGAGGGTCAGCAGGTGAGATGTAGGGAATCCAGTGCCCCAGGCCTCAGGAGGAGAGGCCTGCAGGGGCGGGGCCGAGACAAGCCTGGGCAGGGAGAAGGGAAGGGAGCCCGTCTGTGCCTGTAGCCTGGGCAGGGAGAAGGGAAGGGAGCCCGTCTGTGCCTGGAAACCAATTTGCTCTGGCAGCGCTGTGGAAGAAAAATTCCACGCATGTCCCCGCGAGCCCTTCGAAGCTCTTCGTGGAAAGGCACACACTGCAGTCTTGGAGTGCATCCTGCTCTTAGGGCCTCTGGGGGCCAAGTCAAGCCGATGAAGGGTGTGCGATGTGGGTGGATCAGGCCTGGGAGGCTCCAGCGCGGCCTCTCCAAAGCCACCCATCCCATGATCTTTCCTACCTTCCCCATACCTCAGTTTCCTTTCTGTTATATGGGTGTCCTGTGAGCCCCTTCCTCACGGGGTGGCCGTTAGAATTAAATGGGATCCTGGGTGTAAAGCCTTAGCACAGTGCCAGGCCATATAGATGTCAGCCACAAGGGGAGGTGTGGGCGTGGGCCAGGAGAAACCCGGGAAGACTTCCTGGCAAAGGCAGAACTGGTGCTGAGACTGGCTAATCACTGCAAAGGCTGCCTGGGCTATTCCAACCTGCCCAGTTCATGCTCAGACTTCTGGAATCTGCAAGAACCTTTGGAAGGAGACACGATTATCAGCCCCATGGTATTACTCTCCTGTCGCTGCTGTAATGAATTAAGCCAAACGTGGTGGCTGAAAACAGTACAGATTCATTACCTTACAGTTCTGGAAGTCAGCAGTCTGAAGTGGCTCCTGGAGAGATGGAATCAAGGTGCCAGCAGGGCTGTGTTCCTCTTGGAGGATCTGAGGGAGAATCTATTTCCTCACCTTTTCCAGCTGCCAGAGGCTGGTGGCCTCGCCTCACTCCAATCTCTTCTTCCATCGCTGCATCTCCTCCCCAACTCTGACCTCCTGACTCCCTCTCACAAGGAAGCTTGTGATTACACTGGGCCCACCCGGATAATCCAGGATCATCTCCCATCTCAAAATCCTTTACTTAATCACCTCTGCAAAGCCCCTTTGCCATGTAAGGTAGCAGATTCACAGATTCTAGAAATTAGGATGGGGACATCTCTGGAGCTATTATTCCACCCAGCAGATCCGTCTCATGCATAAGAAAAACAAAGGTGAGAAGCCAGAGGGAAAGCTTGAGATCACCTGACTCAAGAGGGGAGCGTTGGCTTCGAACCCAGTCTGTCCAACTTCAAAGCCTGCAGTTGCCGTCATTTCAGGATTCCCGCTTTTCCCATGCGTATTGTCTGAACCTGCATTTGGGGGCTCCAGCCACTGCCTCATCAGTTCATCTTAATTGAGCACCTATTATGTACCAGGTAATGTTCCAGGCACCAGGGATACAGTGGTCACCAAGCCAGGAGAACTTCCCTGTCTGCACAACGCTCATAGTCACTCAATCACATCCATTATGAGGCAAGTCACAGAAACCTCAGCTCAAATCAACGTAAGCAATGAGGTCATTTATCATTTCACATAGCAAGAAATTAGGAGGAAGGGTGGTTCTGGGTTTGGTTAGATTGAGTGCCATTGTCAGGGATCTCCCGGTTCTTTCCATCTTTCTGGTTTCCTCCCCTCAGATTGGTTCTCATCCCAAATTTCCTCATGACCACAAAATAGCTGCCACTGCTCCAGCTAATATATCCAGGCACAACATTCAGTGCAGGAAGAACAAGAGCCCTTTCCCCAAAGCCCACTGCAGCCCTTTACTCATATCTCATTGGCCAGGATTGGGTCCCATGCCCACAGCTTGATTAGTCTCTGGCAAAGGAAACAGAATCACTGGCCTGGGACCAATCTGGATAGTCCCCTAGAGCTAAAGATGTGTCCCGATTTCCTGAGTCCCCTGGAGAGGCACAGGTCTCTCACTGAAATCAGGGTTCCCACAGCAAGAAAGAAGGGAATAATCACTTGGGCAGTAAATGGCCTGGGTTCAAATCCTAGCTCTGCCATATTCCCTATGAGTAGCTCTCTGGGCTTCAGTTTCCTTATCTGTAAAATGGGTATAGTAGCAGGACCTGGTTCATGGGGTTGTGGTGAGAATAAAATGAGTCAATGTGTGCAAAGCCCAGTGTGTGCAAAGCCGAGCTGTCAACAAAGCTCAGCTGTCATTATCTTTCCTAGGATCTTTCTCCGAGGGCAGGGCCCACAGTATGAATTCTCCTTCCATTGCCTGGACTGTAGAAGACTTTCGGTAGTTTCCCTCCACACCAAAAGGAAAATCTGCTCACAATGACCTCATTCCAAGAACTCCGTCCTAAAGGCTGGTTGGGGGAAGACTCAAGTGAGCCCTCTGCTCAGTGTCAATGGGGAGTTCCCATAGGTGGCCCAGGAAGGATGTGCCAAGAACAACAATAGTTTGGAAGTGCTCACTATGAGTTGGTGCTGGGCTAAGTGCTTGACACAAGGAAGCTCTCTCAGCCCTGTCCTGTCAGCCGCCATCAACAGTGAGGAAACAGAGACTCAGGAAAATAGAGCAGCGTGGCCTGAGTTACCCAGAGCAGGAGTGGAGGAAGCAAATAGGATCTGAACCCAGGTCTGGTGGGCCCCAAGGTTCAGCTCATGGATGGGTTCATGCGCCCCACATGAGGATTTAAACATCAGGCTATAGTAGGTGAACATATATGGCCTCTCCCACATACTGATGGCCAAGAAGCACACAAAAAGATGTCCAGCTGCATTAGTTATTAGAGAAATGCGAATCAAAACCCCGATGAGATAGCACCTCATGCCCACTAGGAAGGCTTTAATTCTTTTTATTTATTTATTTATTTGAGAAGGAGTCTCGATCTGTCGCCAGGTTGGAGTGCAATGGTGTGATCTCGGCTCACTGCAACCTCTGCCTCCCAGGTTCAAGAGAGTCTTCTGCCTCAGCCTCCCGAGTAGCTGGGACTACAGGCATGCGCCACCATGCCCAGCTAATTTTTGTATTTTCAGTAGAGACGGGGTTTCACCATGTTGGCCAGGATGGTCTCAATCTCTTGACCTTGTGATCTGCCCACCCTTAGCTTCCCAAAGTGCTGGGGTTACAGGCGTGAGCCACCGCACCCAGCTTAATTCTTTTTAAAAAGGGAAAATAACAAGTGTTGGTGAAGATGTGGAGAAACTGGAACCTTTGTGCATTTCTGGTGGGATTGTAAAATGGTACAGCCACTGTGGGAATAAGTGTGGCTGCTCTTTGAAAATTGAAACATAGAATCATCATATCCAGGAACTCCACTCCTCCGGGGTATATATCCAAGAGAACTGATAGCAGGGCCTCAAACAATTACTCATACCTCAAGGATCATGGCAGCATTATTCACCATGGCGGACGGGAAATGTCCATGGAAGAATGAATGGATACACAAATTGGAGTCCAGCCAAACACAAAGGCCACACCCCGCATGATTCCATGTACATGAAATGTGCAGAATAGGTGAACCCATAGAGACAGAAAGGAGATTCACGGCTACCAGCGGCTGGGGATGAGGGAGTGACTGTTCATGGGCATGAGGGGATTTTGGGGAAGTGACAGTGTTCTGGAACTAGATAGCGGTGGTGTTTGCGTGGCATCGTGAAGGTACCTAACGTCAGCGAACAGAATACTTTAAAATGGTAAAATGGCTGATTTTATATTATGTATATTTACCACAATTTAAAAGGAAGGAAGGAAGGAAGGAAGGCAGGCAGGCAGGAGAAGGAGGTAGGAGGGAGGGAAAGAGGGAGGGAGGAAGGAGGGAGGGAAGAAGGAAGGAAGGAAGGAGAAGGGAAGGGAAGGAAGGAAGGAGAAGGGAAAGGAAGGGAAAGTAGAAGGAGGTAGGAGGGAGGGAGGGAGGAAGGAAGGAGGCTTCTTTTGCAGAAATCAGGATCTGGCCACGCTGGGTCTTTCGCTGATCACAGCGGCCCCTGTCCAGCATTCCTGGCCCCAGTAAGCTTCTGGCGTTTCCAAAGGTGGCAGGAGACTGGGCAGCCGACATAGCAGGAGGGAACATCGCGCTCTGCCCTCCCCATCCCAAGCCCTCTGGCCTGGCCCTGCCCACAGGGTAAAGAGGGAAGTTCCAGGCTGGTGCTGCTGCTGCTGTGGCTGCCATCCCTTGTCCCTAAGTCTGGGCCCCAGGCCCTGGGTACAGCTCCCTTCCTCACCCTGCCAGGGCCCATGACCTCCTTCCGTCCTTTCAGGATTTTGCAGGAAGTGGAAGAGGCGTGTAGAAGGTGCCAGAGGACAGACAGGAAGCCAAGTGAGTCTCCCTCAGGGACAGGGGAGAGAGACTGCCCCGAAGGCTAAATGGGGAGGGGTGACCGAGGCCTGATGTGGATCCTGCCCTGGGGAGCTGCTGTGGGGGCCTGGGGATCCTGCTGCGCCCAGCTTGGATGAATGCACAGCTGGAGCTGGAGGCATGAACTCAGATTTCCCTCCCATCTCCCTGGGCTCCCTCTCAGCCTCTCTGCCTGCTTCTTGGGCATCTTCCCACCCTCGAAAGGTGGCACCCCCAGGGCTCAGGTGCTCTTCCAGACTCCTGTCTGTGCACAGGCGTCCGTCCATGTCTGCATCCATCCTGGAGCTTAAGTCAAGGGGATGGATGACTTTAGAACCCCAGTTGCAGCCCGGGCTCCTCTCGGGAACTCCAGACTCCAGATCCAACCACGGACAGGCCCACTTGCCTTGTCTGGTCAACAGGTGATGTGAACTCACCATGACCCAAACCACCTCTGCCCCCTCACGGCCTTCCCTGTCTCAGGGGAGGGCAGCTCCATCCTTCCTGACAATCAGGCCCAGAACCTGGAGCCAGGGTGGGGGTGGGGGTCTGGGGAGGGGGCTTCGGTCACTCCAGGGAGGACATGGGCCAGTGGTGGGCCCTGAGAGGGGCTAGAGAAGGCCAGGCCATTGGCGCATCAGGGGACGCAGGGACAGGGCAGGAGAGTCCTCGCCAGGCTCCAGGCCGCGCCATGAGGCCTCTGTAAGCCATCTTCTCACTTTCTTGGATACACATGAGTTTTTAATTTTGATGCGGTCCAATTTCCCTATTTCTTCTGTATGGTGGATGTTGTTGATTCTGTTTCGGAAATGAGGGAACTCAGGGTCAGAAAGACAAAGGGACTTGCCGGGCGCGGTGGCTCATGCCTGTAATCCCAGCACTTTGGGAGGCCGAAGGGGGCGGATCACGAGGTCAGGAGATCGAGACCATCCTGGCTAACACGGTGAAACCCCGTTTCTACTAAAAATACAAAAAATTAGCCAGGCGTGGTGGCGGGCGCCTGTAGTCCCAGCTACTCGGGAGGCTGAGGCAGGAGAATGGCGTGAACCCGGGAGGCGGAGCTTGCAGTGAGCAGAGATCGCGCCACTGCACTCCAGGCTGGGCGACAGAGCGAGACTTCGTCTCAAAAAAAAAAAAAAAAAAAAAGAAAAAGAAAGGCAAAGGGACTTTTTCTGGGATCACGAAGCTCAAAAGTAATCCAGTTGGGATTAGAACCCACATTTGTCCGTAAAACCCGAGACACCAGGAGCATCAGTGAAGGTGCTTTGGGCTGTAGGTGACAGGAAAACCCAGCCCACATGGCTTTAGCAATGAGACCTAGCGGCTCCCCATCAGGAATATCAGGGGCAGGGGGCTCCAGGCTGGCGGACCCAGCAGCTCAGTGACACCATCAAGGACCCAGGTTCTTTCCTCCTCTTTGATCTGCCATCTTCAGTGCTGACCCCACCTGTAGGCCGGGGAGCAAGAGGGAGGAGCATTTTCCGGAGTCACCTTCAGATAGTGCATCCATGAAATAACAGAGACCCTCCCGGACCATGGGTGTCCCCACGAGAAAAATTTATTCAGATGTCCCGCCCAGAAGATTTTCCCCACATCTTATTGGCCTGAATCGAGTCACATGCCCACGCCTGAACCAATCCCAGCACAGGGAGAATGGCTCACTCTCAGACCAATCAGGGTCCTCCCTGGAGTCCGTGGTAGCTCAGGGAGGCTCCCAGCAGGGTGAGAGAGGCCGAAACCCAACAAAATCAGGGTCTCTCCTGATTATCCCCTCCCCCAGTCTTTCCAGAAGTGCAACCTGAGGTGATTGTCAGTGACGAACTTTTTCATAGGTTTTGGATGAATCCTTTTAATAGTCATTAGTTTTTATCATAGTTATTCTGTTGGTGCAAAAGTAATGGCAGCTTTTGCAATTCCTTTTTTTTTTTTTTTTTTTTTTGAGACCGAATCTCACTCTGTTACCCAAGCTGGAGTGCAATGGCGAGATCTTGGCTCACTGCAACCTCCAACTCCTGGGTTCAAGTGATTCTCCCGCCTCAGCCTCCCACCTTAGCCTCCCGAGTAACTGGAATTACAGGTGCCTGCCACCACGCCTGGCTAAGTTTTGTATTTTTGTAGAGACGGGGTTTCACTATGTTGGCCAGGCTGGTCTTGAACCCCTGACTTCAGGTAATCTGCCTGCCTCAACCTCCCAAAATGCTGGGATTACAGGCGTGAGCCACCGTGCCCGGCCGCAATTACTTTTAATGGCAAAAACCGCAATTACTTTTGCACCAATCTTAATATTATAATCTTTTATTTGTGGCAAGTGATACTGATTTTCCTTTTTCTCTCTCTCTTTCTTCCTTCCTTCCTTTCCTTTCTTTCTTTCTTTCTCTCTCTCTCTCTCCCTCCCTCCCTCCCTCCCTCCCTCCCTCTCTCTCTCTCTCTCTCTTTCTTTCTTTCTTTCTTTCTTTCTTTCCAGGGTTTCATTCTGTCACCCAGGCTGGAGTGCTGTGGCGCCACCATAGCTCCCTGCAACCTCAATCTGCTGGTCCCGTCATCCTCCTGCCTCAGCCTCCTGAGTAGCTGTGACTACAGACGCATGCCTGCAGGCCCGGCTGATTAAAAAAAATTTTTTTGTAGAGATAGTGTTGCCCAGGCTATTCTTGAACTCCTGGGCTCAAGTGATCCTCCTGCCTCGGCCTCCCCAAGTGTTAAGATTATAGGCATGAGCCACTGTGCTCAGCCTAATTTATCTTTAATGATAGCTATATAATTTCCTTTTAAAAATAAGTTTAGGGCAAACAAAGATAAATCCTCACTCACTCACTTGGGAGTGTGAAATGGTCGAACCACTTCGGAAAACTGTATCTACTATATCTGAACATATGCCCACTTGATGACCCGCCAATTTCAATCCCATAATGCTAGCACTTTGGAAGGCCGAGGTGGGCACATTGCTTGAGTCCAAGAGCTCGAAAACAGTCTAAACAACATGGCAGAACCCCGTCCCTACAAAAAATACAAAAAATTAGCTGGGCACCTGTAGTCCTAGCTACTCAGGAGGCTGAGGTG
This sequence comes from Homo sapiens, assembly GCF_000001405.40. NCBI lineage: Eukaryota > Metazoa > Chordata > Mammalia > Primates > Hominidae > Homo > Homo sapiens. The sequence continues at coordinate 124,585,475 of NC_000012.12, forward strand.
AGAGGATCAGTTGAGCCAGGAGGTTGAGGCCGCAGTGAGCCATGATCGTGCCACTTGCAATCCAGCCTGGATGACAGAGCAAGACTTTGTCTAAAAACAAACAAACAACAACAACAACAACAAAAACCATGGGCAACGGGGTGGGCACAGGGTTACTCAGAACACTCCAGAATACAGACTCCCCAGATGCCCATCAACATAGATGGAGAGGCTGGATTCGGTGGCTCACGCCTGTAATCCCAGCGCTTTGGGAGGCTGAGGTGGGCGTATCACTTGAGCTCAGGAGTTGGAGACCAGCCTGGCCAACATGGAGAAACCCTGTCTCTACTAAAAATACAAAAATTAGCCGGGCGTGGTGGCGCGCACGTGTAATCTCAGCTACACAGTGGGGAGGCTGAGGCAGGAGAATCACTTGAACCCTGGAGGCGGAGGTTGAGATAGCACCACTGCACTCCAGCCTGGGTGACGGAGCGAGACTCCATCTCAAAAATAAATAAATAAATAAATAAAAATAAATAAAATAGATGGATAAATAAATTGTGGTTCTTTACACCGTGGAATCCCATTCAGCAATGAAAAAGAACAAACAACCTCTGCTATAACAACATGGATGAAGCAGCCACAAGAGTCTAAACTGTAAGAACCCATGGATCTAAATCCCAAAGCAGGCAAAACTGATCTGCAGTTAGAAGTCTTGCTGGGCAGGTTAGCTGGGCACGGTGGCTCACACCTGTAATCCCAGCACTTTTTGAGGCCGAAGCCAGCAGATCACCTGAGGTCAGGAGTTTGAGACCAGCCTGGCCAACATGGCGAAACCTCGTCTCTACTAAAAACATAAAAATTAGCCAGGTGTGGTAGTGGGCACCTGTAGTCCCAGCTACTCAGAAGGCTGAGGCAGGGAGAATTGCTTGAACCTGGGAGGCGGCGGAGGTTGCAGTAAGCGGGGATCCCACCACTGCACTCCACCCTGGGTGACAGAGCAAGATCCAGTCTCAAAAAAAAAACAAATGAAGTCAGGCTAGTACTGACCCTTCAGGGTTAGTGACTAAAAAGGGGTCTGGGTTAGGGGATCTTAAGGGGACATCTGGGAATGTTGTGTTTCTTGAATTGAGTCCTGGTCACACAGGTGTGATCGTTTCATGAAAATCCTTTAAGCCATACACTTCAGCCATACTTTTCTGTATGCATACCATACTTTAATAAAAACTGTTTTAAAGTGAAGTGATTTTAAGAAAAATGCTAGCCAAGCAACAGACCCGGCAGTGCACAGGTGTGTGGACATGCGAAGGGGCTTCAGGAATGACTGGAATCGGGACGCTGCCTATCCCGTCATTCTTGTCATGCCTATTTTTGGTGGTTGGAATCGCATGAGCAGCAAACACCTGTTGTTGATTTTGCAGGAGAGGCATGGAGAGCAGGTGCAGCAGAGAGAGCACTGTTTGCTTAGAGATGATTTCATAGAGCGCTGGATGGAAAGAAATCTGTCCTCAGTTGCTGGGGTGGCCTCTTGACACCCCCGCTCTTCGCAACAGCCTGGAGAAGACCCCACCCCGTCTCAGCAAATATGAGGCGTGTCTATCCTGCCACTCTCCACCCCAGGAGCAGGCATTGGTAATCCATCCCATCACTCTTGTCCACTGATTCCAGATAAAGCCTTTAATTCTTTGCAACAGAGTGTCGAAGGCAATAGATGCCAAAGGTTGAAGCTATTACGGTTTTGTTTTGTTTTTTTCTGAGACAGGGTCTCACTCTGTTGTCCAGGCTGGAGTACAGTGGCACCATCTCAGCTCACTGCAACCTCTGCCTCCTGGGCTCAAGCAATTCTCCTGCCTCAGCCTCCCAAGTAACTGAGACTACGGGCATGTGCCACCACCGCTGGCTAATTTTTATGTTTTTAGTAGAGACAGGGTTTTGCTATGTTGCCCAGGCTGGTTTTGAACTCTTGGACTCAAGCAATCCTCCCTCCTCAGCCTCCCCAGGTGCTGGGATTACAGGTGTGAGCCGCCACACCCAGAAGCAGCTAGTAATTGATGACACTTGCTTTACATTCCAGACCTAGATGTCTTCCCCTGCCTTCATTGGGAGGGTGCTGAGCCACGGGTTCCACCTCTGCCAAAGGCACACCTAGGAGACTCCTCATGTCCAGCTGAGAAGAGGGGGACACCTCCTGTCTGAGACTGCAGCTCACACTGCTGCATGCTTCCTGGACACCATCTCTCTGACCTTGGTCGCATCTGCCTAGCCTGCAGCTACGTTCTCTGACCTCCAGCTCTTCCTCTTTCTCCCCTCGGTAATACCAAAGTCTCAAGAACACAGCCCTCACTTCTAGACAGAAAGGCCTCACCAGGACCCACCTGTGTGGCCCAGGTGTGACCTCATGTACAAACACATCTCCCAAAATCACCATCTCGTCATCATGGATCCTAGTACTATCCATGAGTTAACTCTCATTTCTGTGTTAATCGGGGGTGCAGCACATTTTGGTGCAGATTCATTGTGGCTTTGGGGTGCCATTTGGGACTCTCCCCCATGCACAATGTGTGCCTATCTCATCAAATTAAATTAGGCTTGTTTTGGCCTGGCCAGTGTCCATTCCTTCTTTTCCGGATAATAGCATCTCAGTTTTCCATGGGGAACATTTCCTCTCCCACACACTAAATGAAATCATATCTGACATGACTTGTATGGAGGATATGACCCAACCCAGCAGAAACATAGTGACTGGCTCAAGGGTGGCCATAAGATCCAGCTGGGCTGATCAGAGTTGGCCCGGACAACTGAGCTATCAGTCATGAGGTGACCCCTTTCTGCTGTTACCAAAGTGATAAGAGGTCATCTAAGAGCTGTTGGGACCATCTTTCCTCCATTTGAGGAAATCCAGCCCTAGAATGAAGCCAACACCAGGAAAAGCAGATCCAACGTACAACAGGATACAGGTTCCCAATGATGTCATTTAAGCGCCTGGATCCAGCCATGCCTGAAACCATAAACTGCCAGACATTTCTACTTAAGACTATTTGAATTGGATTCATTTCCCCTGCCACCAAAAGATGCTTGGTTAATACAAGTTATTAAGATAAGTCTGAGCAGCCTACAAATAGGCAAACAATTATTAGGGGAAATTACCTAAGACATGTGGGATAGGAGTAATATTGCTGGATAATGCAGATGCTAGCAACACAAGGCAAATAATTGAAGAATTGATCACAGTTCCCACTCTAAAGATACTGAAACCACAATCCTACTTCTCTTTCAGGAGGGCAGGGTCCTAAGTGGCCATCTGGTCTACCAGGGTGGTCTCCCCATGAAAACAGGAAATTGACATTAGTCGGCATGGGGTAGTTTAGTGAACCTGTGTTAGCTTCTCGTGATAAGCATATTTTCTTCTAAACAGCCACAAGCCATCTGTGTAATGCTCTGTTCCAGAATTCTGCGAAGATCTCTTGCTGTCAGACATACCCCATCTGGGGTTTCCAGGATCCATATCATTTTCCCTTTTGGAAAATTGGGGCCCTTGCCCATCTTCAGGCTTTACTTACTTTCCAGCAATTTCTCCTGGGTCCTCTTTCACTGTCTCCTGGCCAACCATGAATTCAATTCTCTCTTTAGAACGTCTCTTCCTCCCGTGGGATTGGAAAGAACATTTGTCCTCAGCGGCAAAGGCAGGGCTTCATCAAAGACGAGTGACTCAGTGCTTTTCCTGCTGTCTGGCCACATGATCCACATGCCCGCAAAGGGGACGTGTCTTGAACATGTCATGATTTCCCCTGAATTTCTTATGTTATTCTTTTAAAATTCACCTGGGGAACTTACTCCTTTTTTTTTTTTTTTTTTTGAGACAGTGGCTCTCTCAGTCACCCAGGCTGGTGTGCAGTGCAGTGGTGCCATCCTAGCTCACTGCAGCCTTGACCTTCTGGGTTTCGAGTGATCCTCCCACCTCAGCCTCCCAAATAACTGGGACCACAGCACCTGCTACCATACCTGGCTCATTTTAAATTTTTTTTTGTAGAGACAGGGTCTCACTATGATGCCCAGGCTGGTCTGCAATCCTTGGGCTCAAGTGAACCTCCCATCCTGGCCTCCCAAAGTGCTGGGATTACAACTGTGAGCCACTGCACCTGGCCCTTATTCCATTTTTAAGGTAATACATGCATATGATAAAATCAGCCCCAAGAGACCCAAACAATATACAATAAACAAAGTCTCCCTTCCTGATCTCCAGCTCCCAGTTCCCATCACCAAGGACAGCCATAGTCATCAATTTTTCCTTCCAGAGATATTTTGTGCATATAACGGGATACATGTATGTACATATATGTGTTTGTATGCATACATGTATGTACATATATGTGTTTGTATGCATACATGTACTGCCTTTTTGTGTGTACATGTGTGGTATAATACACATAACATAAAATTTATCATTAGTGACATCTAGTACATTCACAACCATTGCCATATCTAGTTTTAGAACTTTTTTTTTTGAGACAGTCTCGCTCTGTTGCCCGGGCTGGAGTGCAGTGGTGTGATCTTGGCTCACTGCAACCTCCACCTTCCGAGTTCAAGTGATTTTCGTGCCTCAGTCTCCCGAGCAGCTAGGACTACAGGCGAATGCCAGCGCACCAGGCTAATTTTTGTATTTTTTGTAGAGACGGGGTTTCACCATGTTGTCTAGCCTAGTCTCGATCTCCTGACCTCAAGCCATCCACCTGCCTCGGCCTCCCAAAGTGCTGGGATTACAGGCATAAGCCACTGCACCCCGGCCTAAAACATTTTCATTACTCAAGAAGGAAACCTGTACCCGTTACGCAGCATCTCCATGTCTCCCTCAGCCCCTCTCCAGCCCCCAGCAATCACCAGTCTACTTTCTGTCTCTATGGATTTGTCTATTCTGTACATTTTGTATAAATGGATTCATAGAATATTTGTTTTTCTATATGTGGCTTCCTTCGTTTAGCATAATATTTTCAAGGTTCATCTGTGTTGTAGCTTGCATCGGGGCTTCATTCCTTGTTATGGCTAAAAAATATCCCATCGTATGGATAGACCACACTTTGTTGACCCATTCATCTGTTGATGGACATTTGGGTTGTTCCCACCTTTTGGCTATTGTGAACAGTGTTGCTGTGAACATTTATGTGCAAGTATTTGTTTGAGTACCTGTGTTCAATTCTTCTGGGTATAGCCCTAGGAGCGGAATTGCTAGGTCGTGGGGTCATTCTGTGTTAACATTTTGAGGAGCCACCATGCTGTTTTCCACAGTGGCTGCACCATTTATATTCCTACCAGCAATGCACGAAGGTTGCAATTTCTCCGCATCCTCACCAACACTTGTTATTTTTTGTTTTTTCAAATTATTATTATAACCATCCTTCCTAATGGGTATGAAGTGGTATCTCATTGTAGTTCGATTTGCCTTTTCCTGACAACAAATGATATCTACCTTTTTTACACAAACGCAACCTACTATACACCCTATTTTACCTCTTGAATATTCACTAAGCAATCAGTATTGGAGCTCGTTCTACATCAGTTTATGTAGAATCCACATTTTTTTTTTGAGACCATTGTAGTCCCCTGGATGGATAGACCCTAACTCACCAGCCAGCCCCGGACTGATGGTGATGCAGCGTGCACCCGTCTTCTCGTCCCTCTCAATGCTGTAGTAACTATCTCTGTCTTTGTGCACATTCTGCTGATCTGCATTTCTTTCCAAAAGTCAAGGGCAGTCCCCTCTTTGATAATTTCCATCTGCCAGAGGCCTTCATCTCAGTCTCCGTGGTTGGCGATAAGAACACGGCCACCACCCCACACAACAAACATCCCTGACATTTCTTTATCTCTCTTCCTTTCCTTCCTTTCCTTCTCTTTCTTTCTTTCTCTCTCTCTTTCTTTCTTTCTTTCTTTCTTTCTTTCTTTCTTTCTTTCTTTCTTTCTCTTTCTTTCTTTCTCTCTCTCTCTCTTTCTGTCTTTCTCTCTTTCTTTTCTTGACTGAGTCTTGCTCTGTCGCCCAGGCTGGAGTACAGTGGGGTGATCTCACTCACTGCAGCCTCCACCTCCCAGGTTCAAGTGATTCTCCTGCCTCAGCCTCCTGAGTAGCTGGGATTACAGGCATCCACTGCCACACCCAGCTAATTTTTGTATTTTTAGTAGAGACGGTGCCCTGAAAAATCTCAGAGCAACTCAGCTGTGCCGCAGAGCAAGCCAGCACCAGCCCTGCCATACCCATGTTGGCCACGCTGGTCTCGAACTCCTGGCCTCAAGTGATCCACCGCCTCAGCCTCCCAAAGTGCTGGGATTACAGTATGAGCCACCGCACCCAGCCCATCCCTGACATTTCTGGGCCCTCACTCTCTTCCAGGCACTTAGGCTTCCTGCTTTATTCCATTCACTTCCCCAAATGATTCTTCGAGGTAACTTTTCTTCCCGTCTTTCAGGGAGCAGTCCCTTGGCCAAAGTTTCTCAGGGCTGGTGGGGGTGGCAGGATTCAGCCCTGGCTTCTGGCTTGGCCCGACTCCGAGGCCGTGTCCTCTGCCTCTGGACCCCGCTCTCTTGCTTGGGAATTTGGGGTGTCTGCATTCGGGTGACCCATCATTCCCACTTTGCCCAGGACTGAGGGTCTTCCCAGGATACAGAACCTCAATGCTAAATCCCGGGAAGTCCCAGGCAATCAGGATGAGTTGGTCACCATGGTCTGGAAGGCCTAGCTTTTGTGTTGGGGATGGCTCACCCTGAGTCATTTCTGCCATCCGGCCTTCCTCTGTTGGCAAAAGTCCCAGCCCAAGGACTTTGGTGGGACTTGAACTTCCCACCTTGGCCTCCTGTTCCCTCCCCACACTCTGACCTGCACAACCTCTGCCCCCAGTCTCCCCTCTCCTTCCACACGGCCCCAGCAGGGCACCAGAACCAGCAGCCCCCGCCAAAGGCCCTGCCGTCAGCAAAGAGAACTTGCATCCAGGCCAAACCACCAAAGCTACTGAGTCAAAAAAATGGAGAAAAACTCCACCTCCCATCTCCTCGGGCGCCTCAATTTTCTGCAGTTCCTCCTGCGTCTGTCACACATTTCGGGATGGAAGAAAGCACACAGCGGCCAGGAGTTCAAAGGTATCTGTCTGGGCATTTGTGCCAGGGCAAAGTGACCAGGCAACTCAGCTCTGCCGCAGAGCAAGCCGGCACCAGCCCTACCACACCCATAATAATTCACAGTTCCTCACTCAGACGCCACTTGGGGCTCCAACTTGGCCTCTCCTCACACCGCTGATCCTCCAGCGCCATAATTAGCTTCTTACCACCCACCTTGTGCTAACAACCTTCCCCTTTATTACTGCAAAAGACATTCAAGAAAACGCATAGACCACAGCCCGTCATCCATTTGTAACCTTGAGTATTTATTTTTTTTCAGGGAACCCAGCGAAGATGTAAGTCAAGAGAATTCTCACCCCCATCCCTCATCACTCTCACTCTTCCGAGACAAGTGTCACGATGTGGTGGCTGACAGAGCTTCCCTTTTTGAAGGGCACGGTCTCAGTTCTGCTGGCTCTCAGGCCGGAAGAAGCCGAGGGCGCTGAGTGGGCAGAAGGGGCCCCAGGAAGCCCCTCAGAGGATGGGAAGTGGCGGGGGACAGGGCCACAGGGCTTGCTGTGACCCGGTATGACCTCCTTTTCCTCTTGTCCTGACCAGGACAACCGTGTTCAGAGGTGGGTTCATCTGGCGTACCGGGCTTGCGGCAGATCCTGCTGTTTCTCCACCCACCCGCCTTTCCCTCTCCTTGTTTCCGAAGGAGAGCCTGCCTCTCGCCCCGAGGTTGAACATTCCAGCTCCTTGCTCTCCCCGGCAGGAAGCCCCAATTCTGCCCTGCAGTGGTTGCCTGGACACCCTCGTAACCCAGCTGAGCCTGCACCCCCGGGGCCTGGGCCACTCTGCTGCTCTGTCTTGCACCCTTGACTTCCTTTGAGGGTTGACTCTGGACCCTTAAGCCTCCTCCTTCCTTGCCTGGAGTTTACCCACCTAGGCCGGCCGCCTGGCAAGGACTGGCTGGTGCGGGGCCTGAAAGCCTGGCCCTCGCCTCAAGGTGGGACTGTCTGGGCTGTCACTGATGCCCCAGAGCTCCCGAGGGATCCTTTGCCTGGCTTCTTCCCGTCGTCCCCGTCCTGTTTCCCCACTCTCTTCCCGCCTGTCCCAGACTGCTACCTTCCTAATAAATGGCTTGTACAGAAATCCTTGCCTCAGGCTCTGCCTATGAGGAGCCTGACCACACGCATTCTCTGTGTGGAGAGACCCCCCAGGACCTCTTTTTGTTCCATGGGACCTAACAGGAGTCTGGGGAAGGTTTTTCTCTCCCTGATTGAAGAGTGAGGCATGCAGGGAAGGTTTTCCCACTTCTTTTTCCAGCCTCAAAAACAATCAGATGAAGCAGCTGGCCCCAGTGGCCATTTTGGATGAGGAGGGAACATGGCCAATGACACCAGAGGGAAGGGTCTTGGTCTTTGCTGACGGCATCAAGCAGCCAATCCTGCAGCTGCCTATGCACAGACCTTTGTCTGTGTGAGATGATGGTGATGATGATGACGATGATGATGATGACGATTGAGACAGGGTCTCACTCTGTTGCCCAGGCAGGAGGGTAGCAATGCAATCATAACTCACGGCAGCCTAAACCTCTTGGTCTCAAGTGATCCTCCTACCTCAGCCTCCTGAGAGCTGAGACCACAGGTGGCATGTGCCACCACACTGGGCTAATTTTGATAGAGATGGGGTCTTGCTATATTGCCCAGACTGGTCTCAAATGTGGGCTCAAGTGATGCTCCCACCTTGGCCTCCCAAAGTGCTGGGGTTACAGGCACGAGCCATATGCCTGGCCCTTTGTAAGATTACAATGAATCCTTCTTTGGAACCTTCTGATCAGAAAGTTGTGTCTTACTGTGGAACCTCCCTTCCCTGCAAGGCATGGTGGCGTTTGACCAGCCTCTCAGGCCTGGCCCCTTCCTCCTGGCCGAATTTGATTTGGAGCAGATGTTCACCCTCATTCTGGCCAACGACATGTGAAAGACATCTCCTGAGGCCTCCTGGCGAAAACGTCTTTGTTCTGTACAGATCCAACCCTGGGTGTGTGACGGCCGCCTCCCCAAGGAGAATGCCACCACTCAGCCTTTGCACAGATGGAGGCAGAGCCCGGCCACCATGTCCGGGACCCGCTGGGCCCGGGCTTCTTGTCGTGTGTGCCAATGATCTGCCTATCAACAAAGCCTATTCGATTCGGGTTTTCCATGACTCCCAACCAAGGCATTTTAGCTGATAAGTGAGGGAGGTGCTGGGTGCCCCTCTGGACCCTTGGGGGAAACACAAAGATGAATGGGAATTTTTCACCTCTTTAGAGCTTGCTATGTGGCAGCCGCTATCGAGCACTTCATATTCATTGCTGTTCATCTTTACAACAGCCCTGTAAGGTTGGATGAAATGACCCCCTTAATAGCTGTGGAGACGAAGGCCCAGAGAGGGTAAGTCACTTGCCCAGGGTCACACAGCTTGTGAGTGGCTGACCCCAGATGCCAGATTCTCAACTGCAAGCCCTGCCTCTGGGGAGCTTCTGGCCTTGCATAAGAGACAAGCGCACAGAGTAGGATGGAGGGCTCGGAGGAGGGGCTGGGAAGGAGGCAGGGAGATGGTATGGGACGAGCTCCAGGCCCAGAGTCAGAAGGGCTTGCATTGCTCACTGTGTGACCTTGAGCAAGTGGCTTTGCCTCTCTGTGAGACAGCTTCCTCTTGAGTGAAATAGACCAGTGGTACCTACTGAGCAGGTATGTCAAACAAGAAGCCACAGCTGGAGGTGCTCTGCAAGCTGTCAAGGGCTGTGCACAGGTCAGCAGCACCCATCATCGCAGGCCTCCATTGGGAGGCTGAGGTGGGAGGATTGCTTGAGCCTGGGTAACATAGCGAGACCCCCATCTCTATAAACAATTTTAAAACTTTGCTGGGTATGGTGGTGCACACCTGTAATCCCAGCTACTCAGGAGGGTAAGGTGGGAGGAAAGAAGAAAGGGAGAGAGGGAGGGAGGGAGGGCTGGCCATGGCTTCCACTCCTCCATGACCCCGGGAGAGAAGCCCTCGGGTCTGACATGGCTCCTCTTGGTCTTGTCAGCTTTCACAAGGGCTGAGCAACTCCTGCTGGATGGTTTTGCTTATTACTATCATATTTTAAGCATCCCCCAAGGAACCAAGGATTGCATCCTGATCACTTCATGCACCTGCCTCCAAGGTTTACCAAAGGTCTACTCTGCCAGAACAGCCTTGGATACATGTTTAAAGCAACCACACATTACTGATGGCCCCCGCCTCTAATGCACCCCTTCCCTCCACAGACGTGACCACCATCCTGAGATTCCAGTGTAAATTTCCTTCCAGTGGGTGAGGTTTTGCTCCATTTGAATGCATCCATTCACAATCTATAGCATCATTTCACATGTTTTAAAACCTGACCTAAATGGTATACTATTGCATGAATTATTTTGTAATTGGAATTTTCTGTCTGTTACTTTTCTGTTGTTTTTGCAGCACGTCACATTGATAAGCATGGATCAAGTTCATTCATCTCCACTGCTGCATTATATTCCATTAGCTGAGCAAGCCACAGTTCATTTATTCACCCACCTATTGATGGGCATGTGGATCGTGCTCAATTTTTCCCAATCACGAGCAAGGCTGCAATGAAAACTCTTATGCACGCCTCTTTAGGCACTTGCTGGAGAATTCTCTTGAACTCAATGTTCCTTTTCCTAACAAATGTTTGAAATATCTCCTCTACTATCCTGAAATGTGATTCGTGACTGATAGGAGTTACTTATACATTGTACTGCCAAAAAATACACACCACACACACACACACTCACACACCCAAACACACACACTATGATCATCTGTAATGTTAAAGAAAGTCATTTGTAACAAAATAATATAATAATATGTATTGGCTGGGCACATGATGCAGCCAGCCAGGATGCTGGCTGCATCCTCCCAGCACTTTGGGAGGCCCAGGAGGGAGGATCACTTGAGACCAGGAGTTGGAGACCAGCCTGGCCAGTATAGTGAGACTCATCTTTACAAAAAAATTTAAAAATTAGCTGGGTGGGGTCGTGCACACTTGCAGTCCCAGCTACTTGGGAGGCTGAGGTGGGTGGATTACTTGAGCATGGGAGGTCAAGGCTGTAGTAAGCCATGATCACGCCACTATACTCCAGCCTGGGTGACAGAGCAAGAACCTGTCTCAAAATTATAATATATATTTCTGTAAGTATATGCTCAAATGCAACTATTCTGGATAACGAGTAGTCATCAGATGTTTGCACCTCTGAATAGAATTACCATGAGTGGCACAGGTAATGTGCAGACTGGCACAGGTGAGTGTTGTTGGCGGTTCATTGGTGATATGATTTGCCCAAATGGTGCCCAGCTCTTGGCATAGCTCTGAGCAAAACTGAGTACATTCCTCCCTCAATTTACACATTCATTCTATTCCTGGAAAACCCAGCGCTCAACAAATACCTTGTCAAAAAATATTTTCAGTTTATTTATGCAACTGAGTTAGGTTGTAGATCTGGCTTACTACAGTGTCTTCACCAAAAAATGATGAGTGGAGATTTGAAAAATGGCATAAGGGATAAGACCATGTTTTATTTTAAGGGAAGTTTAGCAGCCCTAGCCTTCAGCCACTATAAGCCCTCAGTGCCTCTGGTGATTGCAAAAACTAAAAGCATCCCACACATTCACAAAATGCCCCCGCTGAGGGCAAAGTTCAGTGCAGCATGCAATTGCTGGACTGTGGTCCCCATGTTCCTCACATATCCTAAGTCCAGGCTCACGAGGCAGAGTTGAGGAGCTGCTTCTGGGGGCTACAAACTCAGGGTCCAGGAGAGTTTCCTAGAGCCCAGTGGAGAGCACAGTGTTGGTGCCAATGGCCAGAAAGAGCCTATGCTTTGCCCTCCTCTGGAGAAACTACTAACCTGTGCCAACCCCAGCCAGACCCTCAGGGCCTGGGAGCTGGACCGCACTTTATAGGATGGGGCCATATTCAAGGAGCTTTGGATGGAGGGCTGTTTTGTGAAGCAGAAATGAGTAGTACACAGGCATTTTTCGGAGTCTTTTTTTAAAATTGGGTTTTGATTTGCATTTCCCTAATGATTGAGCTTTTTTTCATACACTTGTTGGCTGCATGTGTATCTTTTTTTTTGAGAAGGGTCTGTTCATGTCCTTTGCCCATTTTTTAGTGGGGTTGTTTGGTTTTTTGCTTGCTGATTTGTTTAAGCCCCTTAAACAAATTTATAGATTCTGGATATTAGATCTTTGTCAGATGCATACTTTGTGAATATTTTCTCTCATTCTGTAGGTTGTCTGCTTACTCTGTTGATGGTTTCTTTTGCTGTGCAGAAACTCTTTAGTTTAATTAGGTCCTACTTGCCAATTATTGTTTGTGTTGCGATTTGAGTCTTCATCAAAGACTTTTGAGGCCAGGTGCGGTGGCCCACACCTGTAATCCCAGCACTTTGGGAGGCCGAGGCCAGCAGATCACTTGGGGCCAGGAGTTTGAGACCAGCCTGGCCAACATGGCGAAACCCAGTCTCTACTGAAAATACAAAAATTAGCTGGGTGTGGTGGTGCATGCCTGTAATCCCAGCTACTTGGGAGGCTGAGGCATGAGAATCACTTGAATCCAGGAGGTGGAGTTTGCAGCGAGCTGAGATTGCACCACTGCACTCTAGCCTGTGTGACAGAGCAAGGCTCTGTCTCAAAAAAAAAAAAAAAAAAAAAGACTTTTGAAGTCTTTGTCATGAAGTCTTTGCCAAGGCCGATGTCCACAGTGGTATTTCCTGGGTTTCCTTCCTTCTAGGGTTTTTATAGGTTTAGGTTTTGCAGAATGGCTATTATTAAAAAGTAAAAAAATAACAGATGTTGGCAAGGATACAGAGAAAAGGGAACACTTATACACTGCTGGTGGGAATGTAAATTATTTCAGCTACTGTGGAAAGCAGTGTGATTTCTCAAAGAATTTAAAATAGAACTACCATTCAACCCAGCAATCCCATTACTGGGTATATACCCAAAGGAATATAAATTGTTCTACTGTACAGACACGTGCCTGTGTATGCTCGTCACAGCACCATTCACAATCACAGACATGGAATCAACCTACATGCCCATCAGTGGTAGACTGGGTAAAGAAAATGTGGCACATATACACCATGGAATACCACGCAGCCATAAAAAAGAACAAAATCATGTCCTTTGCAGCAACATGGATGGAGCTGGAGGCCATTATGCTAAGCGAATTAATGTAGGAACAGAAAACCAAATACTGCATGTTCTCACCTGTAAGTAGGGACTAACATTGAGTACATACACATGGATACAAAGACAGGAACAACTGACACCGTGGCCTACTTGAGGATGTAGGGCAGGAGGAGGGTGAGGATCAAAAAACTACCTATCGGGTTCTGGGCTTATTACCTGGGTCACAAAATTATCTGTACACCAAACCCTGAGACACACAATTTACCCATGTAACAAACCTGCACATGTACCCCTTGAACCTAAAATAAAAGTTGGAAAGAAAAAGAAAAATCGTCTAGCCTGTATAAAGAAAAACACACGAGTCCCTAGTATATGTGTGGCTTGATGAATTGTTAGAGTTGTGTAATCCCCACCGTAGTCATGATGTGAGCCATTTCTAGCACCCCAGGAGGCTCCCTCCTGCCCCGTGTGGTCTACCCTGCCCTTGCCACAACTCCCAGTGACTGATTTCTCATCTGATTTCTCTCTTGATAGCTTAGATTTGTTTGTCTTAGAACGTCACAGAATTGGAACCACCATTGGACTGTTAGGTAGTATGCATTGCTTTAGATCTGGCTTATTTCACCCAGCATGATGTTTTTGAGATGCATCAAAAACATAATGAATCACTAGTTCATCACAATAAACTACTGATATGTGTTGCACATATCAGTAGTTCATTACTTCTGATTGCTGAGCAGTATTCTGTGGTATTTGCCACAGTGTGGTTATTCATTCACCATTGATGGGAATGTGGGCTGTTTCCAGTTTGGGCACTCATGAGTAACGCTGCTATGAACTTTTGCATCTAAGTCTCTGTGTGAGGATATGTTTCCCTTTCTCTTGGATATAGACCTGGGAGGTGAATAGCCGGGTCACGTTATAAGTGTTTGTTTAACATTATAAGAAACTACCAAACAGCTTTCTAGGCTGGCTTTGTCATTTTGCATCCCACCAGCAGTGTGTGGGATTTGCAGTTGCCCTTCATCCTCACCAGTGCTTAGTATTACCAGCCTTTCTAACGCCAGCCTCTCTCATTGGTGTGTTGTGCCTTCTCGCTGTGCTTTTATTTTCCTTGAGGGATAATGAGATTGACATGCCTGGATTTTAGGGGTGACAAGCTCCCTGCCTCATCAGGCTTCTCAGCTGAATCTCTTTAATGCAAGCCTCAGAGGGAGACTTCAGCCCACCCTGGGCTTGGGATGACAAAGCCTTCCTGCTCAGCAAGCCCCCTGAGGCCAGAGGGGAGTCCCTCCTGGCAGCTGGGGCCTGGGCCAGTATACCCCCGACAGCGGTAAGATGGAGGAGGCCAGAGGCTGGGGTCTTGCACTGACCCAGGAACCCCATCCCCTGCAGTGGAGAGGTGTCATAGTAAGTAGCTTGTGCTTGGGGACCAGCCCTAGGATGGAGTACCCACTGCCATTCCCAAGCATGGGACTTTGGGCAAAGAACTTTCTCTCTGACCTCAGTTTCCTCATCTGTAGACTAGGGATAATAATAGAACCCATCTCACTGGGACGTGGTGCAAAGCATCTACCCTGCTGTGTGGTGCTGAGAGAGTGCTCAAGACATGGAAGCCACATGAATTCCACTCCCTCAACAGATAGCAGCATACCTCTCTGAATATACGGTGAGCTCTCTGAACCCCTGAAAGTTTCCCTCAGAAAAACAGGAGTAACCTGATATTTCAGTCCTTACGAAGCTTCTTTTCTCTTGATTCTTTCTCATTAACTTATTTATTATTATTATTATTATTATTTTGGGGGTTGGGGGACAGGGTCTCACTTTTTTGCCCAGGCTGGAGTGCAGTGGCACGAGCCTGGCTAAGTGCAGCCTTATCCACCTGGGCTCAAGCAGTCCTCTCCCTCAGCCTCCTGAGTGGTTGGGACTCCAAGTGCATGCCACAACCCCTGGCTAATTTTTGTATTTTTTGTAGAGACAGGGTTTCACCATGTTGTCCAGGCTGGTCTCAAACACCTGACCTCAAGACATCCGCCCACCTCAGCCTCCCAAAGTGCTGGGATTACAGGTGTGAGCCACCACACCTGGGCCCTATTTTTATTTAAAAAAAACATCAAAGCCTGGTTTAGAACAACTTAAACAAGCATCGAATCCCTTGGAGGGCTTATGAAAAGGGACACTGCTGGGCCCCTCTCCCGAGTGTCCGATTCAGCAGGTTTGGGGTGGGGCTGAAAATCTCATTTCTAGCAAGTTCCCAGGCACGGTTGATGTTGCTAACTCAGGGACCACACTTTGGGAACAACTGGTTTGTCATATCAAAATTAAGCCTCATGGGTCTCAGCCTGCCTAGATGATTTTTAGAAATACAGATGTCCCCCTCTAAGATTTTTGAGTCTGCTGATTTAGGGGTGAAACCTAGAACCATCTATGTATGTTAAAATCTCCCCCAGGTGATTCTAAATACGCTCAGGTGAGAATGCCAGCCTTATCCCGAAACAATCTCAAACTACGCGGCCTAAGATTCCTATAAGTCTCATCTCGGAATCTTTTTTTTTTTTCTTTTTTTTTTTGAGACAGAGTTTCGCTCTGTTGCCAGGCTGGAGTGCAGTGGTGTGATCTCGGCTCACTGCAACCTCCACCTCCCGGGTTCAAGCGATTCTCCTGCCTCAGCCTCCTAAGTAGCTGGGATTACAGGCATGTGCCACCACACCTGGCTAATTTTTGTATTTTTAGTAGAGACGGGGTTTCACCATGTTTGCCAGGACGGTCTCAATCTCCTGACCTCATGATCTGCCCGCCTTGGCCTCCCAAAGTGTTAGGATTACAGGCGTGAGCCACCGCGCCCGGCCTCGGAATCATTTATACAGAGACAGTCAAGAAATGTCATCAGATTTAGCCATTATTCCAGGGGTATGAAGTATTGGATATCACTCTAAACAACCCTTTTAAAGATCGCTTTAAAAAGTAACACAGTACGTGGTTACTTGCTGGAACTCATCAATAATATACACCCACAAAACAAATGAAACAACCAATGTCCTAATTTATGCAAAAGGATATTTGCGGCCTGGGATAAAATTTCCAGTAGCTGCGTCATAGGCAGATTCAAAAAATGTCATGTCTCCAAAGTTCTAGACATGAGGGGAACAGATGGGGCCCACCAAATGCTGTTTGATGACTCAAAGACACCGTGTCAAAGACACAGGCGGCGAGTTGGGAGAACATGATTTTATGAATGTAAGAATGGAACACAAAGAAATGTATCTTAATGTGCTGTGTTACTTATGTCATATGTGACTTTCTTTTTTTTTTTCTTTTTTTGAGACGGAGTCTTGCTCTGTTGCCCAGGCTGGAGTGCAGTGGCATGATCTCAATCTTGGTTCACTGCAACCTCTCCCTCCCGGGTTCAAGTGATCCTCGTGCCTCAGCCTCCCGAGTAGCTGGGATGACAGGCACGCACCACCACGCCCAGCTAATTTTTGTATTTTCAGTAGACATGGGGTTTCGCCATGTTGGCCAGGCTGGTCTCAAACACCTGACCTCAAGCAATCTGCCAGCCTCAGCCTCCGAAAGTGCTGGGATTACAGGCATGAGCCACTGCGCCCAGCTACATGTGACTTTTTAATTCATTGTTTTTTACAGACAGGGTCTGGCTCTGTTGCCCAAGCTGGAGTGCAGTGAAGATCTTAGCTCTGTGAAACCTCAACCTCCTGTGCTCAGGCAACCTTCCCACCTTAGCCTCTCTGGTATCTGAAACCACAGGTGCACACTGTCACTACGCCTGCTTTTTTTTTTTTTTTTTTTTGGTAGAGATAGGAGGCTCCCTATGTTGCCCAATTTTGTACTCCTGGCCTCAAGCGATCCTCCCACCTCAGCCTCCCAAAGTGCTGGGACTACCTGCATGAACCACTGCGCCCAGCCAACATATGACTTTAAATAGGCATAAACAGGCATGTGTAACTCTACCACTAATATAAATGTGCAAGTGAACTTTGGACTATGCATACGCCCCCACCCAAAGTTTATATGTAAGTTTACCAAAAACATTGAGGGAGGTCCCTTCCCATTGGTGAAATGAGGGAGCTGACTAACATTTGGGGATACCTCACAGTTTTGGCAGCACAAAGATAAGCAAGACAGAAGAGGTCTCTGCCTCCAGGAAGCTGACGTTAGAGGGAGAGAGACAGTGAATACAAAATATGATGCTGAGGGCCACAAGGAAAGATGGAGCCGAAGGAAGAGGATGAAGGAGCACCAGGGAGGGGCTGCAACATGGGGACATTTGCAATATTCGGACAGAGACCAGAATAAGGAGAGGAGCTGAGCCTGTGAGTGTCTTGGGGGAGAGAAGACTTGGTAGCAGGAACTGCACGTACGGAGGTTCCGAGGTCAGAACAAGCTTGCAACGTCCAGGAAACGACAAGGAGGCTCGTGAGGCCAGACCACACTGGGAGATGGGGACAGTGGCGGTGGCCAGGTCTCAGAGGGCCTGGGAGGCCGGAGAGGGAGGTGGGTTTTATTTATTCCCATGGATCTGGTGTGGTCCCTTTGGGCTCGGTGGGAGGTAACTGCTCATCATTCTACATCTGGGACCTCTGTCCACAGCTGGGTCCCATGTGCCCCTCCAGCATTCTCAGGGCCTCCAGGAGGGAAGTGTTAATGCTTCCCCTTCTCCGTCTGCCTCTTACCCTTCTGTCTCCACTGATGAGCAGCCAGGGCAGGGAGGGACTGCAGCAGGCCCCAGAGGATGAGGGCGTGTCTTCCCAGTGCCATCTGCACAACGCAACTCAATTCTGGGAATGAGCATTTATTCAGCACCTCTTGGATGCAAGGCACTGACCGCAGCTTGACACCACAGCCAGCCAGGCACTCAACACTGCTTGCTGAGGCCAAAGTGAAGATCCCCCCAACAATCGTCTTGTATTTTTTTCAGCTCAGTTTCCTGAGCCTGCCACACCGAGGGCCCCACAGTCGGAAACCACGTTTGGTTCGAAGCTCTCCTGTTCTCATCTGGAAATTCCTCATCATTTTTGAGCATGGGACCCTGTGTTTCCATTCTGCACCAGGCCCTGCAAATTACCTAGGGGCCTTGGGCGGGGGCTCCATTCTAGATGCACACTCAGGGGCTCTGGCAGCTGGTGGGGACTGGAAATGGGGCCTCCACTCAAGTCCCAGGTGCTGCGGCCTGCAGACCATCCCAGTCTTGGCCAGAGGCCCTGAAAACAGTCAGGGCCCCTCTGCGGCCTGAGGAAGAACCTCTGCACACACCGGCGCTGCTCGCAGCAGACAGCCGTGAGGAGATGTCTGGTTTTGATTAAATGTCCAGAGCCGCTCATTAACTTGCACAGACAGACTCAGAAGCCACTCGCTCTAAAACCCGCCCGCCACGGCAGCCCATCCTGCAGGCCCTTCTGTGCCACCTGCAGTTCCTGCTGGAAACTAGGAGCCCCTGGTTTGGGGGCCATGGGCCCTGAGGCAGGGGGATGGCCAGGGTCATCCAGCCCAGTGGCCTGAGTCCTCCAAAGTGTGTACCTGTCATCATCCACGGTGTGAGGGCTTCCCTGCCCTGCTGTCTCCACTCTGAACTGGGTTCAGGGGCTGTGGTCTTCCTGGTACAATTTCAAAGCATCTAAGAGGGCCTCATTCCCGCAGCACTGTTCCCTGCCTTGGCCTCTGTCTCTGAAATTCCACCATCAGGGCCGGTCCTTTTACTGTACTTTAGGTGAAATTTATAGCTGGAACTGCTTTGCATTTATCATGACAGTGTTTGCAGTGATTTATTTACAAGTCTGTCTCCTCCCCAGGCCACAGCTCTTGAAGGCAAAGTCCATGCCCCATACATTCATTCTTCAAAAATCTGTTCCTGGGCGCCCACCGTGTGCCTGGCATCAGCTGGCACGAGGAATCTCACTGTCTTTTGATCCCTAACACTAGGAACAGGGCCTCCCCTGGCTGGGACCCTCTGCATATTTGCTGAACGAATGAATATGTGAGCAAATGTAGAGTATTGCTCACATTTCTTGAGCACTTACTATAGGTGCCAGGCTCTGTTTTAATCAATTTGTGTGTATTTCCTTGTTCCACTCTCCCAACACCCTTGAGTTGGGTGTTGCTGTTATCCCCATTTTACAGAGGAGACTTTGGCACTCAGTAAGGACACGTAACCAAGAGGGCTAACAAGAAGCATGCACAGATACACAGGCATCCCCGCAAGCCAGAAACCAGCACATTCACAGGCAGGCAGAGCTCAGAGCCAAATTAGTCAAATATCTTGAAATGATGTTTATTTCTCCTCTAGTTCTCGAGTTCTAATGACTGTTTATTCTTACAAACATCTAATTTGTGTGCTCAGCCTCCCAGTTAGAGTGCAGTGCCAAGTGGCTCGGGCGTTTGCTCTTTGGTCGGATATCATACCCCCGCTCCTTGCTTTTCTTTTAAGACTCTTCAGACCCTGGGTATCTTGTTGGCATCTCACAGGTGGGAGGCGCTTTCCTCTACAGCCTCTGGTGCCTCGCCAGGCCAGCTGGAGGCCAAATGGAAGAGTGTGAGGGTTGCCTGCAAAGATGGCTGCCAGCAGTGCTCCCCCTCCCTGCAGGGGCCTGCAACCTCTCCCATGGGAGGTGGAGTCTGTGTCCCCACCCCTTGAAAGTGGGCAGGCTCTGTGAATCCTTTGACCCCCGGGATGCTGTGGAGGTGACTCCCTGCAGTTCTGGATTAAGCCTTAAGAGACCTGGCGACTTCTATTTTCTCTCTCTTGGAATCCAGCTGGCCCGCAAAGTAGCTCAGGCCAGGTTCTAGAAGAGGGAGAGACCGCAGGGACAGAGTGAAGCCTGGGAGATGAGTTACAAGGGGAGAGAGAAGAGTGTACCCAGCTCCAGTGCTAAACAATGTGGGTGATGCCGTGCTGGGCCATCCAGCCCCAGCTGAGCCCCCCAGATAACACACGTGGGGTGGGGACCACCACGATGCCTGATCCTGCCCAAATTGCAGAATTCTGAGCAGATAAGTGGCGGCTGTTGTTTTAAGTGGCTAAGTTTGGGGCTGGTTTGTTAAGCAGTGAAGGCAGCTGGAGTTAGAGTGGCTCCAGAGGTCAGGAAACAGGGGAGAGGCGTGCCTGGCCCCTGCTTCTGCTCCTGCCTTGCTTTGAGGGGCAGGGGGCAGGTGTCAGCCCTACAAATAGCATCTCCCCTCTTCCCTCCTCTTCCCTACCCCCTGGGAGTAACCTGCTTGTTTTCCCAACAGGTGTTAAAATAACGACCTTTGGGCTAAAAAGGAAGCTGTGTGTGTGAGTGATAAGAGGGTCTGGCTGCCTGAACCGCAAGGAGGGAGCGAGGGAAGTGAGGTGGGGACGGAGGTCGTGGGGAGAGTTGGCAATTTGCAGGGAGAAGGCTTTCAGCTGGACTGGGGCGGATCAGGGCCTCTTTCTCCCCATGTCCTACAGAACTCGGCTTCATTCTTTTCTTCACGAGGAAGGTTTGCAGGAAGAAAGGGCCCAAGAGCCACAGCCGTCCCCTGCCTGGGTGCTCACCGTTTGCCTGTGCGGTCCTCCCCTTCACTCGGCCTGGGGTGCTGTCTCCCTGCTGTCCTGGGTTAAATTGTGTGCTCTGCAAAAAGATATGTGGAAATCTTAACTCCCAAACCTTAGAATGTGACCTGATTTGGAAACAGGGTCATGGCAGATGTAATTGGTTAAGATGAGGTCTTGCTAGAGTAGAGCAGGCCCTAAATCCAGTATGACCGGTGCCCTTATAAAAAGAGGACAGAGACACATGGGAAGGTCACGTGATGACGGCGGTGCTGGGAGATGCAGCCACAAGCCAAGGCATGCCAGGGATTGCTGGCTGCTGCGAGAGGCTGGGAGGGGGGCGAGGAAAGAGCCCACCGGAGTTCAGAGGGTGCATGGCCCTGCCCAGAACTTGATCTTGGACTTCTGGCCTCCAGAACGGTGAGGGAATAAAACGTCTGTTTTTTGAAGCCACCCAGTTTGTGACGCCCAGTTACAGCAGCCTAAGGACAGGAATATATCCCTGTTGTGCCCAGGCCTAGTCACTGTGGACTTCAGCAAGTGCTGTTCACTTCACCTTCAAAACAGAGTACTTCCCAAATCTGCCCTTCTCAGGCCAGGTGCGGCGGCTCACGCCTGTAATCCCAGAGCTTTGGGAGGCCGAGGCGGGCAGATCACTTGAGGTTGGGTGTTTGAGACCAGCCTGGGCAACATGGTGAAACCCTGTCTCTACTAAAAATACAAAAATTAGCCGATGTCGTGGCGGGCGCCTGCAATCCCAGCTACTCAGGAGGCTGGGGCAGGAGAATCGCTTGAAACTGGGAGGCAGAGGTTGGAATGAGCCGAAATCGTGCCACTGCACTTCAGTCTGGGCAACACAGCAAGACTCTGTCTCAAAAAAACATGGTGAAACAAAACCAAATCTGCCCTCCTCTACTCTTCCAGGGAACACCCTGGTCAGAGCCCCTGCCCTCCCTTGCCTGGACGGTTGCAGGTGCCCCCGCCGACCCCCACAGTTCTCCCAACTCACTATGCCCCCTCTTCCCCCCAGCAGCCAGAGGGGTCCTTTCAAAACCTACATCAGGCCAGTCCCCATGCTCCTAAAGGTATCCTATCCTGCTCCAATTCCAATAAAACCCCAATTCCTTTGAAGAAGGCCCCCATGACCTGGCCCCTTCCAGCCCCTGTGATCTCTCTCCTACCACCACGTCGCTCTAGCCTACTGCTTCTCAAACACACCAAAAACAGTCCCACCTCAGGGCCTTGGCACGTACGGGTCCCCTGGCCTGGAACCCTCCTCCTCACATCTCCACATGGCTCCAACTGTCTCTTTATTCACGTCTTTGCTCAAATGTCACCCTCAAAGAAACCTTCTCTGATCACCTGTAATGAAATCGCCACACATCACCTTCCTCGCCCACCCCACATCATCTCCCTCTGCCCGCTTTGGAAGATGATCTTGTCCGTGGCAGAGTTGCCTTACAACCCACACCCTTCTCACGGGCTCTCTTTGAAGCAGCTGTTCCATTTCTAGGAAACGATTCTACAGAGGTGCTGGCCTGGGGCGCAGAGGCACGGACAGGCCAGGATGTGCCTGGTAGGGTCACTACTGCAGCAAAAGCCGAAAGCCAAGCTCCGTGTCCATCGCGAAGGCACTGGGCATGTGGCTATGCAGCCGTGACAAAGGATGAAGCCATCCCGTGGCCAGGGCGCAGAGTGACCTCCCAGATCTACGTTTCATGTGGCGTTTCTGCCGTGTATTTTTAAACCCGGGGACAAATGTATGCGTAGTAAAGGTCGTGAGGTCATTTGTCTTTGGTGTCTAGCTTGACAGATTTTGAAAAAATTGACCCTTTTAAAAAGCAAACTTTATTTTTCAGAACAGCTTTAGACTCATAAAAAGATTGTGAAGACCGAACAGTCACCCCATACTCCACGCCCAGTTTACCCTACTGTTAGCATCTGACATTAGTATGATACATTGTTTAGAATTTTGTGGGGGAGGAGACAGTGTCTTGCTCTGTTACCCAAGCTGGAGTGCAGTGGTGCAAACATGGCTCACTGCAGCCTCAACCTCCCAGGCTCAAGCAACACTCCTGCTTCAGCCTCCCAAATAACTGGGACTGCATGTGCACGCCACCATGCCTCGCTAATTCTTTTTGTTGTTGTTAGAGATAGGGTTTCGTTCTGTTGCCTAAAATGGTCTGGAACTCCTGGGCTCAAGGGATCCTCCAGCCTCGCCCTCCCAAAGTGCTGGTATTACAGGCGTGAGTCACTGCCCCGGCCCATTTTTCACAATTAAGGAACCAGTGTGGATACATTAGTATCAACTGACATCTGCCTGTTTCAATCTCACTTCTTCCCCAGGGCCCCAGGTGGCATCTGTCTTTGGCCTTCTCGAGGCTCCTCCGAGCCTCTGGGCTGGATAGTTTCTCAGACTCACCTTGGTTTTGATTTGATGACCTTGACAGTTTCGAGGCAGGTGACCTTGACAGTTTCGAGGCTTGCTGGTCACGGAGCTGCAGGATGCGCCTGCATTGGGATTGGTCTGATGTTTTTCTCATGATGAGACTGGGGTGACGGTTTGAGAGAATTTTTCAAGCCAAGTGGGTGCAGGAGACCCATGAAGGCCCCTCCCGCTGATCTTTTGAGGAATATGTATTTCTATCTGTGCATTTCTGCTTGTGTGTTCCTAAGCTACTCCCTGGAAGGACACACAGACACTGGGAACTGAAGATGCTTCTGGGGCGGGCACGCGGGCCCCTGAAGACAAAGTCGGAGAGATGCATGCTTTGCAATGTGTGCCCCGTTGGTACCGATTGAAAAAGTTATTTAACTACACGTATACGAGACTGAACTGTGTGTGTACATTTTAAAATAAAACAAAACGTGCTTCCTGTTCTGCGGCCTCTGCCCCTCCCCTCGGCAGCCCTGAGGCTTGGCCAGGGTCCAGGAGGAAGGCGCGGGGAACAGGTTGGCCCAGTCAGCTGGCTGGGACTTCAAAGGAAAGCGCCGCTGGGGCCCACCTGGGGCGCAGCGGAGCACCTCCCACAGAGGGAAGGAAATGCCAGCCCTGGGGCGACCTCAGAACATCTGCAGGGACAAGGGTGTGTCAGGCCACCTGGGCAAGCGCTTTACCTCTCTGTGCCTCGGTTTGCTCATCTGGGAATTGGGGATGTTGAGAGCACCTGAGTCCCAGCACTGCTGTGAGGGTGAACGTGATCCTGAACGCCAAGGGCTTGGCTAGGCTTTTCACGCGTGCTCTTCACACCGAGAATACAATCAAGCCCCACACCCACCCCCAGCCCGCAGAGTCCTATGTGAGCAGCCCCTGTCCACTTCTCAGACCCCATCTCTCTCCCCAGCTTCCTCCCGACCCAGGTCCAGCCACACTGGGCTCCGAGCTATTCCCACCCCAGGACCGTTGCACCAGCTGTGCCCACCACGAGAGCATTTCCCCCAGACACCCACGTGGCTTCCTGGCAGGTCCTTCTGGCTGGGTCACAACCCAATCCCCTACTGAACTGGACATTTCACCACCTGCGTTCTTGAACTCTGACGAGGTTTAAGGCAGATATGGGCACAGGCAGATAAGGGGCGTAGGTGCATGGGGGGTGTGTAAGGGCCTGCCTGGGAGGCTAGCCTCAGAGGCTCTGGGAGACGAATTTTCTCTTCTTGAGGGAGCCCCTGGGGGTGGGAAGGTCCCTGGTCCTTCAGTCCTGAAACTCGGTTGTAGAGTGGGTGAGAAGGACAGGGTGGGCAGAGGGATAGGACTGGGGTCCCGGAGGATGGAGGGGAAGACCCCAGACAGGGGGCCCCAAGCTAAATCTAGCAGAGGGGCCCAGACCCTGACAACATAAGGTCACAGCCAGCTACCCAGGGCCCCGCATGGAGTCCCCACTCCCCTCTTACCAGCTCAACCTCTCTACAAACCTCAGTTTCCCTCCTGTGTGCCTGGAACAGCTGTTGCAGGCGCTGTGAGGCAGGGATGGGGGAATTGAGGAAGGTCCTCGAGGCTGGGAAGTTGAGGCTGGCAGCCGAGACAACTGAGGCGTGAGGAGCACAGCTCTGTGCCCAGGCAGCTGCAGGAAAACACCCCGAAGGGCCATTTGCGGGGAGCCCCCAGTCTGTCTAAGTGACAGATGTTATTCCGAGAAGAGCCTCTCTCTACCCAGGATGCTGAGTTCCACAGGATGCCTGCAGCAGGGCTGGCCTGGGAGGTTGTGCAGATTCAGCATTGCACAATTTTGGGGACCCAAGGTTCCAGAGAGGCTTCCTGGAAGGGGGGCTCAGGATGAGCCATTTGGCCCCCCCTTTGTCTCCCTTCCACCTGAAAGCTCAGTTGGAACAATCCCAGCCTCGCAAGGCTGACTTGATGCCGCGAAGCGATGCTGAGTTAGTGCTGCCTTTGCTGAGACTCACAGCTGAGTAAAAAAAAGAAAAAGGAAAAAGGCAGAATTTTTTAAAAGCTGCCATCAGCACAGGGCGCCCAAGCTGCCCCTGCCTCGCCGTGACCTTTGGAGGGATGCACGCACGGCCATAAGCATCACGTGGGGCCACGGTTCGGACTGGCGCCAGCCTCCTGAGTGAATCCCGGCACTGCCACTTCCCGGGTGTGTGGCCCCAGGTAAGTCAGATAACCTCTGTGGTCTCAGTTTCTCTTTGCATAAAATGGGATTAATAACAGAGCTTGCCTCTCCATGGTTCATGTTGGGGCCCCTGCTCTCCAGGCCTGTGGGGTGCATCTGGCTGTGTCTATGTGAGTGCAAATCTGCTAGTGTCTGGGAAGGTGCATGTGAGTTTGGGCACGCCCAGGCCATCCCATCTCCTCTCTTCTGGGCAGGCTGGAAGGCTGCCTGGAGGTGGTGGCAGTAGCCAGTTTTCCTGTGGTTCCCAGGAATATATTGTGTTTGGCTGGGCCAAACAAAGCCAAGGCACTGTCACCTGCCCACGGTGGGGATTAGGGACCTTCCATGATTTCCAATCTATTTGATTCCTGTGGTTTTGATCACATATAGCAAGGGTTTGTGCCCAAAATGCGTACAAATCTGTTTGGTTCTGGGCTTTGGACAGCGAGCTGTGCAAACTGCTCAGCAGGTACCAAGTGCTGTGCAAGTGTTGGCTGTGGTGACCCCCCTGTACCAAGCGCTGTGCAAGTGTTGGCATGGTGACCTCCTTGGGAGGCTGCAGGTTGGGCTGTGCCTGGTGCCCACTGGGTGTTCCCTGATGTCTGGCAGCTCCCACCACACTGGCCCTGGCTGCCGGGCAATCTCCCCTCTGCCTCGCGTACCGGCTGGCTGTCTTTCCCTGGCCCTCTCTCTAGGTGTTTGATGGTTGTAAACTCTTTGCAGAACATTAAAGCAAATGGGAGCAGCCCAAACCCCACCAGGAAAGAGACAGGCCCTCCCAGCACCATCCCAGCGCCATCCCAGCGCCACCCCAGCGCCACCTCAGCACTACCCCAGCGTGGTGCCGCCCACACCGCCCCTGGGGCCTGCCTCTGGGAGGCATGGGGTCTCCTGTGTGTCGCTGAGCTCCAGAACATTCATGTCCAGGCCTGGGGGCCAAGGGCGGGGGGTTCCCAGAGGGTGCATTGGACTCTCCGAGGTGCTGGGGAGGTCCTGTATCCCCTTCCACAGGCAGGTGACAGTGCCACAGCCTTGGCCTGAAACAGCCCAGCTCCAGTGAAATAGGTCCCTGAGAACCATGGGACAACTGGCTGCTGCCTCCTCCTCCAGGCAGTCCTCCAGCATGCCTGATGGAGAAGGAAAGGGTGAGGCAGCCTGGGCGTGCCCAAACTCACACACACCCTTATACACAACTGTTACAATCACATACCCTCATAGACACTTGCAGAATGGTACAAACTCACACAGACACACCCACACACACCCCCTCACATTCACACATATAGGTTCACAATCACACTCCGTTACAGACACACACGCAGAGTGATACACATCTTTGGAAACACACTCCAGGCAGAGACGCACTGTCTCTTACACACACATACAGACACCTTCAGACAGATGCTCACGCATGAGACCAACTCACACCCAGAGACACATGCTCCCCTGAGCACACACAGCCCACACTCACACCCACTCACAGTCACTGAGACAGACTGTCCCGCTGACACCCAGGGTGGGTTGCCAGATCTAGCAAATAAAGACATAAGCCCCTTGGCTGACTCTGACAAATGATTCTTCAGTGTAAGTACATCCCGTGCAGTATCTGGGTGCCCTGCATTTTATCTGCAAGCCCAGCTCAGGGGCACTGGCGCAGATTCACACTCAGACACCCACAGACTCGCTCTGGCAGCCACACAGACATCGCCCTGTGCAGGAACTTAGCACCCAGAAAGCCCTGCCTTCTGACTCCCAGCCCCTCCCCAAGCCCAGGACAGCAACATTCTCTTCACCCGTTCCTGCTTACGAAAATAGCCCATGATGGGCAGAATGGGGCTCCCCGAGACCTGGGCGTGCTCCCAGTGGAAGAGGTATCCCTGAAAGTCGCCTCGCCAGTTGGTTATAAGAGCACCCATTTTCCAGGTAAGAAAACCAAGACTCGGATAATGATGCAGCCTGTCTGAGCCACACAAAGCAAGGCCATGTTCTTTCCCCAGCTTCCGCTATGGAAACCATTTGGGAGAAAGGACCCGGTTGTTTTTGGAGGGCCCCACTGAATAGCCTGGGCTCAGGGTTGGGGCCTCTTTTTATTGATAGGTAAATTTCACAAGAAGAATTGCCTGCAGAGTTCTGAAAGTTATCCAAGCCTCACTCCTGGCAATTCTGATTCAGAGCAAGGCCAAGAAATGTGCGTTTATAAAAACCACACTAGAAGATTCTGATGCATCCTCCTGGTTAAGAGCCACTGTTCTATCCTCAGCAGAAAGCTCTAGCTCAAGGACAGAAAATCCACAGCACACGTATCCACACCCCTTACCCATGCCCATGGCAGACATCACTAATCAATCATGATAATCTTTCTCGTCAAACTCAGGCCCAGCCTCAGAATCCCTCCCAGCTCAGGGCTCCAGGGAGCCAGTAAGTGGAGTGGTTTCTATCCTGGTACTAATCAGCAGATTTACGATTTCATCATTGTGTCCCACTCATGAGCTTCTGGACAATGTTACTTGGCAAGGTCCCTCCCTGCCTTCACTTTTTCCAAAAACCAAACATAGTAACAATATACTAACAGCTAACATTTCCTGCTGGGTTAGTATGCACCAGGCATGGGGCCAAGTGTTTTACATGCACTATTGCATGCAATCTCCCCAGTGCTGCATTGTAGTAAAATCATCATTACCTTGATGTGACAGAGGAGGAAAGTCAGGCATGGGGCAGTCAAAAAACTTGGACCAGGTCACACAGCTAGGGAGTGGTTGAGCAGGGATTTGACCGCACCCTGCAGTGGGATGACCCTCAGTCCTCCTGGCTTTTGACCCATGTCCAAAACCCTCCTGCAGTCCTGCCCTTTGTGGGTCTGTGGGCCCCTTCCCATCTGGGTCCCATATCCCTGACTCACCCACATCCTTGCTGTGTGAGTCCCGGTCCTTTCCGGAGTACCCTTGGAGATCCCTGGCCCCCAAGCACTTGTGACTTTAAGAATGTTCTTGGGCCAGGCATGGTGGCTCATGCCTGTAACCCCAGCACTTTGGGAGGCTGAGGCAGGGGGATTGCTTCAGCCCAGGAGTTTGAGCCCAGCCTGGGCAGCATAGTAAGACCCTCATTGCCTCAGTCTCCCCATTTGTGCAATGGGCGTGAATCAAAGGGGTATGAATGTGGCCAGAACTGCACAGGCACAGAGCAGATGCCTCCAGCGATGCACCAAAAAACTTTTTTTAAAAATTATCTGGACATGGTGGTGCATACTTGTTGTCCTAGCTGCTCAGGAGGCTGAGGCAGGAGGATTGCTTGAGCCCAGAAGTTCCAGGCTACAGTGAGCTATGAGGGTCCACTGGGTGACACTTGTCTGAGGTGACACAGCCCAGGAGGGATGAAGCCAGGGTTTTGCCCAGGACCACCTGCTCAAAAGCCCACGTTCCTTCCACCTGCTGTGGCTGCTCCATTGGGAGCACTCAGGAGGTACAGCTGCGTCCCACATCACCAAACTGTAGCCGCTTCAAACAATGTACATTAACTATCTCACCTTCTTTGGGGGCCAGGAGTCCAGGCATGGCTTTGCTGGGTCCTCTGCTCAGCATCTCACCAGGCTACAACCAAGGTGTGGGTGGAGCTGTGTTCTCATCTGGAGGCCTGACTGGGGAGGGATCTACTTCCACGCTCCCTCACTTCCTCAAGCTAATGGCAGAATTCATTTTCTTGCAGCTGTAGGATTC
This sequence comes from Homo sapiens, assembly GCF_000001405.40. Lineage (NCBI taxonomy): Eukaryota > Metazoa > Chordata > Mammalia > Primates > Hominidae > Homo > Homo sapiens. The sequence continues at coordinate 124,614,601 of NC_000012.12, forward strand.
AGGGCAGCTTGCTTCTTGAAGGCCAGTGGGCAGGGAGGGGATGGGATGGAGAGAAAGAGAGAGAGAGAGAGAGAGCCACCTCCTGTTTCTCACCTCTGAACTCTCAAAGGGCTCCCCTGATTAGGGCAGGCCCACTAGGGATCATCTCCCTTTTGATTAACACAAAGGCAACCAATTAGGGATCTTGCTGCCATATGTAAATTCCCTTCATTTTGCCATATTCTATTGGTTAGCAGCAAGTTACAGGTTTCACTGACATCCAAAGGGAGAACATTACATAAGGGTGGGGGTTATTGGGGGTCATCTTAGAATTCTACCTCTCAAAGGGAGTGAATGTTCTGATCAAGCAATGTTTAACTAGCAATTTGCATTTGGGGTGCTTTTTTTAAAAAAAATTGTCGTAAAATCGACATCACATGAAATTTACCATTTTAACCATTTTTAAGGGTACAGTTCAGTGGCATTAAGGACATTCACGTTATTGTGCAACCACCACTACTGTCCATCTCCAGAAGCTTCTCATCTTCCAGCTGAACTCTGTCCCCATGAAACACTAACTCCTATGCCCCCTCCCCCCAGGCCCTGGCAGCCCCTCTTCTCCTTTCTGTGTCTAGGAATCTGATTGCTCCAAGGTGCCTCGCATAAGTGGGATCACAGGGTCTCTGTCCTTTGTGTCTGGCTTCTTTCACTCGGCACAGTGTCTTCCAGGTGGACCCGTGCTGTGGCCTGTGTCAGAAAGCTCTTCTTTTTTCAGGCCAAACCCTACTCCAATGCATGATTAGCCCAAACCTTGCCTATCCATCATCCATCGGTGAATTTGTTACAGGAAAGGGGTCCTGATCCAGACCCCAAGAGAGGGTTCTTGGATCTCACACAAGAAAGAATTCAGGGCAAGTCCATTGAGTAAAGTGAAAGAAAGTTTATTAAGAAAGTAAAGGAATAGGCTGGGCGCGGTGGCTCACGCCTGTAATCCCAGCACTTTGGGAGGCCAAGGCAGGCAGATCACAAGCTCAGGAGATCGAGACCATCGTGGCTAACACGGTGAAACCCCGTCTCTACCAAAAATACAAAAAATTAGCCGGGCGTGGTGGCGGGCGCCTGTAGTCCCAGCTACTTGGGAGGCTGAGGCAGGAGAATGGCGTGAACCCGGGAGGTGGAGCTTGCAATGAGCCGACATTGCACCACTGCACTCCAGCCTGGGCGACAGAGTGAGACTCCGTCATTAAAAAAAAAAAAAAAAAAAAAAAAAAAAAGAAAGTAAAGGAATAAAAGAATGGCTACTCCACAGACAGAGCAGCCCCGAGAGCTGCTGGAAGCCCATTTTTATGGTTCTTTCTTTCTTTCCTTTTTTTGTTTTTTTTGAGACCGGGTCTCACTCTTGTTGCCCAGGCTGGAGTACAATGGCTCGATCTTGGCTCACTGCAACCTCTGCCTCCTGGGTTCAAGCGATTCTCCTGCCTCAGCCTCCCAAGTAGCTGGGATTACAGGCGCCTGCCACCATGCCTGGCTAGTTTTGTATTTTTAGTAGAGATGGGGTGTCACCATGTTGGTCAGGCTGGTCTTGAACTCCTGATCTCAAGTGATCCACCCGTCTCAGCTTCCCAAAGTGCTGGGATTACAGGTGTGAGCCGCCAAGCCCGGCCTTATGGTTATTTATTGATGGTATGCTAAACAAGGGGTGGATTATTCATGCCTCCCCTTTTTGGCCCATATAGGGTAACTCCCTGAAGTTGAAACTGGCGTTGGTGGGAGTGTAGCAGTGAGGACGACCAGAGGTCACTCTCGTGGCCATCTTGGTTTTGATGGGTTTCCACTGGCTTCTTTACCGCAACCTGTTTTATCAGCAAGGTCTTTATGACCTGTATCTTGCGCTGACCTCCTGTCTCATCCCATGCCTTGGAATGGCTCAACTATCTGGGAATGCAGCCCAGTAGGTTTCAGCCTCATTTTACCTAGCTACATTCAAGATGGAGTTGCTCTGGTTCAAACACCTCTGACACATCCTTGGGTAGTTTTCACATCAGGATATTGAATGATGCTGCTATAACCATCGGTGCACAGATAGCTGCTTGCATCCAGGGCTGCTGTCAGATTTTGGCTGGGGACCGTAGCCAGGCCGGTGCCGACAGTGTGGGAACATCAATAAGCGGGCGGATGTGTGCTGCTCCTCACACTTTCATTCTCAAGGATGATTCCTTGTCTGTTTCATGAAAGTCATTGATTTGTTCAAAGGAGATCTGTTGAGCCCCGTTTCCCCTTTTGAAATGCAGTTTGTGAAACTGAAATGCAGTTATCCGGGCAAGGGCAGCCCTTGTCGAACGGGAAGCAGAGCTTACTTCTCCCTTGCTTCAATCCTTCCTGTCCCTTCCCTTTGCTCTTAGAACAAAATCTAGACTCCCCTGGCAGCCTGCGTAGCCCTGCGTGTCGGCCTCCGCCCTCCCCTCCCGCCTCACCCTTACTCACACTTCTACCCCTCCACATCTGCCCTCTCGTTCCTTGAACACGCCAAGCCCATTCCAGCCCTGGGGCCTTTGCACATGCAGCTCCTCTGCCCGCCTTGCTCATCCCCCTGGTTTGCTCATGGCTGCCTTCTCAGAAAGTGCTTCCCAGCACCCCCTGCCCCCGGGGCTAAAGTCACAGTCACCTCTTGCAGTCCCTCCTTAGCCCTCACCTGGGTTTCATGACTGCATAGCACCGCTCACAAATGCAATTCTCATGTCCCTCTCCTCGATGACAGGGAGCACAGGGGCCGTGCCTCTGGTCCCCTGCTCTCACCCCAGTACCTGGCCTTTAGTTGGAGGTCAGTGGCTGTTGGTTGAATGAATAAGTGATCCCCTAATACGAGGTTGCAAAGGAGGTATTAAGATCTGCATGTTTCAGATAGAGACACTGAGGCTCAGGGTCACAGCAGGTAAACAGAGGCTCCAGCGTTGAACCCCGGGTCACCTGCCCTCTCCCAACCCAGCGCTGTCTTGGGGAACAGGGTGAAGCTCAGGAGGAGCCCCCCAACCCCGGCGTGCCCCCATTTTGCCTCCTCAGAAGGCCCTGCAGCTGGCCTTTCCTGGGAGGCGCAGAGCCCACAGAGCCCAACTCTGGTGGCAGAATTAGCCTGTCCTCGGGCTGCGCTGGCTCCAGTCCCAGTGAGGTGGTGACTGTCACTCTCCATAGGAGAGGACGCCTCTCGCCATGGCAACGGGGACGTCACCAGGGACGTGTTTGCCGGAGCACAAAAGAGGGTGTCGGGGAAACACCCGCACTCTGGCGGCAGAAACACAGTGCACGGCCTCACTCCCCATCTGGGGATGGCTGCTGGGAGGTGACCGAGCCTCCCTAGGCAGCCGGGGCCCTCCTCAGCCCTCGTGCTTGCCTTCCAAAGAGCTGTGGCTGTTTTCTCCGCTCCCCTGCGGTGGAGAAGGAAGAGGGCACATCGCTGGAGGCATCTTGTCTGTGCCTATGCAGTTCTGACTGCGTTTGTGCCCCTTCGATTCACGCCCATTGCACAAATGGGGACACTGAGGCAATGAGAGGCGAGGAGACTTGCCCAAGACCTGCAGGCTCCGTCAGGGGCAGGGTCACCGGTGCGGCTTCAGAGGCAGGGCTGGCTGGGGTTGGAATCCCTGCCTTCCCACTCATCAGCTCTGTGTCCTTGGGCAAGTCACTGTCGCCTCTGAGCCTCAGTGTTCTCATCCGTAAAATAGGGAAAATAACAGTTTCCAGGGCCATCGTTCACCTTTTTTTTGTTAAGTATGCCATCCAGGTGTTTTCAGGATATTCAGAAAAATGTGATTCATTGGGATATTGCACAACCATCACCACTACCTAATTCCAGAGCATTTCCATCACCCCCAAAGGAAACCCCACATGCATTAACAGTCACCTCCCGTTCCCGTTCCCACCTCCCCCAGCCCCGGCAACCACCAACCCACATTCTGTCTCTATGAATTTGCGTATTCTGAACATTTCATATAAATAGAATCGTACACGAGACCTTTTGTGTCTGACTTCTTTCACCTGCGTCGTTCTCGAGGTTCATCCGTGCCGTAGCGTGAGCCAGGGCTGCGTTCCACCTTATGGCTGAATCATACTCCACCCCATGGACGGACCACGTCGTGTTTAACCATCATTAGCTGATGGACGCCTGGGTTGCTTCCACCTGTTGGCTCTTGTGAGCAATGCTGCTGTGAACATGTGTGCTGTGAGTTTCTGGGTGGACGTATGTTCCCATTTCTCTTAGGCAGACTCTCTGGAGTGAAATGGCTGGATCATACGGTAGGTCTAGGTTAAACTTTTTAAGAAACCGCTGAACTGGCCAGGCACAGTGGCTCACGCCTGTAATCCCAGCACTTTGGGAGGCCGAGGTGGGTGGATCATTTGGGGTCAGGAGTTCAAGACCAACCTGGCCAACATGGTGAAACCCCGTCTCTACTAAAAGTACAAAAATTAGCTGGGCGGTAGTGGGGCACACCTGTAATCCCAGCTACTCAGTGAGGCTGAGGGAGGAGAAACGCTTGAGCCTGGGAGGCGGAGGTTGCAGTGAGCCGAGATTACGCCACTGGGTAACAGAGCGAGACCCTATCTCAAAAAAAAAAAAGAAGGAAAGAAGAAAGAAAGAAAGAAAGAAAGAAAGAAAGAAAGAAAGAAAGAAAGAGAGAGAGAGAAAGAGAGAGAGAGAGGGAGAGAGAAAGAAAGAGAGAGAGAAAGAAAGAAAGAAGAAAGAAAGAAAGAAAGAAAGAAAGAAAGAAAGAAAGAAAGAAAGAAAGAAAGAAAGAAAGAAAGAAACTGCTGAACTGTTTTCCAAATCTTGCATCCCCGAGACAGGGGATGAGAGTTCCAGTTGCTCAATATTTTTGCCAATACAATACCCAGCACACCATCGTCGCACACCACCGTCGTTCCATCAGAGAAGATGCTTTTGAAGATGCTGAAAGTCATTAAAGACCCCATACATGATTCCCGGCAGCCCACAGATGGATGCAACTCAAGTATCCAGTGACAGACTATGGGTAAACAAAAGGTGGCGTATCCATACAATGGAATACGACGCAGCCTTGAAAAAGGAAGGATATTCTGACACGGGCCACAACATGGATGAGCCTTGAGGACACTGTGCTGAGTGAAATAAGCCAGCCACAAAGGGACAAATACTGTATGATTCAATTTATGTACAGGTTGGACTAGTCCAACCTTAGAATAGTCAAATCCACAGATACAGAAAGTAGAATGGTGGGAGCCAGGGGCTGGCAGGAGCCAGGTGGAGAGTTGGTGTTTAATGGAGACAGAGTTTCAGTTTGGGAAGATGAAAAAATTCTGGAAATGGATGGTAGTGGTTGCACAACAATGTGACTGTCCTTAATGCTACCAACCTGTATACTTACAAATTGTTAAAATGGTAAATTTTATGATATATATTTTTTATCACAATAAGAAAATGTAGCATCCTTTATTTTCCACTCCAGCGAACTGTTGTTTAGTTCAAATCCTGTCTACCATGTAGTGGGGACCACATTGCACCCTCTGGGCCTGAGTAATCCGGGGAAGGCCTGTGATCCACTTCTGGCCAGAAACGTGAGGGAAGTATGCTGGCGGCTCCTGGGAAAAAGGTCTCACTAGAAAATGAGAAGGTTACAGGAAGAGAGGTTTGGTCCCTTTTGCCTCCTTCCCACCTCACCTTCCTTCCTGCCTTTGGATGTCATTGTGGGATGAAGTGATGTCTGCAGCTGTGGCAGCCATGGTGCCACCATGAGGAGAAGGCTAAGAGAATTGCAGAGATGCCAGCCCTGTATCCTGACACTGAGGAACTAGTGAACCCACCTGGGCTATGCCTGCTTCTCAATGTCCTCCGAAATAAACAATGAATGACCTTATGCTTTAAGCCACTGTGAGCCAAGGTTTTTGTTACTTGTAGCCAAGTGCCTCCCTAATGGATTCAATACACTCCTGCTTCTACGGACCTGGTGATATAGGGTTTGGGACAAGAGCTTTTTTTTTTTTTCTTGAGATAGGGCATCACTCTTTCACCCTGGCTGGAGTGCACTGGCGCAGTCACAGCTCCCTGCAGCCTCAGACTCCTGGACTCCAGCAGTCCTCCCGCCTCGGCCTCTCAAGTAGCCAGGCCCACAGGCACACCACCATGCCTGGCCAATTTTTAAAATTTTTTCTATAAAGACAGGGTCTTGCTATGTTGCCCAGGCTGATATTACATTCCAGGCCTTAAGCAATCCTCCTGCCTCAGGCTCTCAAAGTGCTGAGATTACAGGTGTGAGCCATTATGCCCAGCCAGGACAAGAGGCTTTGGATCCACCACGCCTGGGCTTGTATCTCAGCTCCTGACAGCTATGTGGCTATGAGTAAATTGGTCCACCCCTCTGGGCCACAGGTTTGCTAACTGCCAGATGAAGACAGTAGTGCTATGTGCTTTGTAAAGTAGATGGTGTGAGGCTGAATGCGTTATGGGATGTATGCATGTGCCTGGTACACAGTAAGAGATTAATTACACAGTAAGAGATTAACCAGTCTCTTCCATGGGACTCAGGATGACGCTTTTGCTGGGGAACGGTGAATCAACGGCCTGCTGCGGGCTCTGTCTGGGTGGAGGCTGGCTGGCCCAGCCACAGTCCCAGGGGCTGTGCCGCTTTCCCAGCTGACTGATGCAGAGGCCGCAGAGGCCTTGGGCTGCCGTCTGGGGAAGAGACATTGATCCAAGGTTGATTTGGGATTTTATTTTCCCTTCCCCTTTAACAAAAGCACGGAGTGTTTCCTTCAAGCAGGCTCATCAGTTCTTAGCCCAGGTACAGCCTTCCAGCTGGAGAGGAGTCAAGCATTCCTCTTTGCTGAGTTCAAGGTTGGCCCCTCTGTGCCGCCAGCGCTCAAGGATCCCCTGGAATGAACCCGAGTCGCAGCATTGCAGGAAGGCTGTGGTATGCGGGAGGGAGGCCGCCCTGCCAAGAGGACAAGCGGAGGCGGGATTTGGGCAGGATCACCTACCGAGGTGCCCACTACCCTCAGGAATCGAAGATCAAACAGACAAGACAACCTTGCTGGTGGCCAGCAGCCTAGGGTCCCCTGAGGATGTGCGGGGCAGGGGTTGGCAACTTCGATCACATTAGTAAGGCTGAGCTCATCTCCCAGCTGTCCGGAAACTGGGCCACCAATCTTAAATCCATTCCCCAGGCACCTCACTGAGGCCCAGAGAGATTTGGGGAGGATCTTGGAGGCAGTCGCAGCGCCCCCACAGAAGTGGGAAGTCCCAGTGGCCTGCTCCGTGGAATCAGGGCAAGTTGGCTCCTTGGCAAGATGGCAAAGCCCTGTGGCAATGAGGACTGTGGGCCCCACCCCGCCTTGTCCACCTGGCCTTCCTCAGTCTCTTCCACCCCCACCCCCAGTCCAGCCACTCTGTGCCGTCTTCTCTTAGGGCTTCTAAGACCAACATCCCTTTCACTCCATCCTCCAGGATGTGATTCTGAGCAACGTTTCCGCCCTAAGGAGTGGGGGCCTCTGCTTCTTGTTTAAATAATAAAGTCAAATCCTAATGCAATATGGGAAAAAACAAGGATGTGGGAAATCCTGGGGCCCCCAGAGAATGGGGAGGTGTGGCAGGGCCCCCACAGTGGAGGGCATTGAAAGCCGAGCAGAAGCCCCTGGACTGAGTTGGGAGGCAGTGGAGAGCCATGCACAAGCTCCACGTTGGGCTTGTACCCTCTGCTCCAGGCACACAGGCTTCCTATGACCCTCAGACATGCCTGCTCGGGTCCTGCCTCAGGGCCTTTGCACCCGTACCTGCTCAGGTCCCGCCTCAGGGCCTTTGCACCTGCATCTGCTCAGGTCCTGCCTCAGGGCCTTTGCACCTGCACCTGCTCAGGTCCTGCCTTAGGACCTTTGCACCTGCACCTGCACCTGCTAGGGTCCTGCTAGGGTCCTGCCTCAGGGCCTTTGCACCTGCAGTTCTTGGGGCCTGACATGCTCTTCCCCAGCTCTTGGCTTGGCTCCAGTGACAGGGTCACCTCCTCAAACAGGACATCCCCAGCAGCCTTTCTAAAGCGGCCCCGCCCTTCTCCTCTCTTCCTCATCATCTCAGTTCACAGAGTTCACGTCGCCTCTCACTGCCTGGGATGGCCTTGCCTGTCTGTCTGTGGCCTGTCTCCTTTCTGTTATAGCCCAGCTCCTGGGACAATAGGATGAACAAATGAAGGAGTGAATGAATGATGGAGCTGGGTTTGGGGGTTAATCACAGCAACACGCATGGCAATGTCTGGAGCCTGCAGGATGCCCTCCTATTCACACCCTGGGGGCCACTCCCCTGCAGCCCCAGTGTCTGCCTCTGCCCACACTCCAGCTGGGAGGCTCGCCGATGGCCCTGTGCCGGGAACTCCCGTTTCTGAGCCGGTACAGCAGCAAACTCTGTAGCGGTGCTCCCTGCCAGGTGCAGGCAGGAGCTGCAGGGACGCTTCTGAAGGGGCAGGAGGTCAGGATGGGAGGCAGGCACGCTCTTAGCTTCCCACTGGAGAACATTTCAGGGAAGCGACTTTTTGCCTGGAATGCCAAGGGCAGCCTCTTGTCCAGGGCACCGTGGGTCATTGTGCAGTGTGAGGTGAGGCCCTGGGGCTGCCTTCAACACCAGCCAGACCCCTCGCCAGGCAGGACACGAGAGAAGGCTGTGGGCTGGCAGGCTTAGCTAAGAAGTTCACTGAGAGGAATCTTCAGAGCTGGAGGGATGACACAGAAGTCCCCAGTGGTCAGCAGGTGGCCATGGGAAGGACCCAGGCCTGGAGGAGAGGTGGGACGGGGGTGGTCTAAGTCCCTTGTAACAGATGGCATTTTCCAGAGACAGCCTCTGCAATTTCTCCCATCCCACAAGATATTCTTCCCATATGACCTTTACCTCCCACTGCTGGAGAGTGGGGTTTATGTTCTCTCCCTCCTGAATCTGAGCACGTTCATGACTCACTCACAACTAATAGAATGTGGCAGAAGAGACGCTGCGTGGCCTCCAAGGCTAGGTCACAGAAGGTGATGCAGGTGCCTTCGTGCTATAGCCCTGAGATGCTGTGTAAGCATCTGACTGCCCAGGGCCGCCATGTTGTGAGGAAGTCCAAGTAGCCCGAAAGGGGGCTGTGGGTTGGTGTTGTGGCAGACAGTCCAGATACGTCCCAGCCCCCAGCCAGCTCCAACTGCCAAACAGGCACTTCCAGAAGGCCCTGGCATCCTGGAATAGAGACAAGACATCTGTGCTGTGCCTTGTGTGATTCTGAGCCATAGGATCTGTGAGCGTAATACGATGGCTGCTGGGCGCCCTAATGTTTTGAGGGATTCCTTACACAGCACAAGTACCCTGGCAACCGTGGCTCCACCTCCAGCCAGGCGTTATCACTGGGCTCCCTGTCTTCCTCTGCCCACCCGGCCAGCAAGTCAGGCCCTCCTCTGTTTAGAACTCCTTGGTGTCAGCCTGGCTTTGCTGCTTTCCCCAGGGGTAGGAAATGAGCCTTTCATTGAATTTCGTAACATGGCTCTTTGCTGTCCTCTCACCCACCTGGTGAGAGAATGAAATCTCAGAGAGGTTCCAAGAGGCCACCTTCTCTGCCCAAGGTTGAAATGACCAGAGTAGACTTAAGCCTTCTAGAATGTATGGTAAGGGCTTCTGTGGCCTTTTGTTGTTGCTGGTCTTTGCTGATGACAATCACAGCCACAACGAGCATGCAGCAGCAGCAATGACATAGACCTTCCACTGTGGCAGCTGCTGGCTAAGCAGTTCGCATGCACCTCATCTGCCTACGCTCATGGTCCACGCTGATGTGGTTCTTGGAGGCAATCCCTTACCAAGTGTAGGCAAGGGAGCCTGCAATGGTCAGGATAGGCCAGGTTATACTGTGGTAACAAACAACCTGGCGATTTCAACAGCTCAGCACACAGAGGTTTCTTGTCACTCACACTGCATGTCCATTGTAGGTAAGCCTGGGCTCTGCTCCATGTTGTCCTCACAGCAGGACCCAGCCACCTGCTGGAACATCACTGGCCACTGTGACAGAAGGAAAGAGAGCTCTGGAAAGTCTTGCACTGGCCAGTGTGTGCCCAGCCTGGATCCATCACTTCCACTCACACTCATGCAGTGCCCCCTACCCACCAAGGGTCGGGAAGTGCCTGGAAAAGGAGAACTGGAACATTGATGAACAGCCCTGTGATGGTCTGCAAAGGCACAGTGGCTGCTACCTGGCTCCAGCATCCCCAAGGCCTCAGCCAGTTGTTCCTCCCTCCCCACCCCCCGGCCCTGCCCGGCTCTGCCATTTTCCCCTGGGGCACTAGGAGGGAGGGGCACTCACCTTCACAGAACCCACCTGTGGTAGGCAGACTAACAGCCCCGCAAAGATATCCACATCCCACTCCCCAGAACCTGAGAACATGTTACCATCCACGGTGCAGTGCACTGCCAGGGCCACCGTGACAAAGCACCGCAGACAGGGGTTGGGGTTAGAGCAGGCGGGGAATGCTAAACAACCGAAACGCCTTCTGAGTCTAGAGGTCTAAGATCAAGGTGTCAGCAGGGTTGGTTCACTCCAAGGCCTCTCTCCTTGGCTTGCAGATGGCTGTCTTCTCCCTGTGTCTTCACACGGGCTTTTCTGGGTATGGCCATGCCCTAATCTCCTCTTCTTATAAGGACATCAAAGCAGGGCATGATGGCACATGCCTGTAATCCCAGCACTTTGGGAGGCTGAAGTGGGAGGATCACTTGAGCCCAAAAGTTCAAGACTAGCCTGGATAACATAGCAAGATCCCATCTCTTTAAATTTTTTTTTAAAATTAGATGTGGTAGTGTGTGCTTATAGTCCCCAGCTATTCAGGAGGCTGAGGTAGGAGGATTGCTTGAACCCAGGAGTTCAAGGCTGCAGTGAGTTCTGATGGTGCCACTGCACTCCAGGCTGGGCCATGGAGTGAGACCTTGACTCAAAAAAAAAAAAAGGACACCAGGCCTATTGGATTAGGGCTCAACCTAACGAACCCATTTTAACCTAATCACCTCTTTAGAGACTCGGTCCTCGAATACAGTCCCATTGTGAGATACTGGGGCGTGAGAGCTTTAGGATGTGAGTTTGGGGTGGGAAATACAATTCAATCCATGGTGAAGGGGCTCCTGCAGAGGGGATGAAGTTATGGATTTTGCGATAGGGAGATTATCTTGGATGATCAAGGGGCCCATTGTCATCGCAAAGATCTTATAAGAGGGAGGCAGGAGGGTTAGAGTAGGAGAAGGTGGAAGAGAAGAAGAAGAGATGGTGGAAACAGAGGTCAGGGCAATTCCGCCACCAGCCAAGGAGTGTGGCAGCCTCTAGAAGTTGCAAGAGGAAAGGAATGAAGCCTCCTCTGGACCCTCCAGAAGGAACCAGCCCTGCCAGTGCCCTGACCTCATCTCCATAAGCTCCACTGGGACCTTCTGCCCTCCAGAACGGGGAGATAACAATATTGTGTTGCTTTAAGCCTCTATGTTTGTGGTGATTTGTTCAGCAGCAATAGGAAATCCACACGTCATCCAAATGCCCTCCTTTACAGAAAGCTTCTGAACCCGCTCTTGCCTCGGTTGGCAAACTTCTGCCCTCCACACTCCTCCTCCTCTGGGATGGGTGGGGACAAGTCCTTCACTGGGGTCAGGTTGCCCCAAAGCCTGTCTCCTGGACTTGGAGGCTGCTCCCTCCGACCTCGGCACCCCCCAAGGGCCAGAGGCCACCACCTCGAGCAGCCAGCGGGTAAGAGCCAGCCTGCAGGGTGGATACTAAATACAATAGGTCTGTGACCACACACGGCCCCACCCCCAGGGGCCCAGGCCCCGCTGACCTTCCCACCCCGGGGCACACCCAGCTGCTTCCTCAAAGCCACAGCCCTTTCCTCCAGCCCAGCCTTTGCCCTGGCCCTTTCCTCTTCTGCTCCTGACGTGCCTGACTCATCCAGCAAGTTCCAGCTCAGAAATCTCTGGGGGAGCCTGGTCCAGCCCCGTTCCATCCACCCCGCCCTGCTGGCTTCATTTCATTTCATGCACTCAGTAGATGGGCACACAGCTCTCCTCTGTTCTCCTCTGGAAGGCACAGGCAGAGCCCTCACCTCAGGACCTCCAGAAGCTGACAATTGGTCGGCGGGAGCAGGGTAGGGGGTTGGGTGGGAGCCTGTGACATGTTTTAATGAAGTGTAGACATTTTAAATATACAATTCAAAGACTTTTTTAAAAATCTTAAGTACATATGTTTTTAGAGACAGGGTCTCACGCTGTGGCCCAGGCTGGAGTACAGTGACACCATCATAACTCACTGCAGCCTCGAACGCCTCAGCTAAAGCAATCCTCCCGCCTCAGCCTCCCAGCCTCCCAAGCAGCTGGCAGTGCAGATGTGCACCACCATACTCAGCTAATTTAAATTTTTTTTTTTTTTAGAGATGGGATCTTGCTGTGTTGCCCAGGCTGGTCTCAAACTTTTGGGCTAACGCAATCCTCCCACCTCAGGCTCCCAAGGCATTGAAATCACAGGCATGAGCCACCGCACCCAGCCATGGGACTTCTGATGAAACTGTATCATGCAGCCATCACCCCCATCGACACAGAGGACTCTTCCCTCATCCCAAAGCTGCTTTCCCAGCCAATCGATTGGCCTGACAATGTGAGGGGTGCTTTGTCTTTTCAGGAGTTTGCTCTTGATGGAATCCTGTGCTGTGAACTCTCTAGGCCTGGCTTCCTTCCCTTTGCACAGGGCTCAGCAAAATACAGGCCTCCCGGGGCCAGATCTGGCCTGTTGCCTGGTTTGTAGGACCTGCAGGCCAAGAATGGTTTTTACTTTTGTTTTTGTATTTTAAAAAATAATAAATAGACTTTTTAAAATACAGTTTTTTGTTTACAGAAAAATTGAGTAGACAGTATAGAGAATTCCACATGCACACACACTCAATTCCCACCCCCCCAACCCGGTACACAGTTTCCCCTGTTATTCATATCTTGCATTCGTGTGGTACACTTGTTACAATTAAGGAATCAATATTGACACAGCACTATGAACTATAGTCCCTAGTTTACATTGGGGGTCACTCTTGGAGTTGTAGGGTTCTATAGGTTTTAAGAACCGTACCGGCCGGGCGCAGTGGCTCACACCTGTAATCCCAGCACTTTGGGAGGCCGAGGCGGGCAGATCACGAGGTCAGGAGTTCGAAACCTGCTTGACCAACATAGTGAAACCCCTTCTCTACTAAAAATACAAAACTTAGCTGGGTGTGGTGGCGGGCACCTGTAATTCCAGCTACTCGGGAGGCTGAGGCAAGAGAATCACTTGAACCCAGGAGGCAGAGGTTGCAATGAGCTGGGACCACGCCACTGCACTCCAGCCTGGGCAACAGAGTGAGCGTCTGTCTCAAAAAAAAAAAAAGAAAAAAAGAAAAAAAGAAAGAAAAAGAAAAAGAAATGTACCATGACGTAGTCCCCATTGTAGCATCATGCAGAGATTCACTGCCCTAAAAGTCCCCTGGCCTCCATCTTTTCATCCCTCTTTCCCTCTCCTCAGTCCCCTGGCAGCCACTGATCTTTCTACTGTCTCTATAGTTTTGCCTTTTCCAGAATGTCACATAGTTGGAATCATAGCATGCAGCCTTTCAGAACGGCCTCTTTCACTTAGTAATATGCATTTAAGTTTCTTCCATGTCTTTTTGGGGCTTGATAGCTCACATCTTTTTAGCACTGAGTAATAGTCCACTCTCTGGATGTGCCACAGTTTGTTTATTCATTCACCCTTTTTAAAAAAAAAATTATTTATGTATTTATTTTTGAGATAGAGTCTCGCTCTGTCACCCAGGCTAGAATGCAATGGCACGATCTCAGCTCACTTCAACCTCTGCCTTCTGGGTTCAAGCGATTTTCCTGCCTCAGCCTCCAAGTAGCTGGGATTACAAGTGGGTACCACCACTCCCAGTTAATTTTTGTATTTTTAGTAGAGGCGGGGTTTCACCACGTTGCCCAGGCTGGTCTCAAACTTCTGGCCTGAAGGGATCCACCTGCCTCGGCCTCCCAAAGTGCTGGGACTACAGGCATGAGCCACGGGGCCTCAACCCTATTCACCTATTAAAGAGCATCTTGGTGGCTCCCAGTTTAGGGTGTTTATGACTGTAGCTGCTATGAACATTCATGTGCAAATTTTTGCATGGACGTAAGTTTTCAAATCACTTGAGTAAACACCTGGAAGTGTGATTGCTGGATAGTCTGCTAAGACTATGGTTAGCTCTCTGAGAAACCAGCAAACTGTCTTCCACAGTTGTTTAACTATTCTGCATTCCCACCAGCAGTGAGGGAGCGTTCCTGGGCGTTTGCATTTTATAGTGGTTGAAAAAACCAAAAGAAGAATATTTCATGACACATAAAAATTATATGAGATATGATTTTTAGTGTCCATAAATAGTTTTGTTTTTTTTTTTTTTTTTTTTTTTGAGACAAGGTCTTACTTTGGCACCCAAACTGGAGTGCAGTGGTGTGAACATGGCTTACTGCAGCCTCGACCTCCTGGGTTCAAGCAATCTTACCTCAGGCTCCTGAAGAGCTGGGACTATAGGCACGTGCCACCGTGCCTGGCTAATTTTTGTATTTTTTTGTAGAGACAGGGTCTCTATGTTACCCAGACTGGTCTCAAACTCCTGGCTCAAGCAATCCTCCCACCTTGGCCTCCCAAAGTGCTGGGATCATAGGCATATGTTGCTGCCCCTGGCCATAAATAAAGTTTTATTAGGACACAGCCATGCTCATTCACCTGTGTATTGGGTATGGCTTCTTTCATGCTACATAGGTAGAGTTGAGAGGCTGAAAAAGAGACTGGAGGCCCGCAAAGCCAAAGAAGTTTGACCCAGCCCTTTGTTTTTTCGGGGTTTTTTTGTTTGTTTGTGACAGAGTCTCGCTCTGTCACCCAGGCTGGGGTGCAGTGGCATGATTTCGGCTCACTGCAACCTCTGCCTCCCGGGTTCAAGCAATTCTGTTGCCTCAGCCTCCCAAGTAGCTGGGATTACAGGCGCCTGCCACCATGCCTGGCTAATTTTTGTATTTTTAGTAGAGACGGGGTTTCACTATGTTGGCCAGGCTGGTCTTGAACTCCTGACCTCAAGTGATCCACTCGCCTCAACCTCCGAAAGTGTTGGAATTACAGGCATGAGCCACCGTGCCCCGGGCTGACCCAGCCCTTTGGATAGAAGAGCCGTGCCAGCCCCTGCCTCAGCATGGTGGCTCTGGGAGTCATCCACGGCGCTGTGTGTATCAATAGGTTATCCCTTTCTAGTGCTGAGTGGGACTCCATGGCATGACTACACAACAATTTATCTGTTCAGCTGACGGACATTTGGACTGTTCCCAGTTTTTAGCTATTATGAATAAAGCTACTACGAGCGTTTGTCTGCTGGAATATGTAGGCCACATGCCTTTGCTTCTCTTGGGTGAATACCTAGGAGTGGAATTGCTAGGTCAGGACGCGCCACGTTGTACTTTGTGTCATATTGTCACATCTCAGGATACTATTTCTAACCAGTGCCCTTTTATCCCAGGAATTATTTGCCCCTTCCCTGTGCCTTCTGCCAAACTAGACTGTGTGCCATCCAATGCCCAGGGGAGGAAAAGTAGGAGAGAAAAGCGTAACAAATGTTACTCAGTTTCAGAAGCCAGTGCTTTCAGATTCCAAGAATCTGGGCTTTTGAGCTGCAAAACCTCAGCCAGGAAGAGTTCCAGATATCAATTTTATGGCAAAAACAATAGATTTGGGGGTGGGGGGAAGGATCTTACGTATAACGATGAAAGAGCCAGACTGCAAACCCAGGAGGAGATGATGGCTTTCCTGGGCTGGGTGAGAGAAGCAGGCTGTGGGCAGAGACCACTTGCCTCCATCAGAATCCGCTCTCCTTTCCTTTGGGAAAACAGCAAGACAGAGTTTCCCAGCCTCCTGTGCAGTCATTAGTGGCCATGGGGCCAAGCTCTGGGCAATGGAAGTTGAGTGAAGTGACGTGGGCCCCTCTCAGGCCTGACCCTCCAAGCCTCCCCTGTGTGCTCCTGGGTCCCTTTCTTTTCCACCAAGTGGAAGCTGTTGCAGCATTGAAGCTCTGGGGCACAGTGGACCCCAGGATGGCAGGAACCCTCCTCTACCCAAATGCCCACGCTGACCATGAACCGTTCTACAGGGAAGAGACTCTGTTGTGTAAAGCCGCTAGAGTGAGCCTCTGTACATCAAGGTACTGAACCTAAATCTCACTGGGTCAGATGGGAAACGTTGAGAGGGTGTAGCCACGTTTTGCTTCCAGCACTTATAGCTCTGTGGGAATGTGAGAGGCGTGTGAACCAGAGCAACTCCATCTTGAACAGGGGCCGGGTAAAATGAGGCCGAGACCTACTGGGCTGCATTCCCAGACAGTGAAGACATTCTAAGTCACAGGATGAGACAGGAGGTCAGGACAAGACACAGGTCATAAAGACCTTGCTGATAAAACAGTTTGCGGTAAAGAAGCCAGTAGAAACCCACCAAAACCAAGATGACCACGAGAGTGACCTCTGGGCGTCCTCACTGCTACACTCCCAGCGGCGCCATGACAGTTTACAAATGCCATGGTAACGTCAGGAAGTTACCCTATATGGTCTACAAAGGGGAGGCATGAATAATCCACCCCTTGTTTAGCATATCGTCAAGAAATCACCATAAAAATGGGCAACCGGCGGGGCACGGTGGCTCAGGCCTGTAATCCAAGCACTTTGGGAGGCCGAGGCAGGCGGATCACGAGGTCAGGAGGTCGAGACCATCCTGGCTAACACAGTGAAACCCCATCTCTACTAAAAATACAAAAAATTAGCCAGGCGTGGTGGCGGGCTCCTGTAGTCCCAGCTACTAGGGAGGCTGAGGCAGGAGAATGGCGTGAAGCCGGGGGCTGGAGCTTGCAGTGAGCCAAGATCGCACTGTTGCACTCCAGCCTGGGTGACAGAGCAAGACTCTGTCTCAAAAAAAGAAAAAAAAAGAAAGAAAGAAAAGAAAAAGAAAGAAAGGTATAAAATAGATTGTGCTGGCTCAGTTTAACACATCAAGGGCTGGATTTGCCTACGAGCCCCCAGTTTGTAACCTCTCTCCATTTATTTAATTAGTAAGCATTTACTGGGCGCTTACTGTGTGCCACACACAATTCTAGGCCCTGGACAACACAGATAAGGCACCTGGAAAATGGGTAGAGGGAGAGGAATTCCCCAGCAGGGACTCCCCAGGGACAGATGTGATGGGAAGTCTCGGCCGTGGGGCGCCCCTCTGCTGTGTGGCCCCCACACCGCCCTGGGCTGGTGGACAGGACTTCGGGGCCATTTTGTTCTCACCCAGCCTGTCTGTACTGTGCAAACCTCCGTCTCCTGGAGCTAAGGGGCTGCCTGGGCAGCCCAGAAGCCTCTAGGCCTCTCCAAAGATATACTGGGAAAAACTTTCCCTTGCTATTGCTCAGAATCGTTCAACTCCCAGCCGCTTGCTAATTACTATGCCCTTGAGCAAAAATGTTAATCTAAAAAACATAAAATTATAATGACTTACTTGACATAATTGGAACAAACAAGATGAGCAGGCAGGCGGCAAGCAGCAGGGGCTCCGGCATCAGCCCCCCAGCACCTTGCCAGCCTGGGGGCAGGGGACCCACCTGGGTGGGGGCGGGGGCAGAGCCCCCCTGGCCGGCGAGACTCATTGCCTTGTCAGGGGGCTGAGCGGTTCCGTTGGGTCTGCTCTGGCTTTGACTGAGGACTCATCCTAGATCTTGGCGTGGGGACAGCCAGCCTGGGTGGGCATCCTGCCTCCTATTGTGGGTCCCCAGGACAGTGACTTCCCTCTCTGTTCGCCCATTCCCTCGTCCATGAAATGGGGCTAACAGCATGTCCAGCACCTAGAGTTCTCCATGTCACCTGCTTGTAAATGCTGAGCTTAAAACACAGCAAGCACTCAGCAAACAATTACTGCCGTGAGTGAAGCTAATCTCCTCCAGGCCCATCTGAGGTGGGAGGAGAGAGGCCGGGGAGAGGGAGGATACGCTTCCAGCACACCCTGGTCCTTCCTCCCTCTCCTCTCTTTGCACAGGCCTGTCCCATGCCCAGCTTTAGCCATTAGGTCCTTACTTGAGGGGAGGCCTCCACACTCCCTGCCTGCCTGACTGGCTGGGCGTCCAGTGAGTTGGATTCCAGAGATCCTGGAGCCTGTGAGGAGGAGGAGGACGCAGAGGCTGGGGATCACATGATAAGAGATGCCCAGGAGACTTCATGAACGAACAGCCCAGCCCTTCTTGTCTCAGTAGATAAGATGGTGGGTGAGTGGGGCCCGCTCAGGGCTCAGGCATGCATCCCCAGAACCCGTGCCCATACCCCGAGAGCTCACACACCCACACCCAGACCTGTGTGCTTATGCATACACCCCAGAGCCTATGCACACACTTCCAGAGCTCACACACACACAGAAACACACACACCCAGACCTGTGCACACCCCCCCAGAGCTCATACACACCCATCCCGACCTGTACATACCCCCAGAGCTCATGCACACACCCCCAGAGCTCTCACACATACACTCAGACCTGTGTGCTCATGCACACACTCAGACCTGTGCATACATCCCAGAGCCCATTCGCATAATGCTAGGGCTCACACATACACCCCCAGAACCCATGCACACCCCAGATCTTGGCACACACCATAGAGCCCACACAACACACTCAGACCTGTGTACACATCCTGACTTCTACACACATTTTCAGACCTGTGCACACACTCCAGAGCCCAGGCATACACCCCAGAGCCCAAGAACACACCCCAGAGAACGATGCACACACCCCCGAGAACTATGCACACACCTCAGAGCTCACACACACCTCAGAGCCCAGGCACACACCCCAGAGAACTATGCACACACCCCAGAGCCCAGGCACACACCCCAGAGAACTATGCACACACCCTAGAGCCTCTTGTGGTTGCCCTTTGCCTGGAGCTCTCTGATTGGATAGTTGTAACAGTATGTTTTGGGCTGCAAGTAACAGAAAACTTAACTCAAAAATGGCTTTAACCAGGGGTCAACAAACTGCTGCTTATGGTCTGGCTCCTTGTTTTTGTTAATGAAGGTCTATAGGAATGCAGTTACGCCCACCCATTTCTATTGCCGATGGCTGCTTTCATGCAACAACGGCAAGCTGAGTCATTGCAATAGAGACCATGTGATCTGGAAAGCCTAAAATTATATTTAATGTCTGCCCTTTACAGAAAATTTTCACCGACCTCTGGCTTAAGCAATAAGGAAGACGTATTACTTCATATGATGAATGCTCAGAATGAAGGTGGCGTATTCGTTATCTCTGACTACACAACAAATCACCCCCCAAACTTGGAGGATTAAAGCAACAAGAATCATTCTCTACCTCATGGTTTCTGGGGGTAAGATCTCGGGAGTGGCTCCCCAGGGCGGTTTGAGCTCTGGATCTCTTGGAGGGTGCAGTCAGAGGGGCTGGTGGCTGGCAGTGTCATCTGGCTGCCGTCTTCATTTACAGTCTGACACCTGGGCTGGGCAGACTCAAACAGCTGGTCCTCCTCGGGCGTCGCTCTCCTGCTTGTGTGTTCATTTCAGCATGGTGGCTTCAGGAAAGCCAGACGTCTTTCCTGCAGTTCATGAGGGGGTCCCCTGAGTGTGTCCCAAGAGAGATCCAAGGAGAGGCCATATCACTTTTTTTTTTTTTGAGACAGAGTCTCACTCACTCTGTCGCCCAGGCTGGAGAGCAGTGGTGCAATCTCGGCTCACTGCAACCTCCGCCTCCCAGCCCAAGCGATTCTCCTGCCTCAGCCTCTGAGGTAGCTGGGATTACAGGCGTGTGCCACCACATCTGGCTAATTTTTGTATTTTTATTAGAGACAAAGTTTCACTCTGTTGGCCAGGCTGATCTCGAACTCCTAACCTCAAGTGATCTGCCCACCTCGGCCTCCCAAAGTACTGGGATTACAGGTGTGAGCCACCGCGCCCGGCCATATCACTTTTAATGACCAAGCCTCAGAACTCATGCAGCCACTTCCACCACACCCAGTGGTTGAGGTCATCACAAAAGTCCATCCGGGTTCAAGCGGAGGGGACCAAGACCCACCTTTTGAGTGCTTCAACCTCACCAGGAATCCAGGATCCTTCCACCTTTCTGCTCTGCGGACTTTGCTCTGTGTCCCGTGGTTACAAAATGGCTGTTGCCAATTCGACATTTTAGGCAGACACAGCAATGTCCGGTGGAAGAAGAGAGAACTGCCATGATCTTGTATCTCTCGTTTGTCTCCAGTATTTTTACTGAAATACAAAATACAGGCTGGGCGCGGTGGCTCACACCTGTAATCCCAGCACTTTGGGAGGTCAAGGCGGGTATGGATCACTTGAGTTCAGGAGTTCAAGACCAGCCTGGCCAACGTAGTGAAACCCCATCTCTACTAAAAATACAAAAATTAGCCGGATGTGGTGGCACATGCCTGTAGTCTTAGCTACTCGGAAGGCTGAGGCAGGAGAATTACTTGAACCAGGGAGGCAGAGGTTGTAGTGAGATGAGATCAAGCCACTGCACTCCAGCCTGGGCGACAGAGTGAGACTCCACCTAAAAAAAAAAAAAAAAAAAAAAAAGTGCATAGATCATAAGTGCACAGAGCAATGCATTTCCAAAGGTGAGCATGTCCGTGTACCCAACACCCAGATGAACATGACCAGAGGAGAAGCACCCAGAAACCCCTCTGCTCCCCCTCAGCCACTACCTTTTCCACGATGGCTGAATCTTGGCGGTCTATGCTTTTGATAGAAATGGAATGCTACACACGTGTGCTTGTGTGCCTAGCTTTTCTTGCTGCTGTGCCTACCTGCTTTTCTTGCCTGCACTACATTACGAACTTACTCATAAAAACACTATGCAGTCGAGTATAGCTGCAGGTAGCTCTTTTTCATTGCTATATAACGTTTCATTGTGAGATAGAATGATTTATTTAACCATTCTCCTGTTGATAGACATCTGGGTTGTTTGGCAATTATGATGAGCGCTGTGGTTAATGTCCTCCTAGTGGGTGTCTTATTTTAGACATATAAATGCACTGCTGTATCACAAGGAATGAAATTGCAGGGTCAAAGAGTAGGCAATGTTCAGATGTAGTAGGAACTTCCTAACTGTTTCCAAAGTGGTTGACAATGTCCCTGGCTCCAAGCTTGGAAGCCCAGCCCCCGATGCTGGGACACTCACACTGTGCCCAGTCTCCTGCCCCAGGGTCAGTGAACCACCCCCACCTGCTGCTTTCTGCCTTCTGTGGCCCTGAGATGGCAATTCCAAGATGGGCTGTCAATACCAAACCTTGTCACCTCCCAAGACAACAGGGCTGTCAATGACATCTCAACAACGGAATTTCTAACTTGCAGGTTTTAAAAGGGGGTTAGCTTTTAGGACCATAAAAATGTGCTTATTGCAAAATATTGGAAAAACTTCCAAGTTTAAAGAAGAAAATAAAAATAAAGATCTGTCCCCTCATTCTGGTCCAACAACCTCCACTTGTAACCACTCAGGGGGTTCACCTTGCCTGCTGCCTAGACAGAGCCAATTCATCAACATGGGGAAACTGCAATAGAGAAAGAGTAATTCATGCAGAGCCGGCTGTGCAGGAGACCAGAGTTTTACTATTACTCAAATCAGTCTCCCCAAGCCATTCAGGGAGCAGAGCTTTTAAGGATAACTTTGTGAGTGGGGAGAAGCCAGTGAGCCAGGAGTGCTGATTGGTCAGAGATGAAATCATAGGGAGTCGAAGCTGTCGTCTTGTGCTGAGTCAGTTCCTGGGTGGGGGCCACAAGATCAGAGGAGCCAGTTTATGCATCTGGGTGGTGCCAGCTGACGCATCACGTGCAGGGTCTGCAAAACATCTCAAGCCCTGACTTTAGGAGCAGTTTAGGGAGGGTCAGAATCTTGTAGCCTCCAGCTGCATGACTGCTAAACCATAATTTCTAAGCCTGTGGCTAATGTGAGTCCTATAAAGGCAATCTAGTCCCCAGGCAAGAAGGAGGCTGCTTTAGGAAAGGGTTGTTATGTTGTCTTTGTTTAAACTAGAAACTAAGTTTCTTCCAAAGTTAGTTCAGCCTAAGCCCAGGAATGAACAAGGACAGCTTGGAGGTTAGAAGCAAGATGGAGTTTGTTTAGTTAGATCTCTTTCACTGTCTCAGTCATAATTCCGCAACGGCGGTTTCACAGTGACATTTTAGTGTATTTCCTTCCCATCTTTTTTCTCCTCGCATATATAGACACATGATTGCAGCTAACTTGTATAACATGTGATATTCCAGGCACGACTTTTTTTAACCCATTCAATTTATATCAACTCATTTATTTTTTCATAACACTCCATTCAAATGACTACTATCATTATTATTGTTATTAATTTTTTTTGAGACAGGGTCTTGCTGCTACCCAGGCTTGAGTGCAGTGGTGAGATCTCGGCTCACTGCAACCTCCACCTCCTGGTTCAAACGATTCTTCTGCCTCAGCTTCCCAAGTAGCTGGGATTACAGGCGTGTGCCACCACACCCAGCTAATTTTTGTACTTGTAGTAGAGATTGAGTTTCACCATGTTGCTCTGGCTGGTCTTGAACTCCTGGCCTCAAGTGATCATCCACCTTGGCCTCCCAAAGTACTGGGATTATAGGTGTGAGCCACTATGCCTGGCCCAAATGGCTACTGTTATTATCCTCACTTTACAGATGAGGAAAAAGAGGCTCAGAGAGGCGAGGTGACTTGCCTAAGGTCACACAGCTCTAGAGCAATGATTTTGCTTTTAACAACTGCACTGTACGTCTCCCCAGTCTTGTTCTTATTCACCTGGAATCAGGAGGATGGAGAATAAGCGTTGATCATGGGTTTGGGAGTCACAGCTTTAGAGCCTGGGAGGCCCCCAGCTTCCTGGATCCCTAGGGTCAGGCTCCGAAGGGCGCTTCCTGCTCTCTGTTCACACGTCTGACTCTGGGGGCCTAGCCCCAGGACACTGATCATGGGGAACCACCTGACCTCCTCACCACCCCCACCCCTGTCCCAGCGCCCCAGCAAGAAAGGAGTCAGGTTGGGCGTTCACCTGTCCACAGCCAGGTGCCTTCCAGCTCAGCAGCTGAAGATAAAAATCTATTAGCTGCCAAGAGGATTGCTGGGAAAAGCCAAGCCGTGATTCATAGGGTAATAAATAGAAAGACAGTCCCGGCCCCGGGGCTGCATCTTCCTTGCATGCTGATCCCGCATCTGTGGCACTTCCCAGCCACCCCAGGGGGACGCTGGCACCCGAGGTAGGCTGTGGCAGGCTCACTCCTGTGCAGCAAGAGCTGGCCTCCGGGAAACCGGGGGGAGTCTCCGGAGCATGTACAGGAGACCTGCCCCGCCCAGCACACACGCTCCTTCACTCCCAGGTCAGCATCCTGGGGCCTCCGTGTCCTTGTCTGGACCATGGGTGTAAAGAAGCCACATTTCATCACAACGAAGCCAGCACCGATGTCAGCTGCACAATGTTTTGTCCTGTTATGGTCTTAATGTTGGTGTCCCCAACATATGTTGAAATCCCAATTCCTAAGTTGATGGGTTTAGGAGATGGCGCCTTTGTGGGGGTGATTCAGTCACGAGGGTGGAGGCTTCATGAGTGGGATTAGTGCCGTCATAACAGAGGCTCTCACGAGACCCCCGTCCCTTTCACCGCGTGAGGACACAGTGGGAAGACGGCCATCCATAAGCCGGAAAACGAGCCCTTCCCGGACACCCAATCTGCCTTGATCTTGGACTTCCCATCCTCCAAAACTGCGACAAATAAATTTCTACTGTTCATAAGCCACCCAATCTATGGTATTTTGTTGTAGTGATCTCCAGGACGTCCCTAGGAGTTGGCGCTGCCAACTGGTGTTTAAAAGAATTAAGACAGAAGCGAAGGATGAGGAAGAGCCAGCCAAGCAGACATCTGGGGGGAAGGCGTGCCAGGCTGGGGGGACAGCAAGGGCAAAGTCCTGCGGCAGAAACAAGTCAGTGGGTCCGAAGAACAGAGGGAAAGCTATTGGGAACGGAGCAGAGGGGATAGAAGAGAGGTCCGCGATAAGATGGAGGGGTGGGTGGGGCCTTGAAAGTCATGGTAATGCATGCAGATTTCTTCTAGAAGCAACGAGAGCCTCTGGAAATTGAAGGCAAGGCTGCGCATTGTCTGATGGATGATGGCAAGTGTTGCTTTGACTGTCCTCTGGGGATCTGACTGCAGGAGGCAAGGGCAGCACCAACTCCTAGGGGCGTCCTGGAGGTCGCTGTCATCACGCTGGGCCTGTGATGAGTGCTCAGCCCATGATGGTCAGGGTGGATATTGCTGTGATATCATTGTTGCCAACAGGCCCTTTCCATATGCCAGCAGAGGCTCATACCGAATCTAATCCCCCAAAGCTCAGAATCCGGGAAAAGTAAGATACTTTAATTCCTCCAAGTAAGGGGGCCCAGGTCCGAGACCCAAAGAAGACTCTGGGACCTCAGGGGAGGAGGGGGTCAGCTGGGACCGCCCTCCTCTAACACCCCTTCCCACACCTTGGAATGCACCTCAGGCCCAGAAGGACTAACTGAGTTGACATCCCCAATTCACCCCAGGCCTTCTCTCAACGTCCTAGAAAAGCTACCCATCTGTCTGCCAAAATCTCTGCATCTCCCCAGCCAGGCAACTCCCAACCCATTTACCAACTGGAAAGGATCCTTGGCCCCCAGCTACTGTTCCCTGCTCAGAACTCTCAGTGAATCTTGGCTGCAACTGCCACCTACTTGATGTCTGTGAGTGAATATTCCATGTCTCCCCCATTGAGTTTCCCCAGGTCAGAGACTGCTGAAACTTGCAGGGAACTCTGAGATGGCCAAGCTCAGGGTTGGCGAATACATAGCACTTTCCCTGCCTACACCTAGGCAGACATCAGAAATCAATCCCAGCTCTCTCTCCCATTGAGCTTGAGCATTGCCTGAGAATCCTCAGCCTAGACCTTAGTGCAATCTAGGAATTGGCACAGGATTAAAGCTCCTGGCTGTGCCCAGTCTAGCACAAAGCCCTCATTTCGTAAGTGGGGAAACTGACGCCCAGTAACAGGAAGGGACTAAAATTCAGGCCCCTTGACTTCCAGCCAACAGTCTCTTTCCTCGAGGGCAAAGGGACATCTATCATTTATGTTCTCCCTGTGGGATATGGTGAAGAGATAGTGTACAACAGAGATTTGTTCAACGAATAACAAGAATGAAACAAACAAAAAACAAGGAAAGAAAGAAGAGAGTTTTAGATGCAATAGGTAAAAACTGGCTCGGGTGTGAGAAAGAAACCCATGACATCGTGTTGCTAGACGTTTAGAAAAGTTGCTAAGGGAAATTTTTAGAGTGTCTTTCCTTGCAGAACTTTAAAAATAGTCCTGAAAAAAAAAAAGTAGTCCTGATTAAGTGCCCATCTGCCTGGGAGCCTCCTGCGGAATGCTGGGTGTGTTATTCACTCATAGTTGACAAGTGTTTGTTGAACATCAACTATATGCTGAGCATAAATCAGTCATTGAATTAAAAAGCAAAAATAACAGCTAGAATCTGTATCTCTCTGAGTTAGAGATCTTTGGCTGCAAGCAACAGAAACCAAGTCCAAAACTCAAGCACGAAGGGGGTTTGGGGAAGGAAAGAGGATGACTCACAAAAATGACAGAACAGCTCAACTCGGCTCGCCTGGGCACTGCCTGTGGCATGAATCGTCTCCCTGCTATTTCTTCATATTTTCCCAGATTCAAAATCTGGGTAAGAGAGGCTGCTGGCCTCACTTGGGTCAACTCTTGATCAGGAGAAGGTGGAGCTCCTTGATTGGCAGCTCTTTGTTTTAGCCCAGGTTACCTGGAGCACAGAGGCTGAGGCAGGGTTTCCTGGCTAATGCTATTCTGATGGGGTGCAAGCTTAGGACGGCAAGAGTGAGAGCAAAGGGACAAACAAGGTGACGGGCCTCTGAGATGGTCATGGCATCACATCAACCACAGCTGGACAGTGGGTCACATGAGACTGTGCTAGCTTCCATCCACCTCCTACGTCTCATGGGTCAGAGCTCTGGGAAAGCCAGAGCCAACACTCCACAGCACAGAGCTTCATCTGCTCCAGAAGGGAGAGGGAAACAGCACCTCCATGGGCTGGGTCAAACCAAGCCTGGGAACTAAATGACTGCACGGCTCCTTCTTGGTGGGTGTATTAGTTATCCACTGCCACGTAACAAAATATCCTAAAACCAACCATAAATATATGTGATCTCACACAGTTTCTGTGGGTCAGAGATTGGAGAGCAGCTTAGCTGGGTGGCTCTGCTCTAGGGTCTCTCACGAGGGTACAATCAGGGTATCAGCTGGGGCTGCAGTCATCTCAAGGCTTTATTGAGGCAGAGACACCCATTTCCAAGATGGCGCACACACGTGGCTGCTGGTGGGTGTGTTCATCAGCTCGGGCTGCTGTCACAAAAGACCACAGGCTGTGTGGCTTCAACAATAGACATTTATTTTCTCACAGTTCTGGAGGCTGAAAACTCCAAGATCAAGGGTTAGCAGGTTTGGTTTTCCCTTCTGGGGCCACGAATGTGTTCTGGAGCTAGCTCTCGATGATCTGGAAGTCCCCAAGCACATGGTGGAGGCACTTAATGTCACTGAGCTGTACACTTTCAGATGGTTACGATGGAGAATTTTATATCATGTATATTTTCACACACACACACACACACACACACACACACACACACACACACAATCTGCGTCAGGGGTTTGGGGATCATGTCTCAGCTCTGCCACTAAATGAGTTTGTCTTTGAGAAAGTGACTTTCTCTCCCTGGCCTTGGTTTCTCTCCTCCCACTCTCCAATCTTCTGATGGGCCTCCCATTGGCCAAACCCAACCAGGAGCCAGAGGACAACGGGATCAGGGTCAGTCCCTGGGGGTCACAGATCTGGCGGACAAGATTGGAGAGTGGCTTGGACAAGCAAGCTTACGGGGGAACCACCATGTTACCCTAGAAATAACAGGCCAAGAAGAGAAGCGACATCTTCTGGTGTTTGATTTGCTTGCCTCTGGCTAAGTGCCTGTCTCCTTAGCCCCTAGCTCCCTCCTTGCCCAGAGAGAGGCTTCCTGCAAAGTGCTGACCCAGCGCCACCCCGCCAGATGCCAACAGGAATTTCTTAAGCATATGTGCCACACCAGCTCCATTCTCAGCACCACACCCACTGCCAGCGCCTGCAGTCCTTGTCTTGGCTTCTGGCTGTGCAGGGGAGGGTCCCAGCACTGCCTGTTCCCCCCAGGGAGGCTCCAGCCCATCTCGGTTAAACCTCATCTTACCAACCTTTGGGTCTTAAGGCTCTTCACTTGGGATCCAGCACAAGTCAGTCAGTAATTCATTCAACAAACCTTCACGGTGCAAAGTGCCCAAGATGTAGGGGTGTTGGGCAGAAGGGAGGTTCCAGCCTTTGAGGAGCTCCCAGTTCTGCAAGCAGGACAGAGAAGCAAATGCCCCATCCCAGGCAGAGTAACAATATTTAAAAATAAATAATTAGCATTGGATGCTCACGGTGGCTCACAATTGTAATCTCAGCACTTTGGGAGGCCAAGGCAGGAGAGCGTGGGGCCAGAAGTTTGAGACCAGCCTGGGTAACATAGCAAAACCCTGTCTCTACTAAAACAAACAAACACACAAGCTCAGCTGGGCATGGTGGTGCATGCCTGTGGTCCCAGCTACTCGGGGGCCTGAGGTAGGAGGCTCACTTGAGCCCAGGAGGGCAAGGCTGCAGTGAGCCGAGATCGTGCCGCTGCACTCCAGGCCGGGCGGCAGAGCAAGACCCTATCTCTAACAATAAAAATAAAAAATAATAGTTCAAGTTGAGGCTCCCTGAGTGCCTGTTGTACACCAGGCTCCTTACCTGTGTCAGCCCCCTTCATTCTGGACGGTACAGTTGTCACACCCACTGCTGTGGTCTGAATGTTCGGGGTGCAGCAAAAATGCACATGTTGGAGCCTAGCACCCAACATGATATTAATATTAGTAGTATCAAGAGGGGCCTTTGGGGGAATGATTAAATCATCAGTGCTCTGCCCTCACAAATGGGATCAGGGCTCTTACAAAAGAGGTTGAAGGGCCAGGCATGGTGGCAGGTGCCTATAAGCCCAGCTACTTGGGAGGCTAAGGCAGGAGAATCATTTGAACCTTTGGGGGCCGAGTTTGCAGTGAGCCAAGATCATGCCACTGCACTCCAGCCTGGGCAAAAAGAGCTAAATTCCATCTCAAAAAAAAAAAAAAAAAAAAAAAAGAGGATGGAAAGAGAGCCCTAGTCTCCTTGCCCTTCTGCCTTCCACCATGTGAGGACACAGGAAGTGCCATCTATGAAGCAAAGAGTGGCCCTCACCAGACACAGAACCTGCTGGCACCTGGAACTTGGCCTCGCCAGCCTCCAGAACTGTGAGGAATACATTGCTATTATTTCTAAATTACCCAGCCTAAGATACTTTGTGATCGAAGCCAGAATGGACCAACACGCTCACTTTACAGGTGAAGAGACTGAGGCACAGAGAGGATAAGTAACCTGCTCAACGCCATATCGCCAAGCAATGGCAGTGCCAGGGTTCCAACTCAGGACCTGGGCTCCCGACCTGTGCTCGCCAGCACGATCTGGTGCTGCCGTGGTGATTCCAGCGATGGGGGAAACCACAAGAGGAGGAGAGACCCATGCCCGACGGATGGGCAAAAATTAGAGGCCAACACCATCAAGAGCTGGCGGCACTGCAGAGAACCGGGGATTCTTGCTGAACCTGCTCTGCCATTTTGGACATCCGTGCAATATTAGGTACTAAAACTGAAGATCATCCTATCCCGTGAGCCAGCAATCCCACTCCTTGCCATATATTCCCCAGAGAAATGAAATCATATGCCCACATCAAGATGAATTCTCATGGCCGCTTTATCCATAGCAGCCAGGAACTGGAAAAAGAATAAAAAGACCAACAACCCACGGATGTCCATCCACAGGTGAAAAGATGAACAAATCACAGGACAGCCGTAAGATGGAGCCTCGGCAATTAAAGGAAACACAGGACTGATACACACACGTGTGTGGATCTCATGCGAACAAAAAGCCAGACGTGGCGCAGTGGCTCAAGCCTGTAAGCCCAGCACTTTGAGAGGCTGAGGTAGGCCAGCACTTTGAGAGGCTGAGATAGGACGATCACTTAAGCCCAGGAGTTTGAGACCAGCCTGGACGACACAGCAAGATCCCATCTCTACAAAAAATACAAAAATTAGCCAGGCGTCATGGCACAGGCCTGTGGTCCCAGCTATTTGGGAGGCCGAGGCAGGAGGATGGCTTAAGCCCAGGAGTTCGAGACTGCAGTGAGCTGTGATTGTGCCGCTGCACTCCAGCCTGGGCAACAGAGTGAGACCCTGTATCTAAAACAAAATAAAGTAATAAAAAGAAGAATGCACCATTTGATTCCTTTTTTTTTTTTTTTTGAGATGGAGTCTCACTTTGTTGCCCAGCCTGGAGTGCAGTGGCATGATCTCAGCTCACTGCAACCTCCACGATCTCCTTCAAGTGATTCTCCTGCTTCAGCCTCCTGAGTAGCTGGGATTACAGGCATGTGTCACCACATCCAGCTAATTTTTGTATTTTTAGTAGAGATGGGGTTTCACCATGTTGGCCAGGCTGGTCTCGAACTCTTGACCTCAGGTGATCCACCTGCATTAGCCTCCCAAAGTGCTAGGATTACAGGCGTGAGCCACCGTGCCCGGCCTGATTCCATTTTTTTATTCCTAGAAGAGGCAAAACTAGTCCATAGTGTTAGGGGTGCACGCTTGGGTGGAAAACCTCTAAGGAGAGGCAGGGAAGGGGCTACCACAAGGGGCAGGGGCTTGGTTGGCCCTTGGGGAGGAGGGGAAGGGTAGCTGGGAAGGGGCACATAGGTGGGGGGTACAGGGAGGATCTCAAGAGGGCCATGTTCTACTTCTTGCCCTGGGCGCTGGGAATGGGGGCTAGCTTCATGCATATGCTTTCCACTGACACTGGTGCACTTTGCTCTGTGTGCTCTATTTTAGAAGCAGAAACCCAGGGGCTTTGGCCCTTGGCATTCATTAGGCAATTGGCCTTTTTTTTTTTTTTTTTTTTTTTTTTGAGAGAGGGTCTCACTCTGTCACCCAGGCTGGAGTGCAGTGGCACAATCTCAGCTCACTGCAACCTCCATCTCCTGGGTTCAAGCAATTCTCCTGCCTCAACCTCTCAAGTAGCTGGGATTTCAGGCATCTGCCACCACACCTGGCTAATTTTTGTATTTTTGGTAGAGATGGGGTTTCGCCATGTTGGCCAGGCTGGTCTCGAACCTCTGGCCTCAAGCAATCCACCTGCCTCAGCCTCCCAAAGTGCTGGGATTATAGGTGTGAGCCACTGCGCCCAGTTACGGAACTTTTTAACGGAGTCCTTACTATGTGCAGGTGCTGAGGCTAAGGTATTAGGGACACAGGGAGAGCAAAAAAGATATGACCTCCATCCCCAAGGGGCTCATGGACAAGCAGGACAGATGGACGTTAAACAGATAAACACACATGATTGCAGATTGCAGATTGCTTCACGACAGCTGCTCCAAGTCAGTGAGGGAGCTTTGGGACGGGCCGCACATTCTCCTTACAGGGAGATCTGTTTGAATGGGTCAAAGAGAAATAGTGGCCAATGCTTCTCTCTCCTCCCCCACGATTGTATATTCTATATACTTTTCTTAATTCCATTCTTATCAGCAGCTCTGTGAGGAAGATATTATCTCTATTCCCATTTTACAGATGGAACTGAAGCAGAGAAAGCTCACGTCGCTTGTCCAAAGTTACTCAGTTCAAGTGGCAGAGCTGGGATTTGAACCCAGGTGGTCCAGCTCCAAAAGCCCTAAGCCTGACTCTCGTCTGCCCCAGAGGGAGTGGCCTGGGGAGGCTGAAATGAATAGGATGCACAAGGCCAGTGTCATGGACTGGACGTGACCCCCAAGACGTCTAGTTGAAATCCCAGCCCCCACACGAGTGTTATTAGGATGGAGGCTTTGGGGAGGTGATTGGGTTAAAGTCATGAGGGCGGAGCCTCCGGGATGGGCTTAGTGTCCTTATAAGATCCAGCACCTCCACTCTCTCTAGGGGCACGCACTGGTGAAAGGTCGGGGGAGCACACAGGGAAAGGTGCCATTTGCAAGCCGGGAAGAGGGCCCTCACCAGAATCCAGCGTTTTTGGTATCCTGATCTCACACTTCGAGCCTCCAGAACCATGAGAAATAAACGTCTGTTGTTTGAGCCTCCCAGCTGATGGTATTTTACCATAGCAGCCCAAGCTAAGACAGCCAGGAAAGCAGGGACTAGCAGGGAACAGCACTGCCCTGGAGGGACCAGCATGTACTAAGGCCCAAGCTGCAAGCAGCGCGGTGGGGGAGGGAAGGGGCTAAAGACTGAGCACAGTGCAGGATGTGGGGCTGGGGGGGAGGGGGCGGCAGACAGGGGTCCCCACCCAGCCCCAGGGGGGCCAAATGCGGAGCTTTGAAGCTGCCCTTGATCCTAGCCCCACTGCAAGTCAGGTGTCATGAGAGTTCCTTGGCCGCTGCCGGCATGAAATGGAGTCATATGTAGTTGATTCTCACCTGCATGGAATTCTTTCCCCTTCTCCTTTAAGTCCTAAGGAACAGGCTTCAAACCACGGTGTCGTGAAAAACCTAATTGCAATCGTGCTGGCCTACGAGGCCCCCAAACCTCCTGCTTCCTAGAACATCTGTGGGTGCACACAGAGCCCTTCCTGCAACTTGCCTTGGGCGCTTCCCTAGTCTCCAGGGCCTCTGGAGGGGCCCCGCCTCCCAGAATCGGGGTGTCTACCTCGCCCACCCCAGCCGCCCGCCTGTGGAGGGAGCAGCAGCTTCACGTTCACACCCCAAACTCCACAACCCCTAATTAGACACAGGCACCGCGCGAGCGGAGATGGTGGGTGAGGTTCCTGTTTAGTGAAAGTGTCATTTCATTTCTCTCCCTGCTTTTGAAACTCGCTGCTGGTAACACAGATCGGAAAAAAGAGAACGCCCACAGAAACCCGAGCGCGGGGGCAGGGTGGGCGCGAAGCAGCGAGTACACACACATACACGCCGCGTGCTCACGTGGCTGGGCTCCCCACGCAGACACACACCGCTCCCCTGCCTGGGTGGAGAGCCGGGGCCCAGGAGCCAGACATCCCGGATTCAAATCCTGCCTCATGCAAGGGGATCGGCCACTCTTGGCCTGCAGTTCCCCAACTGTAAAGTAAGGAGGACTATTTAGAATGCCCCCCTCCCCCCAACTCTTCTACCTGGCTCTGTGTCCCCTGGGGCTGACCCACATAGGCTGCATCAACAGACTCCGACCTGCCGGCCTCTGGCTGAGGTTGACCAATGGGAATCACCGGCAGCAGATGGAGGGCAGACAGGAGGAAGTAGGGGCAGTCATCCCCCGGCTCTTGCCCACCAGGGCTGAGGTTTGGGAGTGGCTGTGTCCCTCTCCTGACATCACAGCTCCTTTGGGCAGCGCTTTTTTATTTTTCTTTTTGAGGCAGGGTGTCACTCTGTAGCCCAGGCTGGAGAGCAGTGGTGCCATCATAGCTCACTGCAGCCTCAACCTCCCAGGTTCAAGCAGCCTTCTCACCTCAGCCTCCCCAGTAGCTGGGACCACAGGTGCACGCCACCACACTTGGCTAATTTTTTGATTTTTTTGTAGAAACGGTATCTTGATATGTTTCCCAGGCTTGTCTCGAACTCCTGGGCTCAAGCGATCCTCCCACCTTGGCCTCCCAAAAGTGCTGGGATTACAGGCGTGAGCCACTGTGCCTGGCCTAGCCTGTTCTTGCAACTGCCTGTATCAGTCTTCTGTTGCTGCTGTAACAAATGGCCACAGACACAGTGGCTTCAGGACACACATTTATCATCTCCGAGCTCTGGAGGGCAGAAGCCCTACATGGGTCTCACTGGGTTAAAATCAAGGCATCAGCAGGTGTGCTCCCTCTGGAAGCTCTAGGGAAGAACCTGTTTCTTGCCTTTTCTGGCTTCTGGGGGACACCTGCCCTCCTTGGATTATGGTCCCTTCCTCTGACTTCAAGGCTGGCAGTGTAGCATCTTCAAATCTCTCTGACTCTGACCTCCTCCTTCCACTATTAAGGACCCCGGTGATGACACTGAGCCTACCTAGGTAATCCAGGATAATCTCATCTCAGGGCCAGCTGATTAGCAATCTCAATCCATCTGCCTCCCTATTTCCCCTTGCCATGTAATCTGACATAGTTGCAGGTTCCAGAAATTAGGATGCGGACATCTCTGCAGACCATTATCCTGCCTCCCACCGGACCCTCACTGGTTCTAGGCTCTATCCACTCTCCTGCTCCTTCAGGATTAGGACTACTAAGGGGGTCCCATGGTGCCACCCCCTCAGTGCCACACCCCCCCCCCCACTGTTTCCATAAATCCCACCCACCCCCCTATAATCATCCCTTCATTTCATCACCTCAATGGCCCCCATTTGAGCTGTCACCTGCAGGGACCTAATTAGTGCAGATAGTGAGATACTTGCCTTTTCCAGCTGAGGAATAAAGGACACATCACACATACCTGTCAGCCCCTCAGGCTGGTGCCTGGCACACGGCAAATGCTCAGCCACCTTTACAATCATAGTGTTTTATTTCTCTCACTAGATGCAGGCCCCCTTGTAAGTGGGAACTATGTACTGTTCTCTCATTTTTACTAGCCTTTGGCCTAGCTGCTGACAAAGAATTTCCAATCAATTTATTCATTCAACAAACATTTATCGAGCCCCAGCTAGACTCTGAGAGACAGAAATGAGATGATCTGACACCAACAACAAACAAACTTGCCCTCAGGAAGCTTCAAATCTAGTGAAGGAGACAACAGTTATACCAGTCATCATATAAACACACAATTACAAGATCACATCTCCTCCCAGATTCTCATGGAGGGCCTCCTCTGGACCAGCCAAGGCACTGGGCTTTTCAGGAGTACAGAAGTGAGGGAGGTATAATCCCTGCCCTCAAGATGTTGATAATCCCGTAAGGAAACAATTGGTGAAACAATCCTATAAGGAAACAATAAGTCCTACGCAGCCAGGACAATAGCAGCCAGCACTAGGCAGTGTCCACGGGTTTGTGCAGGCAAGCCTCACTTCAGTGAGGCAGTGGAGAGTGAACTCAGCAGGCCTGGGTTGTCCAAACCCTGCACATTCCAAAGAAAAGAATGGACCTTGATCAGCTCTGGACATAACCTTCACACCCTTGGAATATCATGCCTGATATGAGTGTCTTTGTATCTGGGCCAGGGGCCACACCACGTGGTTGATGCTAACAACCTGACTATATTGAATGCCTGTTTTCATTTGCCTGGTGCCCTGAGCCACACAGAATATTTGACCACTGTAGGGGCTGGAGAGTGAGTAACTGAGGTCAGCTACGTGGACGCTCCATGCCTATGTGCCTGACCCCCAATAAAAACCCTGGACACTGAGGCTCAGGCGAGCTTCTCTGGTTGGCAATTCTTTGTGTGTGTCATCACACAGTTTCTGGAAGAGATAAGTGCTGTTCATGCAACTCTGCTGGGAGAAGATAGCTGGGAGCTTGTGCCTGGCTTCTCCTAGCCTCTGCCCTGCACACCTTTTCCCTGTGCTGATTCCTGTCTGTGTCCTTTTGCTGTAATAAACCATAGCTACAAGTATGACAGCTTTCTGAGTTCTGTGAGTCCTTCCAGCAAGTCCCTGAACCTGAGGGTGGCCTGGGGGACCCGTGACACAGACCCTATAAGGCCCCTATATATAGTTTTTGAGACAAGGTCTCACTCTGTCACCCAGGCTGGAGTGCTGCAGTACAATCACAGCTCAATGAAGCCTCAACCTCCTGGGCTTAGGTGATTCTCTCACCTCAGCCTCCCAAGTAGCTGGGACTACAGGTGCATGCCCCACATCTGGCTAATTTTTGTATTTTTTTGTAGAAACGGGGTTTCACCATGTTGCCCAAGCTGGTCTCAAACTCCTAGGCTAAAGCAATCGACCCACCTTGGCCTCCCAAAGCTCTGGGATTACAGGCATGAGCCACCATGCCCAGTCCCCTATGAGACCCCTATTTTACAATCAGGGAAATCAAGGCTGGGAGCGGTGGCTCATGCTTGTAATCCCAGCACTTTGGGAGGCCGAGGTGAGGGGATCATGAGGTCAGGAGTTTGAGACCAGCCTGGACAACACAGTGAAACCCCATCTTTACTAAAAATACAAAAATCAGCTGGGCATGGTGGCAGGCACCTGTAGTCCCAGCTACTCAGGCAGCTGAGGCAGGAGAATCACTTGAACCCAGGAGTTGGAGGTTGCAGTGAGCCAAGATCGTGCCATTGTACTCCAGCCTGGGTGACAGAGTGAGACTCCATCTCAAAAAAACAAAAATGAAAACAAACAAACAAACAAAAAATCTGGGAAATCAAAGCCAAATGGTTTAAATGATGGCCCCACAGTCACATAGGAAGCAGCAGAGCTGGGGTTTGAATTCAGGTAGCCAGGCTTGCAGTCTGGCCTTGCCATGCCACTGGGTGCTAACAGACTGTGGTCAGAAAGAAGGAGGGTCCAGTCTGCCTGAGGCATTAGGAGCCACTTGGCAGGGGTGGGAGGATTAATTTGCATAGGACCCTAAAAATCAATAGTTACACCTTTTTTTCCTAATCATACGTGAAATAGGTATTCTTTATTGAAAAAAAGCAAGCAATAAATAAGTTGTGTTTGGCACAAAATGGACCCCTCTCTTAATTTGAATTCCAAAGACAACTGCCACCAACAGCCTGGAGTGTGTCCTTCAGTACCTTTCTCTACACGCAAACACGTACCTGAGCTAAAGCACTATATTACTTCCTATTACTGATGTAACAAGTGATCATAAACATAGCAGCTTAAACAACACCAGTATATTCTCTTATTGTCTGGAGGTCAGAAGTCCGAGATCGATTTCGTTGAGCTAAGCAAGACATCAGCAGGACCGGTTCCTTCCGGAGGAGAAGCATTTCTTTGTGTTTTGTGGCTTCTGGAGGCACCTGCATTCCTGCTCTCGTGAGCCCGTCCTCGCATCCCTACAACCTCTTGCTTACAGAGGTCACAGCTTCTGCCTTCTGCTTTCTCCTATAGTCAAATCTCCCTCTTACAAGGACAATTATGACTATGTTTAGGGCCCAGGATCATCTCCCCATCCCAAGATCTGTAACTGAATCCCATCTGTGAAGTTTCTCGTGCCATGTAAGTTTCGGGGATCAGGACATGGATGTCTTTGGGGACAGGATTCTGCCCACCCCATACCCTGCCTGCAGCCCCGCTGCTTGCCTTTCCCACCCCCTTCGTCAGCCTCTCTGTGCCAGCATGAGCGGACCTGCCTCATCCTTTCCACTGGATGAGCCCTTACACAGCAGCTGCCTATTAAAGGCAGGGCCAGCTGTGTTCACAGGGAAACGGGTCAGAGTTCTGACGCCCCTGGGAGCTGAGAGGAAGGAGCTGGCTGGTCCCTGCAGTCCAGGAGAAACTGAGAAAGAGCTCTGGAAAGGACTGAGTCTGCCTATGGCCAAAACCTCCCCTGGAGGCACTTCCAAGTTTCCCAGGTTCCCCAAGCCAGAGATGGCTGGTGCAATGTGTGAATTGACACCAAAGCTGGGACTTGGGGACAAAGGTGGCATAAAAGTGGAGGCCAGAATGCACTGGGAAAAAGCACCCTTATTTTGAGGTCATAGCCATGTACAGACCAGCGGGTGTCCAAAGGGACCTGCTTAAAACTTAATAGCTTCCTTAACGTTTACACTCACATTTCCACACTCATCCTCATGCTGCGTGCACAGGTTATGCTTTGACTGCTCCTCTAGCATCCCCCTGCCCATGCACCAGGCCTGTTAATTTATATTCTTGTTACTTGGTTCGTTCTCTTGTTTGACCTTCCAGGCCCCTGTCTAACAGATGGGTTATTTTATACATCAAAATGGAGGTTCAGAGAGTCAAATTGAGGAAAGAGGTTCAGAGAGGTTAGGCAACTTGCGCAAGGGCACACAGCCAGGAAGTCGCAGATCTGGTTTCGGATACACTGCCTCAGTTCCCTATCAGAGAGCTCTCTGGTGAGGACCAGAGATTAAGCTAGCATCCTAGGGAAGTCCAGATGGGAACTAGTGTCCTCTGTCATTTTTCTGCTATCAGCAGAGGGTCTTGGGCCTGGGTTTGACACCCATCTGGCTACCTCCAGATTGATCTCCAGCTGGGAGGCAGAGGTGTCCCCACCCGTCCAAGGTCACCAGGGTCATGACTGTCTAGACAAGATGTGAAATGTCCCCTTCCTCTTGGCCCCATGTTTGCCTGTGGCCTGAACTGCCTCCCGCATCTGCTGGTGAAGTCACATCCTTAGAGCCCTGGGGTGGGCACATGAGGTCATCCTGGCAGGCTCGAGCCAGCCCGTGCCTGCCCCCACCCCCCGCTGCAGCTGCCTGGTCCCACCCCGCAGAGGGATCAGGTTTTGGGGAGGGAAGAGGCTAAAACCAGCTCCCAGGATGGGAGACTTGGGAGCTCTGGTCAAACCATCCCTTTTCCTCTCCCATCCCAGACCTGGGGGAGAGACTGGGGTGCCACGAGGGCAGGAGTGACCAACTCCATCCAGGTTTGCCTGGGGCCATCCCAGTCTTAGTACCATGAGTCCTGTGTCCCAGGAACACCCTAGTCTGGAGCTCACGGAGGCAGCTGTGGACCCACCCGTATGGGGTTGTGGAGTTTCTCTTTCATTCCTCCTGGGAAAAGGCCTGTCCACAAGCCTCACACCCTTGCAACCCACTGGTGTTTCTGCGAAGGGTGGAGTGGGGAAAAGCGTATGTGTCTGCTCGCCTGTGTAGCCTTGTACAAACACTTACACCCCAACCTCAGTTTTGTCTTCTGGAGAATGGGGATAAGGATGCTACCCTCCTGGCAGAGCTGCTGAGAGGCTTAAAGGAGGGAGAGATTGTAAGTGGCCAGCAAGGGAGAGCTTTTATAAAGAACAGCACAGAGGGGAGATGGCAGGCAAAGCAGAGTGAGTGCTGGGGACATTCTGCAAGTGGAGGTGGCCACGGGCAGGGGCGGGTGCTGGTTGTGTGCCTAGAGTGTGCCAGGCCCACACGGGCTGTGTTCTCGGTTCACCCTCAGAGCTACCTAGGAGGGAACCCATGTAGTTCATGAATGTCATTACCCCCATTTTATGGATAAGGAAACTGAGGCTCTGGGGGCAGCCAGCAAGGGGCAAAGCCCTGCCCCCACCTGGCAGCAGCTGTCTTTGCAGATAGGAGCCTGCAGTGCAGGGGAGAGAAGGGACCCGTTTTTCCCGTCTGTTGCCCCGTCGTCACCCAGAGACCCAGAGGTGCTCGATGCTGGCAGCAGGAGCACCTGTGGGGCCCCAGGGCCAGGATGCCCTCCCAGACTCTGCCACCCACACCAGTGACTCCATCTTGGAGGTGGGAGCCTGTTTCCTCCTCTATAAAATGGGGATGAGGCCACTGAAGCAGTTGAAGGGAAGTTTCAGTGACCACCCGTGGCCAGCGCCGAGCCACGCAGGCTGGGG
This sequence comes from Homo sapiens, assembly GCF_000001405.40. Classification (NCBI taxonomy): domain Eukaryota; kingdom Metazoa; phylum Chordata; class Mammalia; order Primates; family Hominidae; genus Homo; species Homo sapiens. Next base: position 124,653,246 of record NC_000012.12, read on the forward strand.
CACCCGGGGACTCCATGTGAGTGGCCAGGGTTGGAATCCTGATGATCCTGGGGACCTAGGGACACCTGCAGGGGACTGCAGCTCCCCTACCGCCTCCCAGCTGGGTGGGGCGTCTCTCTGTGCTCCCCCCATTACGGGCCACGGGCCACATCGTTCTGAGCTGTAACTTCCTGCTTACTCCTTGCTACACGCCTGTCTCCCTCCCTGCTGGGTCGCTGCAGGCAGATGCTTATTCGGGAGCTGGAGTCCAGGCTTCACCTCCTGGAGCCCTGTCCCCACCTTGGAGCAGTAGGGACAAAGCAGATGTCCCCTCCCACACCATGTCCTGGACGACTCCCTAGACCAGGGATTCTCAAAGTGAGGTCTGAGACTCTTGGAGGGATCCACAGGGTCCTTCTTTTCCTTCCCTACATCTCTGTGAGGTCGGGTTTTCTTCATGTCCTTCAACCAAAACGCCAAGTCACACCAGACCGGATGCAAAAGCAGATTTGGGAATCCAGCTCTCTTCTAAGGGACTGGACGTGAAAGAGGTTTGCAAAATTGTGAAACATACGATGCCACTCTCTTCTCACTATTTCTTTATGTTTGGGAAAAAAATGTTATCTTTCTTAAAATATATTACTCAACATATTAAGGAGCATAAAATTGTTCTTTTAAAATAAATGCATGTTTTGAAATTTTATCATGTTAATCTCTAATGCAGTAAATACTGATAAATAGAACCCACATAAACAAAAGCCCTTTTGGAGTCCTCAGTAATTTCTAAGGGTGTCATAGGGTCTAGGGGCCAAACAGTCTGGGAACTGCTCCCTTAAACAGCAATCTTACTTGATCCTTAAATTAAAATGGCTAACAGCAGCCGGGCACAGTGGCTCATGCCTGTAATTCCAGCACTTTGGGAGGCCAAGGCGGGCGGATGGATCGCCTGAGATCAGGAGTTGGAGACCAGCCTGGCCAACATGGTGAAACCCCGTCTCTACTAAAAATACAAAAATTAGCTGGGTGTGGTGATGCACACCTGTAATCCCAGCTACTCAGGAGGCTGAGGCAGGAGAATCGCTTGAACCCGGGAGGCAGAGCTTGCAGTGAACCAAGATCGTGCCACTGCACTCCAGCCTGGGTGACAGTGAGAATCTGTCTCCAAAAAAAAAAAAAAAAAAAATAGCAAAGAGTTACTTCACACTTTCTATGCACCTGGCATTGTCTGAACCTTGTGCATGGACAGTTGTACAGAGACATACACATAGATACTATCTAACAGCACACGAACCCTCTGAGGTGGGTTTCAATTACCCCATTTTACATATGGGGAACTCAGGCTCTAAGTGGCCCCTTAACCACCAGGGGCCACTGCCTCTGGGGAAGCCCCCCCACTGGGACCCTCAAAGTCTGTTTCAGGAGTGGCTGAGATTCCAGGACAAACCACCTGGAATTCTCAAAGTTGGCCCCCACCTTGGAAAATCCCCTGAGGCTCACTGGCCCAGACTACCTTGGGGGACCCCAAACCCTGGCATGTCCTGGTCACTTGCTCTGAAGGAAGCCTGGCCACTGCTCACTCACCCACCTCCCGCCACACCAGGCCTCCGGCTTTTCCGTGCTGCTCTTCGGACACCCAAACTGTGCCAGCCTCGGGGCTTTTGCACCTGCTGTTCCCTCCCGCCGGAATGCCTTTCCTCCACGTGGGGCCCGTCATCGTCCCTGGCCTCTCATGTAAAATAGCAGCACCCTCTCCCACTCGTCTTCCCCTCCACCCTTTCGCTGCTATTTCCTGTGTGACACTCGGCACTATGGGACATTGTGTTGTGGATGCACTGGTTCAGGGGTTCAGTGTCTGTCTCCCTGTGGAAATCTAAACCCGGTAAGAGCCCAGGCACAGCAACAGGTCCCAGCATGGTGGACTCAGTGAGTGGATGAACAGGATACGGGGACAGGAGAGTCACGCCTGGCTACAGGGACGCCCATCCACCTCCTCCAGCCTGGCTGACCGGCGCCGTGCTGGCCTGCTGCCCAGACTTGCCAGATCTTTCGATTTTTCAAAAGAAGCTGAACATCCAGATTTTTATGTAAAATCTTTTTTTTTTTTCACTAGCAACTTATTCAAATTAACAAAAAGAAAAAAACAGCTTGGTGAGCCAAACCTTATGTAGATAAACTCAGTTTGGCTAATCAGACTCGCCTTGCCTTCTAAGGGGAGGTGACATTTGAACAAGACTGGAAAGCCTTCAGAGCTAGGCGCAGGCCAAGCAGGGGAGGAGGGGAACAGGGTCGTGCCAGGCCAGCTGGGGCTGGGTTGTGGGGAGCATTTGAGAGGTCCGCACTCCGTGGACAGGCCCGTCACCCTTCCCCTTGGCTTCGGAAGTCTCCCCACCTCCCCCCGACCCCAGGCCCAGCTGGCTGCAAGCCATACACTTGAAGCATATGCGTGGAGTGTTTTGAGAAACGGAACACACAATACATCGCAAATAAGGCTGCTTCTCCGTCTGGCTGGGACACATCTCCACGCTCCGCCAGATGGTCCCCCGCCGCCTCCCCAGCTGAGGCCGGGGCTTTGTGAGGTTGCATTCTGCGTAGAGGCTCCTCTCCATTCTGCAAGAGGCTGCTGGGAAGCTCTCTCCCCGGGGTGGCCGGGAGGATTTTTCTTGGCCCACAGACAGGAAGCTGATTCAGCCGGGAACCTTCTTCTGCATTCAGAACCCCCACAGCTCCATCCTCCTCCATCCCCTGCCCACCACGCTCCATCCCCCACCAGCCCCCATGACCCAGAGCCCCAGTGCGCTGGTGTTTATTGCTAATTGTTTTCAGACAGATGGTGTGGCCCAGAGTCTAATTCCCCAGGCTAGGGGGCGGGGGATGCTAGAGGAGAAGGCCGTGACCTTGACCACTTGCATTCTTGAAGAAAATGTTTGGCCCAGCCTGGGAGGCGGGGCGGTGGGCAGTGATGGCTAGGGCTTACAGAGGGGAAGTTTCAGGGCTTTGAGAAGGGAACAGGGGAGTAGGAGGAGGCTTTGAAATGTGGGAAACAACCCTGCAGCCCCAAGGGCTGATAAAGCTGGCTGGAGAATGGCCCCACCTTCAGGAAGCCCTCTGGGATTGAAGCCTGCGAGGCAGGGAGAATTCCTCCTGCAGGGTTGGATTTAGGGATGTGGGGAGTAGGGGATTTGTGGGGAGGGTGGAAGACCTCCCCACAATTTAATAAGGAGCCTCACTTTTTTTTTTTTTTTTTTTTGAGACAGAGTCTCACCCTTTTGCCAGGCTAGAGTGCAGTGGCGCGATCTCGGCTCACTGCAACCTCTGACCCCCTGGTTCAACCAATTCTCCTGCCTCAGCCTACTGAGTAGCTGGGATTGCAGGCACGCACCACCAAGCCCAGCTACTTTTTGTATGGTTTGTAGAGATGGGGTTTCACCATGTTGGCCAGGATGGTCTCGATCTTCTGACCTCGTGATCCGCCCGCATTGGCCTCCCAGAGTGTTGGGATTACAGGCGTGAGCCATTGCACCCAGCCAGGAGCCTCACTTTTTAATGTAATTTCAACATGATCTGAAGGCTTACAGAGCCACCAACATTTCACTAGATCCCATGAGTCTGCCAAGCTGAATGAAGACCCCAAATTACAGATGAGAAAAAGAGGTGGCCTGTGAGGTGAGATGGCTTGCCTTAGGTCACACAGTCCACAAAGATCCATTGAGCTGTCACTCTGTGCCTGGTGGGAACACAGCCATGGCAGAGGACAGGACTGACAAAGTCCCTGTGTTCAGACTGGATAGGTTTGTACAGGTTTGTGAGAGGAGACAGACGCAACTACAAAGAAATACGTTCAGAAACGGAAAGGACTAGAAAGACAAAAAACTAGGGAACAGGGTAGGCAGGGATCTCTGGAGAAGATCAGAGAGGGCTTCTTGGAGGAGGCAAGCTCAAACATCGAGCCTTGAAGGCAGAGTTGAAACAAGCTGTGTCTACATCTCAAAACAGAGAGAAAGCCAGTGCAATGGCCCTGGGGTATGGATGAGCTTGTTGTGTCCAAGGAGGGGAAGCGTGGCCCCGGAAGCCATGATGGGGTGTATACAGAGCTGAGATTATAAAGCCCCTTCACCAATATCATTGAACACCAAATGCACCCACGACTAGAGAGCCAGCATCAGCATGATACCAAAACAGCGTGTTGCTCAACATCAGGTTATTTCAAGTTGCTTTCTTTGTAAGGGTTAAAGCAGAAGGGGTTCTTTAGGCTGGCTCAGGTTGACTGGGCCCTCCTTGATTGGTTGCTGTGAATCTCCAGTCTATTAGAAAAATTGCCCCCATTTCTTCTATTTCTGCTTATTTTTTTCTTTCTTTTTTGTTTTTAGAGACAGGTCTCTGTCACCCAGGCTGGGGTGCAGTGGCACAATCATAGCTCACTGCAGCCTCAACCTCCTAGGCTCAAGTGATCCTCCCACCTCAGCCTCCTGAATATCTGGGACTACAGGTGTGCAATGCCTCGCCTGGGTAATTTTTATTTATTTATTTATTTATTTATTTATTTATTTATTTATTTATTTATTTATTGTTTTGTAGAGATAAGGTCTCATTATGTTGCCCAGGCTGGTCTCAAACTCCTGACCTCAAGCAATCCTCCTGCCTTGGCCTCCCAAAGTGCTGGGATTACAGACACATAAGCCACTGTGCCCAGCCCAAACTACCCCCATTTCCAAGCTCAGTTTAATTACACGGCACCTGCAGGAGTGGCTCCGTTCTTGGTCTGCTGGGGCCTAGAGCAGGAGCTCAGTCCAAAACGAGGGCCTCACATAAATTTTATTTACCAGCTATGGAGGAAAATAGAGCAAGGAGGGTGGGAGAAATCAGGGGGACTCAGGTGTGACCTTAAATAGGAAGGTCAGGGAAGGGCTGCTGGAAAAGCAGAAAACAATCGAGAAAAGACCTGTAGGAGATGAGGAAGTGAGGCAGGCAGGAATGACGGAAGGAAGGAAGAGACTGATATGAGGTCCCTGGAGTAGCCAGATTCATAGAGAATTTCCGTCTCTGTGAATCTGGCTACTCCAGGGACCTCATATCAGTGGAATCTGACAGTATTTGTCCCTTTAAAACTGGCTTATTCTACTCGATATAATGTCTTCAAGGTTCATCCACATTGTAGCCTGTGTCAGAATGTCCTTCCTTTTTAAGGCTGAGTAATATTCCATTCTTTCTGGAAGGAAGGGCTTTCCAGAAAGAGGGAGCAACTGGTGTGCAAAGGTCCTGGGGAAGGTGTGTGCTTGGTATGTTCAAGGAGGCCAGAGCAGATGAGGCAGAGAGGGAGAGGGAGAGGAGGGGGCACTGAGCCTCGGGACACAGCAGAGGGTGAGGGAGTAGACCCCGCAGGGCATCGTGGGTTGTGGTAAGCACTGGCTTTTCCTCCAGGGACAAGGGAAATTGTTATAGGTGTTTGAGCAGAGGAGTGGCTTGTCTTGACTTAGGTCTAGCAGGATCCCTTTGGCTGCCAAGTGGAAAATCAACTGTGGGAATGAAGGCTGAGAGGCCGTCGAGGAGACTACTGCACCTGTCCAAGCCAGAGATGATGCTAGCTGGAGCCAGGGGAGGCAGCGGGCTGGAGAGAAGTGGTCACAGTCATGACAGATTTTTTTAAATTGTAGTAAAATACACATAACATAAAATGTATCATCGTAACCCTTTTCAAGCATTCAGTTCAGTGGCATGAAGGGCCTTCACACTGTTGTGCAGCCGTCGTCACCATCTGTCTGCAGAACTTTTTCATCTTCCCCAATTAAAACTGTCTCCATGAATCACAGCCCTGGCACTCACCATTCTACCTTCTGTCTCTATGAATCTGGCTACTCCAGAGACCTCATATCAGTGCAAACTGACAGTATTTGTCCTTTTATGACTGGCTTATTCTACTCACTATATTGTCTTCAAGATTCATCCACATCGTAGCCTGTGCCAGAATGTCCTTCCTTTTCAAGGCTGAGTAATACTCCATTGTCTGGATAGACCATATTTTGTTTAACCATCATCCATTGACGGACACTCTGGTTGCCTCCACCTTTTGGCCATTATGAACACTGCTGCTGTGAACACAGGTGTGCAAATATCTCTCCCAGTCCTTGAGGATGGATTTTTAAGGTATGGGCAATAAGATTCGCTTATGGCGCAGATCCAGGAGTGTGAGAAAAAGAGGCGTCAGTGTGGACCGAAGTCAGCTCAGCTCCTGCCCCACCCTGTCTTGATGGGCAAAAGGCCATTCCACCTCTGACATTCTAGGACATTCTTTTGAGACATTTCATAGCACGGCCTCAGCTCCTGACCCCTCACCTCTGCCATCTCAACCCCTCAGGGACTCTACTTCCCTTCTCTTCTGCCAAGCCTCCAGGTCAGCATCTGCCCGTCTTCATTTCTCAGACAGGCAGACCATCTCAGTCAGTGCATGCTATCAGCCTCCTCGTCACTGCTGTCCTCCCACCGCACCTCAGCAGGCTCAGATGAGTGAGACGCGAGGCTCTCGAGTGCTCTAGAACTCAGCTGAATTTCTGCTTTTAGTCCCATTCAGCGGAAACAGGGCCTTGCTTAGTCTTGAGCTTTCCCAGGCTTCTTCCACCCTGCCCAGGGATTGAATCTACTTACAGCCCTCCTTGGGCCAAGAGTCCCCACCAATGTCCCTGAAATGCCTATGGTCTCATCTGCCTTTAGGTCTTGGTCTGGTTCCAATGACACTGGGCTCTTTTCTGCTCCCCAAACATACTGAGTGAGTGCCTCCCCCAGGGCCTTTGCACCTACCATTCTGGGCCTTGCCCACTTTCCTCTTCGTTTTGCCACCCCTACTCACCCAGCAGTTTCCAGCTTCAACCTCCCTGCCTCGGAAACCTCCTCTATGCCTCAGGCTGAAGCCAGGCTCCCAGTCAGCTCCCCCCATGCCTCCCTGGAAACTTTCCTGTCTTGACACTTGTCCCATTAGGAAAGAGAGACAGGAGGGGGCAGTGGTTAACGCACAGACTGAAGTCAGACTGCCTGTGTCCAGATCCTGGCTCTCACTGAAGAGCAGAGTGACCTTGACCAAATCACGGAATCTCTCCCAGCCTCATTCATAAAATGAGGATAATCATGAACCCCATGCACAGGGTTGTGTGGGGATTAAATGAAATAATATACATCAAGTGCCCGGAACAGTGTCCGACGCAAAGTGTGCCATGAATAATTGTTGCTCTGTGGAATTCCTTGCTCACTGGCATCTTCCCTGCCTGGTGGTAACTCAGAGGAGAGAGGGGCTTGGTCTGCCCGGGGTGTGCAGGTATACCTGACGTGCTCTCCAGATCTGGACCAGCAGGGTAGACGGATGGACAGATGGAAGTTCTAACTCTGAGTCCATGCAGCAACCTCCTCCTCCTCTCCCGGTGCTGGCACTACCTCCATCCAGCCCCCTCCCCGCCCCTCCTGCCACTGGGGGCTCACCTGACCCAGCCCCCACCTCCCCAGCCTCCTGTACCCATTCAAGTGCAATTAAGCCAAACTTTTGATTTAAGATATTTATAAAGGCACTAAGAATGTCCTCTAATATCAGCTTATATATTTTTAATCTGCCGTTAAAGTGATTTAAAACGGAGCTCCGACGGATAGGCATGATGAAAATTAAAAGTCTCCATCACCTTGTGTCTGGCTGCAGCGCCCCAGCCGACAAGGACGCAGTGGGGCGGAGGCCCCCCACCCCGCCAAATTAGGGGGAAACGCAGCCTTGCCTGCTCTTCTCCAGGGCTGGGGCAGCCAGGGAGACGCGGTGTCATTAAGTAGTGAGCGCAAAGGGCGGCAGTGTCTGCAGAAGGAGCCACGCGGCCGCGCTTAATGAACAGTGACATCTGCTCGGCTCTTTAATTAACGAGCCCCCACGCGCTGTGGCAGGACACAGGGACCACGTCCTCTGTGCTTGCAGGAAAGAAAAAAAAAAGCCAGGCAGGGAGACGACTGCAAATGTGCAGAATGATTTTTTTCCTGCCTCCTTTTAGAAACTGGAGAATGGAACCCAGCTGCGACTGTTCCCTCTGCAAGGCCATTTCCCAGGACTGGGTTCCTGAGGAGCCTGGTGGGTGAAGGCGCTCTCGCCCCATGCCTGGTGTTCAACCTTTTCTTCACCCTTCTCCCACCCCCGGCCTCTTCACACACGAGTCTGAAATAAATGAAGGCAGCCGGAGTACAGGGGTCTGAGCTTCCCCCAGGCCTGGGATGAAAAGCCATGAATCAGCCCTGTGTTAAATTTCCCCATCATAAATTCACTCATCCACAACTGCATCCCAGCTTCCTCCATGACAACAGGCTGCCACCCACGAAGACACCAAGCGGGGGCTGTGAGAGAGATTCCAGATCTCACACCAAGGATAAGGGCCCAGGACAAGGGCCACTAGTGGCCATCCATGGCTTAACCACTAAGACATTGCATCTTCCCGTTTCCACGCTGGAGGCAGGCTTTACAGAGAGCCAGGCTGCAGTGGGGGGATTTTGACCTGAAGACCAGAGGCCCGAGTCTCTGGCTTGTAAAATCTCAAAAAACTTGGCCCTTGTGGCTTGATGGCCCAAAGCATAGCTCTGGAAGAGTCCCACCCCCACTCCAAACACATCAGCTACAGGTTTTTTTCTAGAACTCTCTAGAGTTTTCTATAATTCAACTAAATTTCTGCTTTGTGCCCCATTCAGTGGAAACAGAACCTTGGCAAGTCCAGAGTTTTCCCACTCTTAGCCTACTCTGCCTAGGGATTGAGTCTAGCTGTGGCCTTCCTTTAAAATGAGTCTGTGGACCTTCTTAGGTCAAGGGTCACCACAGATGGCCCCAAGATGCCCATGGTCTCATCTGCCCTTAGGCCTTGGTCCAGCTCCAGCTACACTGGCCTCTCTTCTGCTCCCCAACCATACTGAGTGAGTGCTCACAGTCACAGGCATTTATTTAGCACTTACTGTATGCCTGGCTCTTTGCACAGTGGTTTATATGCAGCAGCTCTCACACCAACCCTATGAAGAAAGGACTATCACCAATCCCACTTTATAGAAGCAATTCTTCTGAGGAACACCAAGAGACAGCGTAGACAAGCTCAGAGTTATGTGCCTGAAGAGTGAGATAGTTGGGGTATTTATTCACTCAATCCCCACTTGTCATCGGTTGAGGGTGTTAAACTCTCAAGCAGTCTCTCCTGAGGAGGCTTAGTGAGCACCAACAGCATCTACTCTCCTCCCTCCCTGCACATTCCTGTCTGGAATGTTCTGGAGCTTTGGCAGGCATGTTGGCACTACAGAGAAAGGTATAAGAACTGCTGAGGCCCTGACATGGCCTGGTTGCTAAAACAGCTTTTGCCAGGCTTCTTTAAATATCCAATTCTACTTGCTCATTGCTGATATGTAGGAAAGCAATTGACTTTTGTATAGTTACCTTGTATCCTGCAACCTTGCTATAATCACTTATTCATTCTAGTGTTTTTTGTCATTGTTTTGAATCTTTGGGATTTTCTAAACAGTCATGTCATCTGTGAAGAAAGACAGTTTTATTTCTTCCTTCTCAATCTGTATACCTTTTCTTACTTGTCTTATGGCATTAGCTATGATTTCCAGTATGACCTTGAAAAGGAGTGGTGAGAGTGAATGTCCTTGCCTTGTTCCTGACCTTACGGGGAAAGAACCTAGTTTCTCACCATTAAGTGAGATGTTAGCTATTGGATTATCGGAAATGTTCTTTATCAAGTTGAAGTTCCTCTTTACTCCTAGTTTGCTGGGAGTTTTTGTCGGGGATAGGTGTTGGAGTTTGCCAAACACTGTTTCTGCATCTATTGATGTGACTGTATGATTTTTAGCCAGGTTTCTTTTTAGAGGAGGAAAACAAAACTCCCATTTTGTTCAGGCCACTGATAGTTAAGCTTTCTGCAACTTGCAGGTAACAGGCATCCCTAACGGATATGAGGAGCTACAGGAAGGAAGGAAATGGATGATATGGGTCTGGGCTGCCTTTTCAATAAATGTCCTTGTGACTGAAATGTTGGGTACGTTAGTCTCCCCTGGCTGCCGTAACAAAGTACCACAAATGGGGCAGCTTACACAACAGAAATGTATTCTCTCACAGTTCTGCAGGCCAGAAGTCTGAGATCAAAGGGCCAGCAGGGTTGGTTCATTCTGTGGGAATCTGTTCCTGGCCTCTTCCCTAGCTTCTGGTACTTCGCTGGCAATCTTTCGCATCCCTTGGCTGGCGGATACGTCACCCTGATTTCTGCTTTCATGTTCCCATGGCATTCTTCCTGTGTGTGTCTGTGTCCAAAGTTCCCCGCTTTAGAAGCACATCATATTGGATGAGGGACCCCCTTATTCCAGTATGACCTCATCTGAACTAATTCCATCTGCAGGGACCCTACTTCCCAAATAACGTTGCATTCTGAGGCACTGAGGGTGAAGTTAGGACTTCAGCACATGAATCGCGGGGGATGCAACAGGGTCTATAACATCAGTTTAGGGAAAGTTTTCTTTTTATGATCGGGAGTCTTGAGGGCACTTGTGGCCATCAGGAAGGTCTGGTTGGGAAGGAAGAAAGGAAAATCCATTGTGTGTAGTTTCTGAGGGACTGACAAGAGTGAGAGCTCCAGCCCAGAATGACAGACCGGCCCTTCCTGGCCAACCACCGGGATGCACACAGGGTCCCTGTGTGAGGCTTTCTCCTTCCTGAGCAGCCTCCATCTCCGGGGGTGGGCCCGGGGCCGCAAGTGGAGGGGCCCCCACGCCACGTTTTGTGGCTGAGCTGAGGCTTCTGCCCTCGCAGCTGGGCTGACCTCCTGCAGGCCGGCCTCAGTCTAAACAAGGGCCGAGTGTGTTTTTCCAGGCGAGGATTGGGCTGGGGTTTGCCCGGGAGCCTGGTTCAGACAGGAGCCCTTTGAAGGCAGGATGAATTGAGACAATGTCTCCTTCCAGCTGAGGGCAGGCAGGGGCCAGAGCAGGAGTAGCCTTCCAGAAGGCCTCTTGTCCAGGGATAAGGAGGGTGTGGGAAGGGGAGCTTAGCCTCTGGGCCACCACCGGGCCTGAATGACATCGTCATCTAACAATCCAGCAACTGCGGCAGCGACGAATTCTCGCAGCCTTTGCCAAAGCAAGCCTCGTGCAGGAGCAAGTGACAGGAGGTGGTCCCAGACGAGTATCTCTTTTATTTTTAATAATTATGCATGTATTTAATGTATACTAGAAAAATATAGTTAGCCCATCCCATTAATGTCCCAGGTTGCATTGCTTCATGCAAGGTGACATCTCAAAATTTAAAAAGGAGGTTATTGGAAACTACCTGTATGTCCATCAGAGGTAAATGGATAAATGAATTGTGGTACATCCTTACAGTGGAAAACTACACAGCAATGAAAAAGCCCATCCTGATCCACATACCAGCATGGAGCCACAGCTATTATGTGGGCTGGTGACAGGTCCTTCTCTTAAAAGAGGGAGAGGCTGAGCTTGGGCCCAGCACGGGGACCCAGCACCGATGCTGTTCTAAGGCTCCACCCCTCCTGGCCTGTCTCTATATCAAGCCAGTTTTCCCCCAAAATGTGCCTAATCACTTCTTATCTCACTGTTGCAATTCTGGTTTGGATGACCTCACTTCTCACTTGGCTCCCCTGGCCCAGCCTATGGCCTCTTCACACACTGCCCTTCCACACTGCACAGATTCATCTTCCTAAACTGCTGCTCTGATTGAGACTCCCCCGACCCCACTGCCGTGACTCAAGCACCTTCGATGGCCCCCTATTACCCAGAAAATAAATATCAAACGCCTCAGTGTGGTATTTCACAATCCCAGGACCTTCTGAGCTGGCTTCAGTCCTATATGGTATACCAGCAACAGCAGCAAATTGGCTATTTCCTGACTGTGTCCCACAAGTTCTCTCCTCTCGATCTTCTCCTTCTACCTGGGATACCTTTTCTATAACCTCAACTCTAAAAGTCTCTTTTCCTTTGAAGGTGCAGCTTTAAATGCTACTTCCTCCTTGCTAGTGAGAATGAAACACATCTCTTCCCTCGTTTTACTGCCTGTCTCTCCAAGAATGCCCTTATCATTTTTCTTGGACCATGGTGATTCGACTCCCAATCTCAGGGGATCAAGATTTTAAAATAGTCACTCAAAAAGAGCAATGCTTAACCCAGAGGAATGAGGCTCTGATGGTGACATTTTAGGCACCCATGCCTGGTAGAAGAAGGCACCATGTTGATCAGGGAGGCCTTCCCTGGAAAGCACCTACACCAAAGGCCACAGACTCCAGCAATTGGAGTCTGAGGGGAGACGCTGTGAGCTGATATCAGGGAGGTTGTCTTGGAAAAGGGATAATTGATCTGGGCCTTGAAGGTAGATGGCACTCAGGGAAGTGGCATGGTTCTGGGGAAAGAATTTAGAATTTGTGGACTCAGATAGGTCTGGGCTCAAATTCCTTTTCTGCATTTTTTTTGAGACAGGGTCTTGCTGTGTCACCCAGCCTGGAATGTAGTGGTGCAATCACAGCTCACTGCAGCCTCAAGCTCCCTAGGCTCAAGTGACTCTCCCACTTCAGCCTCCCAGGTTGCTGAAACTGCAGGCACAGGCTGCCACACTCACTTAATTTTTTTTCTTTAATTTTGTAGAGATGGGGTTTTGTCATGTTGCCCAGGCTGCTCTCAAACTCCTGGGCTCAGGCGAGCCTCTCGCCTCGGCCCTGCAAAGTGCTCGGATGAGACTTTGGCTATCATAGAAGCCCCAACTCAAACTGCCTTCAACTAAAAGGAAAAGTTATTAGTTCTTGTAATGGTAAATTCCGAGGTAGTGCTGGCCTCAGGTATGGCTGAATCCAGGGGCCCAAGCAATGGCCTCAGAATGCACAGTTGTTTGTGTCCATATTGGCTTCCTCCTCAGTCATGCCCTGCCTTCACCACGGAAATGGTATCCCAGCAGGCACAGCTAAACATGCTCAATCAGTCCAGATTCTCACTTCCCAACTGTTCCTGCAACAGTCCTGGGATACCTCTTACTGGACAGAATTGGATCATTCAATGACCCCTGAACCAATCACTGAGGCCAGAGGTTTGGAAAATTTGGATTGGCGGAGCCTTAGTCACATGCCCATCTCTGGACCAATGGGGAGAACCAGTTCAACACAAACCACATGGTCTGAGGTGAGTGAAGGGCTGTCTCCAAGTAAACTAGAGGGGCTGTGACCAGAAGGGGCAACTGATGTCCAATAAAGTTACTGAACAACTGTGGGACTTTGTACAGGTACCTTAAGCATTCTGATGCCCAGACCCCTTGTTCGTAAGACGGGAAAATGACAGACTCACCCAAGGGGAGCTGTAGCTAGTTGTGTGATGATGTTCATGAAAACAGCTGGCATACTATAGGAGCCTAATAATGGCCCACAGCTTCAGAAGCTGGGCTGGAATTAGAGCAGAGAAGCAGGAAGGATGGAAGTGGCTGTGTTTTCCAAGATGGCTACAAATTCTTCCATCCCACAAGCTCTTTTTACAATGTGAGGTGGGCACTCCTGCTATTGGGAGCTGGGAGTTATGTCCCTCCCCTTGCCCAGGGCTGAGACTACAATGGAAGGGAAACTGGGGAACTTCTGAGACTGTTATAGGAGGTGTTATGGCTTCCTCCTGGCCCTCTTGGGAAATTTTTTTTCTGGAGCACCATGTTGTAAGGAAGCCCAAGTCACACGTGGAGGCTCTGGCCCCCAGCTGAGGTTCCACCTGGCAGTCACATATCAACTATCAAATAGTGACTGCCAGACATGTGGGTTGAGATAACCTCAGCCCCAGTCCCCATGTGACTGCAACCACATGAGAGGCCCCACGCCAGAACCGCCTAGCTGAGCCCAGTCAACATCGGAACCATGACATAACAATAAAATCATTGCTATTGTTTCATGCTGCTAAGTTTTGGGGTAACTCCTTACACAGCAACAGATACCTGGAAAGGGGAACATGGAAGGATTGTATGCAGAGGCTATGATGGGAGGTTATGGTGGCCTGATTTCATCACAGGATCTGTCTCCAGATCTCACTGGTTCACAAGCCGGGTAATCCCAGTGTGTACAAAAGAGAAAAAGAAGAGGCTGTGCCTGAGCTCCCTGAGCCACACACAGCCCTGTGCCCACAGCCCTGTCCAGAAGTGGACTCATTCACACCATCAGGCCCCGGCTGTGAATTTCTCAGGACAAAGGGGTAGCCCCACAGCTGTCGGGGCAAACCTCCTTCGACGCTCTCCAACAGCTCAGGCCAGCCCATTTCTCACTGACTTGTGGATGGAACGTGTCACCTTCAGAGGAAGGGGGCAAAATAAACCTTTGAAGGTGAGCTTGCTAAATGCTTGCGTAGTGAGGCCCCTGCATCTCCTTTTGCCGAGACTGGGGGAGGCTGAATGGCACCAGGCCCTGTCTCTCAGCCCCGCTCAGCCCCATCCCTCTAGTTCAGTCCTGTGGGACCGCCCGATCCTTGTGCAGCCCAGCTACACCAGCAGGTCGCCGAATGTGGATTGTATCCGGGTGGCATCTACACAGATCAGAAGGTAGTTCAGATAATGGGATCCTTTGAAGCAGTCGATGAAACATTCCACTCCAGACCTCAAAAGCCCAGGTGGCTGCCTGCCCCAGGCATTCAGGTGTCACTGCGCGGCTCCTGCCCCACCTCCTTGAACCACCCATGGGAACAGCCTCTGCCTTTTCCTTGCTGAACTGCTATTTGCTCACTTTAAAAACAAATACTCACTTTCTCTGTAGGCAAATAAATGGACGTAAAGAGGAAAGCTCAGATCACCCCCTAATCGGAAAGCCGATATCACTTACCGGAAGAGTAGGTGATGGTGAAAGTGAACACAGAGAAACAAAAGGTGTCACCCAAGTCTGCTTTCTGTCCTGCTGCCTGAGGAAGGTTTTCAATGGAAACCGTTTCCGGCTGTTGTGAAGGAAGCTCTGCCAACCTTACTCAGCGAGGTGTCAAAGACATCTCAGCACCCGTGGAGAGTTTCTCCCTGGAGTTGGCGGAAGAATAGAAAAAAAAAAAAAAAAAAGGAGTGGTTTTCTTGCTGTTTCATATTATTTAATGCTGTGCCTACATCCATTCCAGGTCTTCCCAACCACTTGAGGGAAACCCCAAATTATGATGATAGCAAATGCTTGCACAGGGCTTGGGTACCTCCAAGAGCATTATACGCACTACCTCATTTAATCCTTATAGTAGATACTGTTATCAGTATCACATGGGGCACAGAGAAGTAGTGCATCTGAGGTCACACAGCCAGTGAGTGGTGAAGCTGGGATTTGAACCCAGTTCTCTAGCTTGAGTCTGTGCTCCTAACCATGCAGCATGCTGCCATCTGAGAAGCACAGGTTTACACCCATCAGGCTCTGGATAACTGCCCAGAGTCTCTGTCCTAGAGTGAAAAATGCCCCCTGCCCACAGTTTATGTCACTCCCCGGTACCTACGAATGTGACCTCTGGAAATAGGGTCCTTGCAGACGTGATCAACTGAAGATGAAGTCATACTGGATTGGAGTGGATCCTTATAAGAAGGAGGAAGTTTGGACAGAGACATGCAGGGAAAAGCCACGTGACCACAGAGGCAGAGATTAGAGTGTGGTAGCCACAGCTAAGGACTGCCAACGATGCTGGCAACCACCAGAAGCTGGAAGGGGCCGGGAAGTATCCTCCCCAACAGCCTTCAGAGAGAGTATGGCCCTGCTGCCACCCAAACGTTGAGGGAACACGATTCCTATTGTTTTTAGCCACAAAGTTTAGGATGCTTTGTTCCAGCAGTGGCGGAAAACTAACAGTCTTCTTGGCCTGTGTTTGGGGGCACATGTCTCCCACAGGAACAAGTGCCCCCTGGGAAGGGGTCTGGAGTTAGCTGAACTGTAGGAAGTCTGTTGTTTTTTCTTAGAAAAGCTGAATTTTCACCTTTCCCCATCTGCTCAGAGATCTGCAGAAACAGCCTTACCTTCCCATTGGCTTCTGTTGCTGTGTCACTTTGGCCAAGTGTCTTAACCTCTCTCTGATTCTCATAGTGGATTTTGCAAGCACATAGATGGTATGAGTTTGTTCTCACACTGCTATAAAGATATGCCTGAGACTGAGTAACTTATAAAGGAAAGAGGTTCAATTGACTCACAGTTCTGCATGGCTGGGGAGGACTCAGGAAACTTACAGTCATGGCAGAAGGCAAAGGGGAAGCATGAAAGGACTCAGGAAACTTACAGTCATGGCAGAAGGCAAAGGAGAAGCATGAAACCTTCCTCACGAGGCGGCAGAAGGAGAATGAATACAGCGGGAACTACCAAACACTTATAAAACCATCAGATCTCGTGAGAACTCACTCACTCTCACGAGAACAGCATGGGGAAACTGCCCCCGTGATTCAATTACCTCCACCTGGTCTCTCTCCTGACACGTGGGGATTATGGGGATTCAAGATGAGATTTTGGGTTGGGACGCAAAGCCTAACCATATCATAGACCTAGAACACCTGCCCCTGGGAGGCAGCTGTTATATCTCCGTGGATTAAGGTTTCAGGAACTTTTATGGAATTGCCAAATGTTTTCTTTATTTAAGCTGGGCTAAGGATATGGTTTCTAAAGCTTTTTTTTTTTTCTCATCGTCATCTGAAATTCTCTTATTTATTGGTTTGTTTGTTTATAGTCTGTCTAGACCCATGTTGGCTGATGGAACTTTCTGTGATGATGGAAATATGGCTATCAAGCACTTAAAATGTGGCTGGTACCACTAAGGAACTGAATTTGTAATTTTATTTAATCTAAATGTAAACAGACACATGGATTAGTTTCCTGTAGCTGTGTAACAAATAATTAAAAAGGTAGTGGCTTAACACATTTTATTCTCTTATAGTTCTGGAGGTCACAGGTCTGCAATGGGTCACACCTAAAAGCAAGGTGTTGGCGAGGCTGCATTTATTCCTGGAGGCTCTAGGAGAGCCTCTGTTTCCTTGCCTTTTCCAGCTTCTAGAAATCTCCTGCATTCCTTGGCTTGTGGCCTCACATCACTCTGACATCTGCTTCCACAGTCACAGCTCCTCTGACTCTGACCCTCCTGCCTCCCTCTTATAAAGATCCTTGTGATGACCTTGGGCCCACCTGGATCATCCAGGAACATCTCCCATCTCAAGATTCTTAATTAAATCACATCTGTAAAGCCCCCTTTGCTGTATCAGGACACATATTCACAGGTCCCAGGGCTTAGGACCTGGACATCCTGTGGGCCATGGTTCCATCTCCCACTGCATGGGGCTAGGGGCTACTGTATCCAACAGACAGATCCGGACTGGACTGTCATTTCCTAGGGAAACTGCTTCTGTCTTAATCGCCATTGTGCCCTGCGTCAGGCACACAGTAGGTGCTCAATTAATGTGTTCAATTAATGAAATTCGAACATTGCTTCTACAACATGTTTGCTGAACAACATGTTGGATTTAAATTCTGAGTCTGAGCTAAACTTTGCAAAATGGAGACAGTTGTCATGCTGCCTTTAGCCTGGGCCTTGGGCACTGGTTCTGTTCCCTGTTCTGCTGTGTGATTTTAAGCAAGCCTCTGCACCTCTCCGGGCGTCAGCTTCCCCATCTGTACAAAGAGCCGGGAGGGAGGAAGCCAGACGCTGTGAACCACCTGCAAACAGCCTCGGGGGGCAGAGAAAACTGGGACGCAGAAGCCATGGGGCAGGCCCATGGGCGAGGCCTTGAGGGAGGCGAGCAGTCCACCCCAAAACTAAAAGCGTATTTCAGAAAAATGGTGTGGGAGACCAGGAGGGAGACTTTCTGAGCCACCTGGGGAAAAGAACTTGGGGGCCCGGACTGGGGTTAGAATCAGTGACTCCAATGCTCTGCTATCTGCCCGGATAGTTCTCCCAAGCCATCTCCATCTCTGACCCTACGCGTCCTTCAAGACCCAGTTCAAATGGCCCTTTCTTAAGGCAACCTTCCTTGACTCCCCCAACCCACCTCTGACCCACAGGAAGAGCTCAGGGTCTTCAGGCCTCCGCAGAAGCTGTGCCGCCCCCATCGCAGTCGAGAGATGTTAAGTGGCTTGCCCCAAGTCACACATGCCAGTGAGTGGCAGATCTGGGATGTGAACCCAGGTCATCTGGCTCCAACGTCTGTGCTCTTACTGGGCTATGTACGCACATTCACCACGCACACAACACACACATGAAACACAGGCACATCCCTAATCACACACGACACACACACAAAACACATGCACATCCCTAATCACACACGTACCTGGACACACACACACATTCATCCTAATACACACATGTACCTGCACAAACACTCATCCTAATACACACATGTACCTGGACACACACACACATTCATCCTAATACACACATGTACCTGCACAAACACTCATCCTAATACACACGTACCTGCATACACACACACACACTCATCCTAATACATGTACCTGCACACACACATCCTAATACACACATGTACCCGCACACACACACACACTCATCCTAATACATGTACCTGCACACACACATCCTAATACACACATGTACCTGCACACACACACACTCATCCTAATACACACAAGTACCTGCACACACACATTCATCCTAATACACACATGTACCTGCACACACACACATCCTAATACACACACGTACCTGCACACACACACACTCATCCTAATACATGTACCTGCACACACACATCCTAATACACACATGTACCCGCACACACACACACTCATCCTAATACATGTACCTGCACACACACATCCTAATACACACATGTACCTGCATACACACACACACTCATCCTAATACACACAAGTACCTGCACACACACACTCATCCTAATGCACACATGTACCTGCACACACACACTCATCCTAATATACACATGTAACTGCACACACACAGTAATCCTAATGCACACATGTACCTGCACATTCATCCTAATACATGCATATACCTGCGCACACGCACACACACACTCATCCTATTACACACATGTACCTGCACACACATCCTAATACACACATGTACCTGCAAACACACAGCCATTCATCCTAATACACACATGTACCTCCACACACACACTCATACTAATTCACACATGTACCTGCAAACACACATCCTAATACACACGTACCTGGAAACACACACACATTCATCCTAATACACACATGTACCTGCACACACGCACATCCTAATACACACATGTACCTGCAAACACACACACATTCATCCTAATACACACACGTACCTGCACACACACACATCCTAATACACACATGTACCTGCAAACACACACCCATTCATCCTAATACACACATGTACCTCCACACACACACTCATACTAATTCACACATGTACCTGCACACACACACATTCATCCTAATACATGCACGTAACTGCCCACACTCATCCTGATACACACGTGTACCTGCACACACACACATTCATCCTAATACACACATGTACCTGCACACACACATTCATCCTAATACACACATATATCTACACACATACACTCATCCTAATACACGCACGTAACTGCACACACACATTCATCCTGATACACACATGTACCTGCACATGCACATGAGGTACACATCTTTAAGACATGAATATACATGCACATATACACATAGCCACACAGACGCAACACACATGCATATCCAACTACACACACCCATATGTAGATGCACACACAGACACCTCTGCATTAACACAGACTCTGTCTCACACCCATTACAGCCACACCCCACACACCCATGTGTATACACACATGGGCATACACTTGTGCATGCATATTCCTTCACACATTCATGTACACATGCATATATACATTCACCCCACACACATATACATCTATGCATGGCATATGACACATGACATATTCACACATCCTACACTTGCCCACACATCCATATACACACACATATGCACACATGCACATAAGTACACACATATATACACATGACATACACACGAAACATACTCTTTTTTTGAGACAAGGTCTCACTTTGTTGCCCAGGCTGGAGTGCAGTGGCACAATCACAGCTCACCACAGCCTCGACCTCCTGGGCTCAAGCAATCCTCCCACCTCAGCCTCCTGAGTAGAGAGGACTACAGGTACACACCACCATGCCTGGCTAATTTAATGTTTGTAGAGTCTGGGTCTCGCTCTGTTGCCCAAGTTGGTCTCAAACTCCTGGCCTCAAGCAATTCTCCTGCCTTGGCCTCCCAAAGCACTGGAATTACAGGTGTGAGACACTATGCCTGGCCCCATACTCATATTATTTTGTATGTGTGACCAGGTGACACATATGTATGCATATATGTGCACACACACACACATCTAGACCAGATGCTGGCCTCCTAGCATAAGCTTGTTCACCTGCACACACAAATATTATCTACTGGCCCAGCACACACCCACCCACAGGTGTGCACACACAGATGTGTGCGAAGACCACGCATGCACACACCTTGTGTAGGGGCTATACCTAAACATAAAATCTGCGGAAACACCACTGGAACAGCATGCATAGGCACATAAAACGTGTGTGTCCAAATATTCACTTGTACTATGTACTCAGTCACAAAGAGAAAACCATGTAACTCCAATATGTGAACCAGGAAATCTCCTAATTCTGTTTTCCTGTATGCATGCCCAGATATGCATGTGCACACACAAGACATGCCCAGATCCTTCTGCTCCCACTGTCTGTCCCCTATGCCCTCCCTCCCCACCCTCTCCTCTACGCACTCAGTGTGTTGATGAGGCCTAGGGGCAGACAGCAATGCCCTCTGGTCCTGAATGACCTCAAGGAAGAGGAACGGAGCAGCTGCCTGGCCTCGCCTGCTGGGAAGGGGGACAGCAGGCAGCACAGTGGGAGTTCTGGGAGGACAGCGGAGTCCAACCCCAGCCCTGGGCTCAACCCCACCTGGCCTGACCCTGGACACCCTGATCACACTCTTCCTGACACTTGCCTACCATGCTGGGTGCTGGGGCCAGATGCAGACCCAACACACTCCAGGGTATGCAGAGGAGACCTGGAAGCTGGGGAAGAGTACAGGATCCTTTGCTTCACCCTGAAGCCCCCCGTCTGGCCGTGCTGAGCAGACAGGAAGATGACAGCACAGTGTAGGCTGGTGGGGGGGCGCCTGCCCGTCCAGCCTCCTACGCAGCAGATGGCCAGCCATCTGCAGGCCCCCTCCTCCTCCTCTCTCCCTCCCTCCTCCCAGCGTGGCCAGGCCTGGTGCTGGGGCGAGGCTGCTCGAGGCTGGCAGAGCGTGTTGGAGCCATGTGCTGCCTGGCAGGCAGGCAGGCGGGCAGGCAGTCAGGCAGGCTGGGAGGCTGCTGCTCCGAGAGAGGCATCCAAACACACAGGCAGGCACAGCCTTCTGCGCTGCCCCACTCCTCTCCCCATATTGTGGGCACCTCTGTTCTGGGAGATTCTGGGGCTTCAGGAACAGAACAATCCTTCATCCCAACATTCATTCATTCAACAAACACTAAGTGCTTACTAAGTGCTAGGCACTGGAGATACAGGAATGAACAAAACAAATATTCGTTGACCACCTACTATGGGCCAGACACATTTTCATGAACCATGGATACAGCTGTGAGCTAAAGGAATATACATTAGATGCCTGCCCTGTGTCAGGCACTAGGCCGATGACAGCAGTGAAAGGATAAATGCTTAGTGAGCACCCACTGCATGCCAGGAGCTGGTCTGGGCACTGGGAATACAGCAGTGAACAAATTATTTGTTGAGCACCTACTGTGTGCCACACACATTTCTAGGTCCAGAGGCTAGAAGAGCAAGCAACAGCATTATTTATTACACACTTACTATGCACCAGGCTGTATGCGTTCTGGGCACTGGGGATAGAGCAGTGAATTTATTGAGCACCTAATATATGCCAGACACATTTCCAGGCACTGGGGATAGAAAAGCAAGCACAGTAACTGTTTGTTGAGTACCTACTATATGCCAGGCCCTGGGTGGTGACCAAGAAAGTCACTGTCCCCATCCTCTCTCAGTCTCCTGGGTGAGCAGCAGTGACTACATGATGCCTCAGGCAGAACTAAGGCTGGGAGGGGAAGGACAGTGGCATTCTTACTGGCTTGATTATTTTAGACAGGCGCAGTCAGGGAAGGCCCCTCTGAGGAGGTGTCTTGGAACAGAGACCTGGGTGAAATGAGGAGGCCACCCTGAGGATGCTGGGGAGGAAAGATGTTCGTGGCAGCGGGAACAGCCAGGGTGAAGTTTCCAAAGGGAGAATGTGCTTGGTATGCCCTACATGGCCCAGAGGCCCCTGCCAGGGGAAGGAGAGGAAGCTGGTGGGAGATGAGGGGTGGGGTAGGACCCTGGTGAGGAGTCTGGGGAAACTGAGCCCTGGGAGGAGGCCCCAGGGGTTGCCAGTGGAGTGTCGGGGGGTGCCATGAGCACATAATTATGACAATGACCTTGGGTGCAGGAAGCTTTCCCTGGGCCCAGCCTCTGCCGAAGGGGGTATCAGCATTTGACCCACTGACCCTGGGACGCCAGCCCTGTAATGATGCCCATTTCACAGGCAGGAAGACAGGACACGGAGGTCAGCTCGGATGAGAAAGCAAGGCCTGGAGCCTGCCGCTGGTCGGGTGCTCCCGATCCATCCGAGGGCAGGCCAGGGAGACAGGCTCTCTCAGCCCACACGGGCACCACCGCCGTGTCCCCACCAGGCCACGGATGGCTGGGCTCCCTGTCAGCTCCAACTGAGCAGTGGCCTCTGAAGGCAATGTCCCCGGCCGACCCTCTGCTGGCGCCTGAAGCTGTCAGCCTTGATTCCCGGCGGGCTTAGTCACCCCATACCAGTGACATTTATTTATTCCCTCACGAGGGAGCGTGGAGAGAATTAATTATTTAGCACCGAGGAAGCACTTTGAACATGAAAGTGCTGAGGAGGGCCTGACATTACAGAGAATAATGTTCCCTCCTCGCTCCGCCTGCGGCTCCGGATGGCAGAGCTGTCAACCCCCAGGGTCCCACGATGGGGGCGGAACCCCCACCAATCCGCCGTGCCAGGAGGCGGGGGAAAAAGGCTCTGAACTTAAAAATTTCCCTTCTGTAAAAGGAGGGAAGAGAGTGAAGGAAAGAAGGAGGGAGGGAGGAAGAAAAGGAAAGGAAACAAGAAAGAGGAAGAAGGTTCCACGCACGTCTTCCAGCCACTGCACACGGGTAAGCTGGAAGGCAGAGCAGAGCTGAGTCACAAGGACATCAGTATGGCTCAGAAAGCATTTTCTCTCCGCTATTTCCCAAGGTCTTCAAAACACGGGGGGCTGTCAGCACAGACCCATTTCACAACAAGGAAACCGAGGCTCAGAGAAGAGCGGCACCTTGCTTGAGGTCATACAGTGTGGCCACAGTAGCTGGGAACTAAATCTGTGTGTGCGCTTGCGTGTGTGTGCGGGCATGTGTGTGCGTGTGTGTGCGCGGGCATGTATGTGCGTGTGTGTTTGCGGGCATGTGTGTGTGCGTGTGTGTGTGTGTCCGGGCATGTGTGTGTATGTGTGTGCCTGGGCATGTGTGTATGTGTGTGCGCGTGCACGCGCGGGCATATGTGTGCGTGCGGGCATGTGCGTGTGTGCCGGCATGTGTGTTCGTGTGTGTGTGTGTGTGCGTGCGTGCGCGGGCATTTGTGTGCGGTCATGTGTGTCCGTGTGTGTATGTGCGGGCATGTATGTGCGTGTGTGTGCGGGCATGTGTGTGTGCGCGCGCGAGCATGTGTGGGGGGGCATGTGTGTCCGTGTGTGTGTGCGGGCATGTGTGTGCGTGTGTGTGTGTGTGTGGGCATGTGTGTGCAGGCGTGTGTGTGCGGGCATGTGTGTGGGGGCATGTGTGTGCATGTGTGTATGTGCGCATGCTCACCTGTGTGTCAGGGGTAGCCCTGTCTGAATGCAGCTGCCAAGGTCCTCACCTTTGGCGGGACATGTCCCCAAGCCCCTGCTCCCCAGGCACCGGAATCCCCAGGGCGCATGACACTGGCCACACCACAGCAGAGGCCAGCAGAGACCCCGGGGTCAGCCCTTGACGCTGAGCCTCTCTCCCTCCTACCGCTCTGAGGATTCCCACGCTGGGGCTTCCCCCAGCCTCTCCGCCACCTCGGGACAGAGGCAGGGAGGAGAGATCTGGGTGAGGTGGGGAGCAAGGGATAGGGGTAGTAAGAAACAGTCTGGCAGGGAGTTGGAAGTTCAAAGTTTGATTTGACTCCGTATTTACCCAAAGGAAATCCAACAGGGGGGAAATATACAGCTGGAACTGGAAGCGCCCAGTTTGCCGTCCCTGCAGGTTCCACGGTCTTTGCTCCTCTCTTCAGAGAGAAAAAGGCTGGGGGTTGCGCTCAAGCCCCCTGTAAGTCAGAACCAGGACACCCTAGCGGAAGAGGAGACCTGGAGGTCTCAGGGGTGTCTCCGTGCTTCCTTCTGCCCCGCGGCCCCAGCTACGTCTGATTCGCCTCCACTCACCCCGGGGGCCAGGACCATGCCTGCATTCAGTAGGCGCCCAGTGCATGCTCAGGGGACCTGAATGTTATCTGAGGGCCCCTGTAAAATGAAATACAAAAGAACTAGGGGAAGCAGAGGCCTTGCTCAGGCAGGTACATAACCTCTGGTGCCTCCATTTCCTTATCTGTAAAACAGGAGCAAAAGCGACGGAACCGCAGTATAGATGGGAGGAGCCTAGTGCTTATTCCCAAGGGGCTTAAAACAGCACCTGGCCTGCGTGAAGTACTTGTTCAGTCCAAGCTATCATCTGGGCACATCCCCTGACAGATGCTTGATCTTCACAGCAACCTATGTGCAGGTCCTTGTGAGCCCATTGTACTTATTTAAGAGACAGGGTCTCACTCTGTGGCCCAGGCTGGAGTACAGCGCCATGATCACCGCACTGCAGTCTTGACCTTCTGGGCTCAAGCGATCCTCCCACCTCAGTCTCCCAAGTACCTGGGACTACAGGCACACACCACCACGCCCGGCTAACGTTTTTATAATTTGTAGAGACCAGGTCTTGCTGTGTTGCCCAGGCTGGTCTCAAACTCCTGGCCTCAAGCAATCCTCCTGCCTCAGCCTCCCAAAGCTGTTTTGTTATTATTACTGTTCAGATGATGACACTGAGGCCCAGATAAATGAAGTAACTTGCTCAAGGCCACCCAGCTAGAAAGTGCCTGGGCTGGATTCAAGCCTGTCACCCCGCCCCTGCCTCCTAGACAGACAAATGGCTTAGACAAGAGGGCAGGGGCTTTCCTGGTGGGAGGGGGCTGACCTCGAGGACTCCCAGTTCAGACTGTGGGAGTCTCTTGATGCTAATCAGGCCCCCGGGGGTGGCCTTGAGGCCTCCCTGCACGGCCACCCTCAGAGAGCATAACTGAATGCTATGTGCTTTGAACCAGAAAATGCTCCCGGCTATAAATTAGGGGACCGCCCAAGGGCACAAGGCCCTGCGGCCACTTCTGCTGCCCTGGGCCAGGACGGTGGAGGCCCCACAGGCTCCTTGGACAGCTGGGAAGCCCGCTGGAGGCTGCTGCCATGGCGACGGTGCCGGCTGCCCTCACTCTGCGTGGGCCACATCCTGCCTTTCCCGGGCACGGAGTGGGCTGGGGCTCAGCCAGCCACCTCTCCCTCCTCTTCCTCCCTCCCCTGGGGTCATCTGGGGGTCCCAAGGGCTGCCCGCCCGTCTGCAGCCCAGCAGGGCAAAGCCAGCTCAAAGACGCCCCTCTCTTAATAATGACAAATGCCAGCTGACATGCATTGAGCACTTAGCCCCTTACAAGTATTGGTGGCTTAACTCATAATAGGTGAAAAGACTGAGGCCCACAGAGGCAGCATTGCTTGCCCAGGGTCACAGGACTAGGCAAGAGCAAAGATGGGGTTCCAAGCTGGGGTTTCTGACCCAAGAGCTCCATTGCAGAGTACAGTGCAATGGCAAAGACATGACCTCAGAAGCAAGACAAGCTGTGTGACCCTGGACAAGTTACCCAGCCTCTCTGGGCTTGGGTGTCCCCTTGGGCAAAATGGGATAAGAGTACCTGCTTCCTAGGGTCCTCAGGAGGATTCCATCTGTTAATGCATCGGGCAGGCACTGGGTCTTAGCCTCACTGTCTCCTAGAAACGGGTCCTGGGATGAGGTTTGTAGACCCGCGCTTCAGGGGAGGCTGCACAGGGGAGACAGGACAGGGCAGGGAAGGAAGCCAAGCCCAGGTGTCACTCGAGCCAATATCCCAGCCTCAGCCGGATCTGGGTCTGAGGAGCACCCAGTTCGTCCTGCCCCAAGGCAAGAGCTCAGACTCACAGTGGTCACCCAGGGGCTGTCCCAGGGAATCACAGCCACCAGGCGGGTCAGGCTCCCTGGACATGGGGCCAAAGCACCGCCAGAGCCCGGGAGCAGTGCCCAGAAGCGAGGTGAAAGTGCAGGCAGTTAGGAGCAAACTGGAGAGAAGGGACACAGAAGCGTCATTGAGAGGCCCGGAGCGTGTGGGGGTGGAATCCTGACAGTACTCCTCACACTGCCCGGGTTGCAGGTTGCTATTTTAGGGTTTATTGCCTACAAACTTCAACTCCACAACAAACCCATCTGACCAGTGGAGTTGCCCTTGTTTTACATGTGGAAGGCCAGTGGTTTGGCCAAAGCGACAGGGCTTGGGGCAGGGATCCAAATGTCTAGGCTCCAGGTCAGCTTTTCACTGCCCTTGCGGCGTGGTGGCTGCGTGCAGGGCCCGGAGGAGAGGGTGCTGACTTGCACAGGAGGCCATGAGCGGCTCCAGGGCCTGGGGCACCCGGAGCAGGTTGTAGCATTCAGGATGCCTGGGGTAGCAAGTTAGAGAAAAATCCCAATTCCAACTGCTTTCATGATGAACATGGATTCTCCCCATGAGAGGAGGTCCCGGAGCAAAGGAGCTGCAGGGCTGGGTGACTCAGCAGCTCATTGGTGGCATCTGCACCAGGCGCTTCCTCCTCTCTCTTCTGCCACCCCTCAGTGTTGGGACTCCCTTCATGGCCTCAAGATGGCTGCAGCAGATCTGGTCATCACATCCCAACAAGACAGAGTGCAGTCAAAGATAAGGCAGCCATCTCTTCCCCCCTTTTTGTTTTTTGTTTGTTTGTCTGTTTTGTTTTGTTTTGTTTTGTTTTTGAGACAGAGTCTTGCTCTGTCGCCCAGGCTGGAGGGCAGTGGCTCAATCTCGGCTCACGGCAACCTCCACCTCCTCAGCCTCCCTGCCTTCTCCTGCCTCAGCCTCCTGAGTAGCTGGGATTACAGGTGTGCACCACCACGCCCAGCTAATTTTTATATTTTTAGTAGAGGGGGGGGTTTCACCATGTTGCCCAGACTGGACTCGAACTTCTGACCTCAGGCAATGCGCTCAGCTCAACCTCCCAAAGTGCTGGGATTACAGGCGTGAGCCCCCGCACCCTGCCTGGTTCTCTCTTTTTTAAAAGCAGGTAGGCTGGGCATGGTGGCTCAGACCTGTAATCCCAGCACTTTGGGAGGCCAAGAAGGATGGATCGCTTGAACCCAGAAGTTCAAGATCAATCTGGGCAACATGGCGAAACCCCTCTCTACCAAAAGCGATACAAAAATTAGCCAGGAATGGTGCCACATACCTGTAGTCCCAGCTACTGGGGAGACCCTATCTTAGAAAAAAATAAATAAATAGGTAAGAGCAGGTAAGCATTCCCTGTAAATCCCCCAGCACAGTCCCCTCCACGCCACAGTGGCTAGGGTTAGGCCACGTGAATATCTAGGAAGGGGGATGGGGTGGCCATGACGCTTAGCCCAGGGTCAGCAAACGGTGGTTCACGGGCCCCAAGCCTGTTTGTTTTTGTAAATAAAGATTGATTGGTGCCCAGCCACATCCTTTTTTTTTTTTTTTTTTTTTTTGAGATTGAGTCTCGCTCTTTTGCCAGGCTGGAGGGCAGTGGCGTGATCTTGGCTCACTGCAACCTCTGCCTCGTATGTTCAAGCGATTCTCCTGCCTCAGCGTCCTGAGTGGCTGGGATTACAGGCACAAACAACCATGCCCAGCTAATTTTTAATTTTTTTGTAGAGATGAGGATCTTGCTATGTTACCAAGGCTGGTCTTGAACTCCTGGGCTCAAGCGATCCTCCTGCCTCAGCCTCCCAAGCTGCACACCCTTTTTTTTAATATCGTCTGTGGTTGCTTTTGTGTGACAAAAGCAGAACTGAGGAGTTACCGCAGAGACGCCCAAGAAGCCTAGAAGAGTGACTCAACCCTTTACAGAGAAAGAGTTTGCTGACCCCTGGCTAGACTAACCGGGATCTACCCCTGACCCGGATTGAGTCATTTCCCCTGAGGGATGAATGAACACTATGACAGTCTGTGAGCCCCATAGAAGTGGGGGTGGGGGCTGGCCTGGCCGCTGCCAGTCGTCCTTCAAAGCTTTGCTACTCAAAGCGTAGCCCCCAGGCCAGCAGCATCCGCCGGGCATGGGAGCCAGGTCTTGGGTCCCACCCCAGACCTATGAAATCAGAACCTGCATCCTAACCAGACCCCCAGGGAACGTCACCCACTAAATGCAGCGCGTTTGCTTCTCAGGCTGTTGTAACAAGGTACCACGAAGCGGGTGGCTTAAAACCACAGGTCTGGAGGCCAGAAGCCTGCAATCCAGGTGCCAGCAGGGCCCTGCTCCCTCCAAAGCCCCTGGGGCAGGATTCTTCCCTGCCTCTTCCAGCTCCTGGTGGCTCTTGCGACCCTTGGCCTTCCTGGCTTTGCAGATCGGTCACTCCAGCCTTTCCTCTGCCTCCACGTTGTTTGTGCGTATCTCCCCTTTTCCTGTGAGGGCTTCAGTCATCTTGGACGCGAGTCCACCCTGATGACCTCATCTCAGCTTGATCACATCTGCAAAGATCCTATTTCCAAATAAAGTCACATCCACAGCTGCCAGGGGTTAGGACCCGGACATGTGTTTTCGGGAAACACAACCCCACCTGTGACCTGTGAGTAGTCCCAACACACACCACACATGGGTGAACTGCGACATACGTGCTTGTGCTTTTGGGAAGGACAGGGCTGGGGGAGGGGCAGCTCCAGCTTCCCTGCCTTCTCAGGCTCCCAGAGCTGCCCTCCTGGGAAACAGCACGCTGGAAGCTTCATGAACATAGCTGGCCTCAGGCTGGCTCAGGGAGGTCATCTCTACCCCTCATCTCCCACCAGGCCTGAGCTGCTCCTGGGCCTCCCGGGTTGAACCGTGAGTGCCCTCAGCAGGTCTGGCACTGGGTGAGGCATGTCAGGCATCCCAGGTGCCCCTCTGCACTGGCACCCTGAGAGGGCTTGCCTTCTAACATTCGGTACCCTGAGCCCAGCACTGGGGCTCAGCCCACTTCTCATCTCCAAACCCTGCTCCGGGCCTGTGCTCCCCAGCTGTGGCCAAGTGACAGGTGGGCCCAGCTCCTGCACTGGCCGCATGAACAGAAGCACCGTCTTCTCAGTGAAATTAATAAATGCCCAGCAAGTGCACCCTGAGCAAACTTCCTTGCT